>NC_000019.10:57240874-57582559 GCF_000001405.40 Homo sapiens
GGCCACAGGGTCCCGGTATGGCGATGGCTTTGACGGACCCGGCGCAGGTGAGTGGACAAGGTTTCGGCCTTGCTGCTTTTCTGCTAGTTCGGGGAAGCCTCCTGGGCAGGCCGGAAGCCAAGACAGCCACAGGATTCCTCTTTGTAGTTTTGTTTGTTTACGAAACGTGGAGCAGGCTCGTCACTTAGTTTATCTCCTGTCGTGGTAGTACCTGAGAGACTGAATATTGAAGCGGACAGTAGGCAGACTATACATCGATTATAGGGCTGTGACGTACAATTTTTTTGTAGCAACCTGCCCAGGAAACCAGCCTCCTGTTCTGCAATAAACTACTCTGGAAGCCAGTCTGCCTTAAGTTAGTCTTGCAAGGAGCTAGATTACTCTCTGGTGACATTTCAGGAGGCTAAACGGTAACTCCTGGAACAGTAGGCCCCAAATAGGACTTGATTTGTAACTGACTGTTCTAATTTTTGCCTCCGCCTCCAAAAGAGGACCAAGCAGAGAAAGCCATACGTGCTCAGCCTAACCAATCACATACGATGCCCCACTTCTAGTTAGCCCTTCTGCAGCTTTCCACTGCTAAAGTGTCAGGCCTCTGAAAGCTGCTTAATAATTGCTTGAAGGATGGATGAAGTTCCACTCCAGGGACTCCCGTCACACACATCATCCGAACTCAGCCTTGGCCTGCAAGTCCCTACCCGGTCCACTATGGCTGACCACCTCTGTCCTTGTTTCCTTCCTTTCCTCCCTGGCTCAGCGCTTCAGACACAGGTCCACTATGGCTGACCACCTCTGTCCTTGTTTCCTTCCTTTCCTCCCTGGCTCAGCCCTTCAGACATATCAATCTGATCACGCAGAGTTCTTTCCTACCCCTCAGCCTTCACCTTTACAGTTCATTCAGCCTCAGACACTATCCTCAGATCTCTGCAAGACCCTTTCACATCTTGTTGGCTCTGCTCAAATGTCACTTCTTTAAAGCGGCCTTTCATGGCAGTTCAGACTAAAGTAGTCCCCTTCTCACCTGCCCTTGGTCTAGCGTTTTTGTATAGAGAATCTGGCAAAGTTTTAGACACCTACTGAGTTGAGGTCTTAAAGGATTTTGTGGGGACAAAGAGCATAAATAATAACACAAGAACTGTAACGGTTGGCCTTCATTGAGTCCTTGATGTGAACTGAGAAATGGGCATTATTTATCATCTCATTTAATCCTGATCTCCTTAAAGTGACATTCTATTATAAACACTGCTGTACACAAGAGGAGGTCAAGACTCCGACCTGTTTAGTTACCTGCTGAAAGTCACATAGCACTTAAGTAACAAACTCATATTTAGCGTGTGGACCACCAGAGCCTTTGTTTTTACAGACAGTTGGCTGAGAAGCCCTGAGGTGAACTTTGCAGTCTTTCCAGCAAGTCACAGTGGCCATTGGAAGCGAAAGGCAGACATTCCACTAGAGAGGACTGTGTAGACAAAGGCAAAGTGTGTTGGTTGTTTAAGGAGGTCCAAGAGGACTTATGAGGTTACCATGGTTCCCCCCATCCCCACCTGCTGAGACATGGCCTGGAAGGGCAAAATCCTGTGGTCTTTTGTTGGATGTTCGTCCTGCCTTCAGCCTATAGGGCATTTTGGCCAGTCATAAGCCTGGGTTCTCATGACCACAGCCTGCATTATCTTCAGCCACTTGAGTTTTCTGGTCCTGAAGCACACTGGCCTTAGGGATACCTGCTGGCAGGACTCAGGGAAGGAAAAGGCTAATGGTTCATTATGCAATCTCCCTGGGGTCCAGGGGAGAGGATGAGCTGGTCCAGGCACTGCCCCTCGTCAGGCATTTGGTACTTGTGAATTTGGTGATGAGGGTTTTGCCCACATCTTGGGGATATTTTCAGGAGCTGCTAAAATAGATTAAATAGCAAAAATATGTAGAAATGCTTCACAACTGTATTATAGTAGATTCACGTGGGTGGTGGAGGATTATTGGGGTCACAGTATTAAACCCTGAAGCAGAGGGACCTGGGTTAAAATCCTGTCTCTTATATATAAATCATGCTTATAACATGTAAAACTCTGGCTGAACTTGGTGCTCACACCTGTAGCCCCAGTGCTGTGGGAGGCTGAGGTGAGAGGATCACTTGAGGCTAGGAGTTCGAGACCAGCCTGGGCAACATAGCAAGATCCCAGCTCTACCAAAAAGAAATAGTTGGGCGCAGTGGTGCGTTCCTGTAGTCCCAGCTACTTGGGCGGCTAAGGCAGAAGGATTGCTTGAGCCCAGGAGTTCAAGGTTACAGTGAACTCTGAGCATGCCATTACACTCCAGTCTGGGTAATAGAGTGAGACCCTGTCTCTGAAACAAACAAACAGAAAACACAAAAGACTAGGAGAATCTGTGGAGCTCCCTTAGCCTCAGGTCAGTGACTGTGACATGGAGGTGATTGGCGGTGGTGTTTAGTAATACTTCAGGGGCTGTGGGAGGATTAATAAAATCCCAAAGTCCAGTAAGCTCTGAATAACTCATGTCTGTTATTGGGAAAATGGGAATTCTGTATTCATCTGAAAATTGAGGCAGAGATAAATGAGGTCCCTGAGGTCACAAAACTGGCAAGTGTCAGTTTCAGGAGTTTGGATTCAAACTTGAGAAGTCTGACTTCAGAGTTTGGGACTTGTAGTTGCTTTAAAACAGAACATGAAGCTTCAGCATGAGCTGGACCAGTGAGGCTCAGGCACTGTGGTTGTCAACATTATTGCTATTATTATTGTCACTATTTCCTCATTTCTTTGAGGTCCTCGAACTCTAATTGTCTACATCTCGCCATCCACGAGTTATTGCCATTGTCTTCTGTTATTCTTTGATGGCTCCTATATAGGAGGCTTTTCTCTTTTACATTACAGTAATCTGTCCAAAGCAATGTCTGCCTTCCTCCTTCAGCCTGGTACAAAGTTAGGCCCTCAGGAGGCCCTCAGTGACTTGGGCCTTGATCTTGTTGCACCTTTTCCAGCAAAGCACATGCAATAGTCCCACAGCAAACTCTACTACCTCTATTTGACATTTCAGGTGTCTGTGACCTTTGATGATGTGGCTGTGACTTTCACCCAGGAGGAGTGGGGCCAGCTGGACCTAGCTCAGCGGACCCTGTACCAGGAGGTGATGCTGGAAAACTGTGGGCTCCTGGTATCTCTGGGTAAGGCCTTCCCCCTCCACCATGCAGGGGATCTGCCACCTCCTTCGTTCCACCCTCTGACTCCAGGCCTGATGGGTCAAGAAGTCCTCTCTTACTGGCCTTGCCTCCTTCCCACAAATTCAGTCATTTTCTACAACACTCACCTCTTCCTTTTTTTTTTTTTTTTTTTTTTGAGAGGGAGTCTTACTCTGTCACCCAGGCTGGATGCATTAGCACGAACTCGGGTCACTGCAACCTCCGCCTCCCAGGTTCAAGCGATTCTTCTGCCTCAGCCTCCCAAGTAGCTGGGAAGCTGGGATTACAGGTGCCCACCACCATGCCTGGCTAATTTTTGTATTTTCAGTAGAGATGGGGTTTCACCATGCTGGCCAGGCTGGTCTCAAACTCCTGACCTCAGGTGATCCGCCCGCCTCGGTCTCCCAAAGTGCTGGGATTACAGGTGTGAGCCACCACGCCTGGCCTACACTCACCTCTTCCTATACAGTCTCCATGCATCGCTTTGGACAAGAAATAAGAGTACTCTTTGGCTCTCAGCCAAAGGAGAGAAGCTGGTGGAAGGAAATGGGGTGTTTTGCAGACCTCAAAGGTAGGATTGCCAGCTGTATGTTATGAGGGGTTGAAGTAGGAACTGAGAACCGCCACGATGGGGTCCTGGTTTCTCTGTCTGGGTCTGCTCATGTCACTGTCTACTCTGTATGGTTTTTTCTGCCTCAGCGAGTTCAGGGGAAGAGTAACCACCCCAGGTTTTACTGTTTGTGACCCCTCCTTCCCCTCCAGATTTCTTGTCTGTTTCTCTGGCCTCTGTGGGGCGTGTTTGAGGCAGCAAATGCTGCTCCACCTCCAGCTCATACTTGCCTCCATCTCTCACCCACTGCCCAGCATAGACTGGCCTCTGTCTGCAGTTTTTTTTTTGAGTTCCAGAGCGGGATCTGCCTGGGTGGGCCTGGTTGCTCATGTATCTGCTCCACAGCCCAGTCTGTGGTGTAAGGGTTGGTGGGATGTTCACTAAGAAGGGTTGAGTCAGGCAGGCCCCAAGGAGACATTGACCTTCCGTCCCACCAGGTGTTATTCTAAACAACCTTCACGTCCTTCAATCACCTTCACATCCTCTGATTCTAAAGTCACTCTGCTGCAGCCTTGCTGGGCTTCTTGCTATTTCCCCAAGTGCCCACCCACCTCAGGCCATTGCATTTGCTGTTCTCTTTGATGAGTGTTCTCAGGGTAATTCAGCATTTCACATGGCCGCCCCTTCTCAGCACCACTTGCCTCCTCACCCAGCCCTTCCCTGACCACCGAATCTTGGGGAGGCCCCTTTCTCACCATAGCCTCCTCCCTTTACCTTTTTAATGTCTTTCTAAGCTAGTGTTTCTCAAACAGGGACGATGTTGAGCTTCAGTGGACACTGGGCAATGTGTGGAGACATTTTGGTTGTTAAAACTAAGATGATGGGCCAGGTGCGATAGCTCATGCCTGTAATCCCAGCACTTTGGGAGGCCGAGATGGGCGGATCACAAGGTCAGGAGATAGAGACCATCCTGGCTAACACGGTGCAACCCTGTCTCTACTAAAAATACAAAAAATTAGCCGGGCGTGGTGGCGGGTGCCTGTAGTCCCAGCTACTCGGGAGGCTGAGGCAGGAGAATGGCGTGAACCCAGGAGGCGGAGCTTGCAGTGAGCTGAGATTGCACCACTGCACTCCAGCCTGGGCGACAGAGCGAGACTCCATCTCAAAAAAAAAAAAAACCTAAGATGATAACATTGACAGCTAGTGGGTGGAGATGCTGCTAAACATCCTTATAATGCACAGGACAGATCCTTTCTCCTCCTCTTCCCCCGATCTCACAAACAAAGAATTACCTGGACCTAAATGTCAATTGTGCTAAGGCGAGAAGCTCTTTTTCAGAGAGTGCTTGGACAGACACTACATCAGCTGGTGCTGAGAGACACTTGAGGAAGTTGTTCTTTTATTTCTTCTCGTCTTGTCTCCTTAGCATTTGAGGAAAACTCTGGTTTAGTGCTGAGACTTAACGTCCTGCAAACTGTTGGTAATTTCCCCTTTTCTACAGAGGGAGCAGCCTTAGGCTCACAGCCCTGAACAAGCAGCATGAGCTCACAGGGACCAAAGAGCACTGTTTGTTTGTCTTGAGACAGAGTCTCGCTGTTGCCTCGGCTGGAGTGCAGTGGTTTGATCTTGGCTCACTGCAACCTGTGCCTCCTGGATTCAAGCATTTCTCATGCCTCAGCCTCCTGAGTAGCTAGGATTACAGGCAGGTGCCACCACGCCCAGCTAATTTTTGTATACGTTGTTTTGATTTATTGCTACATTTTCATGGTTACCTGCCATCAAGACAAGTGACTCTGGATTTTCCATTTACCAGAGTGATAAGGATTCCATTTTTGAAGAAATCTAAGAAAAATAAAAAGTGGATCACTTTTAAGAAAAGCAGCCCGGGCATGGTGGCTCATGCCTGCAATCTCAGCACTTTGGGAGGGCAAGGCAGGCAGATCACGAGGTCAGTTGATAGCGACCATCCTGGCCAACATGGTGAAACCCCGTCTGTACTAAATATACAAAAATTAGCTGGGTGTGGTAGCGCATGCCTGTAATCCCAGCTACTCAGGAGGTGGAGGCAGGAGAATCACTTGAACCAGGGAGTTGGAGGTTGCAGTGAGCTGAGATCGCGCTACTGCACTCCAGCCTGATGACAGAGCGAGACTTCGTCTCAAAAAAAAAAAAAAAAAAAGAAAAGCAGTTAACAGTCCAGATCCCCAGAGCACTGATTGGGTGTCTCAGGCCTGTTCCAGGCAGTGTTCATGCTCCATTTATTCTCACAGGATCCCTGTCCTCAGCAAAGTAAGGAAAATTTAGCCACTCCTGTGAGTCCCTCATCCAGTTTAACTTACTCAGCACAGATGAAACACCTTCATTTTATGAAGCTATCACTGAATGTTTTTGTGTAGAAAAAATTCTTCTCTTGTGAACTTTTTTTTTTTTTTTTGAGATGGAGTTTCACTCTTGTCTCCCAGACTGGAGTGCAGTGGTGCAAGATCATAGCTCACTGCGATCCTCACACCTTACCGTCTCCAGTAGCTGGGACTACAGATGCGAGCCACTGCGCTGCTATATGAAGTTTCTGTAAATATCCTTATGTCACCATATCACAGTAGGATGTTCAGTCTTTAAATATTTTAATGGTTCGTGAAATGCTGGGGTCTGGAGTCACTGACCTGCCCCTCATCCTGGCCGCTGGTCCCTGAGGATGAATCCTCCAGCTCACATCTCTGCCTCGTCACCACCCTCTGCCACCCACTCTGGTGCTCGTGGTTTCCTCCTTACTGTATTTCTTGGGAGAGTAGGGTTTGAAGCCAGAACGCTGGTGTCCAGCCCCAGCTCTGCTCTTTAAAAACTCCATGGCCTTGGGCAAGTTACTGAACTTGCCTGTGCCTCAGTGTTCTCATTGTTCAAATGAGGACTTAACCATATTCGCATCCCAGGGCTGTTGCCAGGGTCAAGGGTTATTTTATGAAAAGGCTCAGAACAGCACCTGGGAGACCAGGCTGCGTGCAGGGAGCCATTACAATCTCTGTTTCCACCAGTACTATTACCGTCGTCCTCATCATGATTATTGTCGTTGGCATGCCTTGACCTGGCACTTTCTGGGCAGCGTTGTGGAGCTTTGTGGTTAAACAGCACAGACAGAGATGGCAGGACCTGGGTTTCCTTATTGACTCAGCCATTCTCCAGTTCTGTGCTCTTCAGCAAATCACTTTACCTCCCCGAGCCTGGGTTTCTTTGTCAACAAAATGGTGTTGATTATGATATGGACTTCCTGGGTATACCGTGAGGAAATCCTCAACTGGAATCCTCATTTAATGGCTAGGCATGGTGGCTCACGCCTGTAATCCTAGCACTCTGGGAGGCCTAGGCGGGTGGATCACCTGAGGTCAGGAATTCAGGACTAGCCTGGCCATCATAGTGAAACCTCATTTTTACTAAAAATACAAAAAAATTAGCCAGGCATGATGGCACGCGCCTTTAGTCCCAGCTACTCAGGAGGCTGAGTGAGCGGAGATCGCGCCACTGCACTCCAGCCTGGGCAACAGACGCATTTAGTCTTTGGTTTAGAGGAAGAGCATTATAAAACATTGCTTAGGATGTTAAAAAAAAAAAAAAAAGACTTAGATAAGTGAAGATACATACCTTGTTCTGAATGAAAATAATCAATGTTTAATATTTAAAGTGTATCACTTTTTCTCTAAGATATTCCATAAATATTGTTCACTTTTTAATGCATTTAAATGCTTGGCATAGTCCCCTGGACATGGTTATAGCCTATAAATACTAGTTTTTGACTTACTATTAGGAGTAGAGATTCTGTGGCAGCATGACATGCCCTGCCCTTGGTTTCTAGATCACGTGCTAACTTTTTGTTCCCATGGATGGGTGTAGCTTCATTCCAAGGTCTGGTCCCCATCCTGAAGTCCCAGACTAGATTGAAGGTCTTTATTTCTTTTCACCCACATCCATGTGTCCACTTGCTTTCTCCATAAACAGGGTGTCCTGTTCCCAGACCTGAGCTGATCTACCACCTAGAGCATGGGCAGGAGCCATGGACCAGGAAGGAAGACCTCTCCCAAGGCACCTGTCCAGGTAGGAGCCAAGATCTGGGCAGGTCGGAGTCCCTGCTGGCTTGAGACTTCGAGGAGACCACTGGCCCTGGGATCTCTTGGGAAGCTTCTCACTGTGGCTTCTCTAAGGGTTTGGGAGCCTTGGAGCCCTTTAACCTGTGGTTTCTCCGTCCTCCCAGCCCCATCGCACTTGTCGCCACTCCTGGGGAGGAGTGAGGTGTGTGAACTGAGACTGGTCCTGGGGCTGCAGCCTTGTGTGCCGGAACCCTGGTTAGCCAGTCATCTACTCTGTGACCCCAGTGAAGTTTGTATATGAGTTTGGCTAAGTTAATACCAACTGCTGTATCCAACAAACTCCAAAATTTAAATGATTCACACATGAAAACTCTTTTTCACTCATACCAAGGTCTGTGTGGGTCAGCAGGGAACTCTGTACCACACAGTTATTCAGGACCTAGAGTCCTTCTGTCATCAACCTGTTGCTTTAAGGTTGTCCTGACATCTTCTTGCTGGTAGAGAATTAAGGGAATAAGGAAAGTCATACCCACTTCCAGACCTCCCCTCACATCTCACCCATGGGAACTGGGCATTTGGCTGTACTTGGGTCCATGAGTCTAGGAATTGTGGCTGAGCTGCCTGTCCAAGGAGAAGAGCAGATGGTCTGGTGAGCACCTACTCAGTCCACTACACTCAGTCTGTTCCTGAAAAATGATATTAGAAATTATTTTTATAAAAAACAAAAAAGAAAAACATTATTTTTATGCCATTGGGCAGTTTGAAGTTGTAATCATGTGATACATTAATGCATAAAACTGCATAGTTTCTGAGCCATAGTAAGTGACTTATCAAAATAAGCTATGAGTGTTACTCATGTCATATAAACATTGATGAGTGATGATACGTTACATTTCCTTCTGAACTCTGGGGAATAGGGCCTTTCTTACTCTCCCAATTTCTCTTTCCACTTATATTCTGCCTATCAGCCTCTCCCACCTTCTCCTTCCACCCATTCCCTGAGTGTCAATCAGACACTAAGAAGCAGTAGTTTGCCCATGTCTTCCTATATCTCCTGTTTTCCAAAAACCTCAGGGTGACATTTGACCTTCTGTGTCCCACACTCAGGCTGCTGAGGGCACTGAGGCCATCTGTCATGTGTGTGGATTGGTGCCACTGCAGAGCCTTGGCCTCTGCCCGCGTGGGTTCCTTGAGCTGCTCATCCAACCCTGAGTGTCTGTGCAGTCCCTGTTCAGCCCTTCAGAGTCTGTTCCAGATTGTCCCCTCCTCAGTGCCACATCTGCACTTGAAAATCTCAAAAGCACAAAACTCAACATGCCTAACAAGGAACCCATGATCTTGCTCACTCCTGCCACCTCCCAAGTTTCCGTGAATGGTTCTGCCATCCAGGCAGATTAGGGGACTGGCCCCAACCTCAGACAAGTCAACCCCTCCACCTCCATGAGTCCCTGCATCCAGCCTATCTCCACAGCCTTTCGATTTCACGTCATGCATGCCTCCTGAATTCATCCCTCTATCACCTCCATGAGACCTATCCTTCTGCTTTTTTCTTTTTTGAGATGGAGTTTTGCTCTTGTTGCCCAGGCTGGAGTGCAATGGCGCGATCTCGGCTCACCGCAACCTCCGCCTCCCAGGTTCAAGCGTTTCTCCTGCCTCAGCCTTCCGAATAGCTGGGATTATAGGCATGCACCACCACATCCGGCTAATTTTGTATTTTTAGTAGAGATGGAGTTTCACCATGTTGGTCAGGCTGGTCTCGAACTCCCGACCTCAGGTGATCTGCCCGCCTCGGCCTCCCAAAGTGCTGGGATTACAGGCGTGAGACACCGGGCCCGGCCCCCTTATGGTCTTACTCTAAACTCTTATCATCTTTTTTCTAGGGGATGTTAATAGACTCCCAAAACTTAATCTCTGTATCTGCTTTGTGCCTCTGGTCAGCTCTTTGTCCTGCGTGGGGTACTCCAGCATTCAGACCTTGTTCCAGACAGTTAATATTTCCCCAGCAACTCAGCATATGACTGCTGATGTATTAGCAGGTTTTCGTGTTGACAGTGTCATCTACTTCTATTGTTTAATCGGCAGTCCTTACACATTCCTCTCAACCTCTCATATCGGTAGCTTCTCTTTTCCCCTGGTGGAAGAGGTCTTACCCTTGGCCACGGCCAGTTTTTTCAAGAGTTTATATTATACGTTTTCATGGACGTTTTTTCTTCACTTATATTCCGCTTGTTTTGTAACTTCATCCTTTCTGTACTCAACATAAAAATATGCTCAACTTCCTTACCCTTGAAGAAAATTCAACAATTCAGTGTTCATGGTTCACAGTGTATTCATATATTCATTCACTGTCTGAGCACTTAATTGTTTACATGTTTTTATATCAGTGATGCTGTGGACATTTATGTATGTTGTTCATCTTTCACATGTGTAGGGACACATTTTTGATGTTTCTGGAGTGAAATAATTGGATTATAGATTATGCAAATGTTCTAGTTTGCAAGATCATTCTCATTGTTTTCTAAAGGGCCTATATCAAAAAATTCCTCTCAGGAATTTTTGGAAGGTTCCATTGATCCATATCCTATCTAATACTTGAAACTATAAGGCCCCTCAATTTTTGCCGATTAAATGGACACAAAATATTATCTGTTGTGCTCTTGATTTGCATTTTCCTCATTGGTAGGGTGGTTTAGTGTCTTTCATGATTCTGAGCCAATCTATATTTTCTTCTGTGAGATGTTATTTGGTGATAAATGCCTTTTTTTCAATTAACTTCTTTGGCTTTCTCTTTTTGATTTTATTTTTGTACATTATAGATACCTATCTTTTATCAGTTACATTTGCTGCCGGTATATTCTTCTAGTTTTTAATTTTGTCCTTCCACTCTTTTTAAAGTATCTTTTGTTCAATGAGTTCCTTACATAGCGTAGTCTGATTTATGTTTTTTTTTTACGTGATTAATGATTTTGTACCTTGTGGAAAAAATGTTGCTTTACCCTAATGTCAAAAAGGTATTCTTGTTTATTTTATTGTAAGTTGTAAAACTTGCCATTTGGCATTCAAGTCTTTATCAATCTGAAGTTGATTTTGAGTATAGAATGTGATAGAATACAATATTTCCATTCCCCGTGTTGGTAGCCAATTTTTCTAGCTCTAATTCCTTAGTAGTCTCTCATCACTGAGGTGCTGTGCCTCTTTGCCATCTACCAAAGCCCCATCTATGTGCAAGGGGATTTCTGAGCTCTCTGTTCTTCTTTATTCCCAGTTTGCATTATGTCTGTGCCAGAGTGGTACCTCTGCCTTATGAGCTCTGTCCTGAGAGTGGCACTGCTCTTCACAGCTGTCACCTAGGTCAGAATCTTGGGAATCAGTCCCCCTGTGCCTCATCTTTCCCTAGATTCTCATCACCACCACCCTCTCATGCACTGTAGCTCATTTGCATATTCTTTCTCCTAAGGCTATAGTGTCTTTCTCACATTCTCTCGTGACAAGTGGGACTTACTTCACTGGGTACCTTCTATTGGAAAACTGCCTTGATCTTTTTCTACCCAGGATTAGCCAAACTCAAGATAAGGACACAGTCCTCCAGGACTTTGTCAAGTCTACCCAAATCCTCTTAATTCCAACTGCAAATTCAGGGATTTCCTGAAACCAACCTTAGGTTTCATAACTTGCTAAAAAGACTCACAACACTTTCTAAAACCTATTATACTCACAGTTTTGTTTATTACAGACAAAGCATACAAATTAGAAGAGGACACGGGATGTGGGGCTGAAGGGGTTCCAAACACAAAGCTTCCTCAGTAACTTGTTACCCACCCAGCATTGAGTGTAAAATATGTGCACAGAGCATTGCAAACCCAGGAAACTCACTGGAGCTCTGGTTTTTAGAGTTTGTTGAGCTTCATTACACAAGCACGGTTAATCGAGACATTGCCCACATTGCCATGTGAAGTTTCCAGCCTTCGTCCCTTTTCCAGAGTTCAGCTGATATCTTGTGGCTCAGAGACCTAACCTTCTACTCACTGGTTGGTCTTTCTGGTGCCACCAGACCTCAGCCAGAGTCATCTATTTAGGATAAACTATTTAGGTACCTATAATGAGTTACCTTTATATAAATATTTAGTCTGGAATTGAAGCGATATCTCCACTCTAGGCCCTGTCCCCTCACCTGGTCTCTCTGCCTGGTCTCCCTTTCAAGGAGTCAGGAATCCAAGGAAAATAAAAGAAACAAATTATAGATCTGGGGTTCAAGATGGCAAAATATAACAGACATAAAGGCACCATTTATAACTTCATTTTTTTTACTGAAGTGGTGAGTTTGTTTCTTCTCTTTTTACATTACTAACAAGCCCTTCT
Organism: Homo sapiens; assembly: GCF_000001405.40. NCBI lineage: Eukaryota > Metazoa > Chordata > Mammalia > Primates > Hominidae > Homo > Homo sapiens. Next base: position 57,253,053 of record NC_000019.10, read on the forward strand.
GTGTGTTGGATTTCTTTCAGGTGACAAAGGAAAACCCAAGAGCACAGAACCTACCACCTGTGAGCTAGCCTTGTCTGAAGGAATCTCTTTTTGGGGACAACTAACACAAGGAGCTTCAGGGGACTCCCAGTTGGGGCAACCCAAGGATCAGGATGGGTTTTCAGAAATGCAGGGAGAACGCTTGAGACCAGGGTTAGATTCCCAAAAGGAGAAGCTTCCTGGAAAAATGAGCCCCAAACATGATGGTTTAGGGACAGCTGATAGTGTGTGTTCAAGGATTATACAGGATCGAGTCTCCTTAGGAGATGATGTCCATGACTGTGACTCACATGGATCAGGTAAAAATCCAGTTATTCAGGAAGAGGAAAATATCTTTAAATGCAATGAATGTGAAAAAGTGTTTAACAAGAAACGCCTGCTTGCTCGGCATGAGAGGATTCACTCTGGAGTGAAGCCCTATGAATGCACAGAGTGTGGAAAAACCTTTAGCAAGAGTACATACCTCCTGCAGCACCACATGGTCCACACTGGGGAGAAGCCCTATAAGTGCATGGAGTGTGGGAAGGCTTTTAATCGGAAGTCACACCTTACCCAGCACCAGCGGATTCACAGTGGAGAGAAGCCTTATAAGTGCAGTGAATGTGGAAAGGCCTTCACCCACCGCTCCACTTTTGTCTTGCATAACAGGAGCCACACTGGAGAAAAACCCTTTGTGTGCAAAGAGTGTGGCAAAGCCTTTCGAGATAGGCCAGGTTTCATTCGACACTACATCATCCACAGTGGTGAGAATCCCTACGAGTGCTTCGAATGTGGCAAGGTCTTCAAACACAGATCATACCTCATGTGGCACCAGCAGACTCATACCGGGGAGAAGCCCTATGAGTGCAGTGAATGTGGGAAGGCCTTCTGTGAGAGCGCAGCGCTGATTCACCACTATGTCATCCACACTGGAGAGAAGCCCTTTGAGTGCCTCGAGTGTGGGAAGGCTTTCAACCACCGATCCTACCTCAAAAGGCACCAGCGGATTCACACTGGGGAGAAGCCATATGTGTGTAGTGAATGCGGAAAGGCCTTCACCCACTGCTCTACTTTCATCTTGCATAAAAGGGCCCACACTGGAGAAAAACCTTTCGAGTGCAAAGAGTGTGGGAAAGCCTTTAGCAATAGGGCAGACCTCATTCGCCACTTCAGCATCCACACTGGAGAGAAGCCCTATGAGTGCATGGAGTGTGGAAAGGCCTTCAACCGCAGGTCAGGCCTCACAAGGCACCAGCGGATTCATAGTGGAGAGAAGCCCTATGAATGCATCGAGTGTGGGAAAACATTTTGCTGGAGCACAAACCTCATTCGACACTCTATCATCCACACTGGAGAGAAGCCGTATGAGTGCAGTGAATGTGGAAAGGCCTTCAGTCGCAGCTCGTCCCTCACTCAGCATCAAAGGATGCATACTGGGAGAAATCCTATCAGTGTAACAGATGTGGGAAGACCTTTTACAAGTGGGCAGACCTCAGTCAACATCCAAGAACTTTTATTGGGGAAAAACTTTTTGAATGTCACCACTGAGGAAAATCTTTTGCAAGAGGAAGCATCTTACATGGCATCTGATCGTACATACCAAAGAGAAACCCCACAAGTGTCTTCACTGTGAGAAAACCTTCTGTTGCCAAATGTCATTTGTCACCTAAGGAGTCATATTAGAAAATCACGCAGCTTAGAGCCTTATTCTCCATCCGAATTCATCCTGGAAAAACACCCAGTGGTTATTACGCACTTGGGAAAACCTTTAGCTCCATCTTTCTCATTAGTTTACAGTGCAATGTTATCTCAGGAATTTTTATAAACAGAAAGAGGTGACATAGAAAAGAAAATGAAATGCAGACACTGCTTTTATACTGTTGTCTTGTATGTACATTTCTGTCCTGTGTCAGGAAAGTTAGTAAGGGAAGGTCTGGAAACTTACTCAATGTCTTTGTTCTACAACATTGTCTCTTCTTAAGAAGCATTGTTTTTATGAGAAATAATGAAGCCTTGAGTTATGAAATACTTTTATATTTAAGGATTAAAAGAAACATGAATGCGCACATTTTATTGTACCACTTAATACTGTTTAGGTCTTTGATTTTTTAAAAAAATTCTTTTTTAATGGGTTTTAAACACTAACACTGAGAATTTTTCTTGATTCCCATCTGTTGGTTTACTTGATTGCTATAGCTGTATGGTAAATCTCAAAATTAGGTAATGTGATTTCTTTTTTCTTACTATTTTTATTTAAAATTCATTTAGCATTCCTAGTTTGACTTTCCATATACACTTTAGGATTGGTTTTTCTGTTTTTCAAATATTCTTGCTTGGATTTTGATAGAAATTGAGTTAAATCTATAGATCAATGTGTTGGAAATTGGCATCTTAGTCTTCCAATTCATGAACATAGCCTATCTTTTCATTATTTAAATTTTCTTTGATATATTTCATTACTGTTTTATAGTTTACACAGTATAACTCCTGCACATTTAAAATAAGAATTATAGCTGCATAGTTTTTTGAGTGATTGTAAATGGCATTGATATTTAAAGTTTCAATATTCACATGATGTTGGCTAGTATACAGAAACATTATTTTTTCAATCTTATTTTGCTGTCTTGCAACCTTCCTAAACTCATTATTTCTTGCCATTTCTTTTGGGAGAATCCTTAGGATTTTAAATATAGAAATGTCATTTGCAATTTGGGACAGTTTTATTTCTTGCTTCCCATCTGTATACCTTTTATTTGCTTTTCTCATGTTATTGTACTAGGTAGGATTTCCAGTGTGATGTTGAATACGAATAGTGACAAGTTATCCATGCCTTGTTCCTGATATTAGGGGGAAATGTTCAGTTTCTCATTATTATGATGTTGAAAGTTGCTTCCAAAGAGTTTCTCTATCGAGTTTAGAAAGTTTCCCTCTATTCCTAATTTGCTGGGATTTTTTTGGTTATTATTAATAAGTGTTGAATTTTGTCATATGCTTTTTCTCCACCAATTGATTTAATTATGTGATGTTACTTCTATAGTCAGTTGATATGATGTGTTACCTTGATTGAGTTTCAAGTATTGAACCAGCCTCACATCTTTGTGATAAGCCCTACTTGATCATGGAGTATAATTTTGTTTGTGTACTATGCTACAGTATTTCATTTGCTAGTATTTTGTTGAGGAAGCTTTCCTCTGATTTCATGAGTGATAATCTGTAGTTTTCTTTCTTCAACTGTTACTGTTTGGTTTTGATGTCTAGATGATAACTAACCTCCTAACATGAATTGGAAGGAATTCTCTTCTGTTTTTTTGGAAGATCATGTGTAGAATTGGTGTTATTTGTTCCTTTAATGTTTGGTAGCTTTCTCCAGTGAAGAAGTGGGACCTGGAGATTTTCCTTTTGAATGCTTTTTAATTATGTATTTATTTTATTTAATAGGTATAGAACTATTCAGAGTATTTCATATTGGATGAATTTTTATAGATTTTCTTAAGGAAGTGTTCATTTTATGTAAATGTTCTAATTTGTAGCATTCTTTGAAATATTTCCTTTTATCCTCTTGATGGCAGCAGGATCTGTACTTATGTTCCTTGTTGTATTCTTGATATTGGAAATGTATCACTTATTATTGTCAGTCTTTGTAGACATATGTCAATTTCATTGATCATTTCAAAGAAATAGCACTTTATATCACTGATTTTTCTCCAGTCTCTGTTCTTAATTTCACTGATATCTGCTCTGATGTGTATTGTATCCTTTCTCCTACTTGCTCTGGTTGTATTTGACTCAGTGGTTTCCTGACGTGGATGTTTAGGTTATTGATTTGAGGCTTTTTTTCTTTTTTAATATAAGCTTTAAGTTCTATACATTTTTCTTACACTGCTGTTAGTTTCATCCCACAAGTCTTAATATGCTTTTGATTATCTTACTCAGTTCTAAGATTGCCTGATTCCTTTTGAGACATCTTCTCTAACCCAGGAATTATTTAGAAGTATATTGTTTAATAGTGTTTGGAGTATTCCCTGCTATTTGTTATTGATTTCTAATTTGTTTTGCATTTGATGTTACTGTTGAAATTTGTTGACTTTTTTTCCTTATGACCCAGGATATAGGCTGTCTTGTTTTACATAGCTGCTTGAAAAGAATGTGTGTTCTCGGTCATTTGGTGGAGTTTCTGTAAAAGTTTGTATGATCCTGTTAGTTGGTGGTGTTATTTAGGTCTCCTGTATCCTTGCTGATTTTCTGTCTAGTATTTCTATCAATTGCCAAGAGAAGGATGTTGAAGTCCTGAGCTATAATTGTGGAATTACCTATTCCTCCTTTAAGTTCTATCAGTTTTTGCTCCACATAATTTAAAGCTCTGTTGTTTGGTATATACACATGTAGGTTTGCTTAGTATTCTTGGTGTATTGACCCTTTTATAATTAAGTAATGTCCCTTTTTGTTCCTGTTAATACTCTTATCAATTTTTATCTGATATTTGTGTGGTCAGTCTTACGTTTTGGTTAATGCTTGCATGATTTACACTTCATCATTTTTTTAAACCTTATCTATATCACTATATTGGGAGTAAGTTTCTTGTGAATGGCGTATATTTGGGCTGTGGTTTTATATCCAGTTTGCGTATCTTTTTTTTTTTTTTTTTTTTTTTTTGAGACGGAGTTTTGTTCTTGTTGCCCAGGCTGGAGTGGAGTGGTGCGATCTCCGCTCACTGCAACCTCCGCCTCCTGGGTTCAAGTGATTCTCCTGCCTCAGGCTCTTGAGTAGCTGGGATTACAGGCATCCGCCACCATGCCTGACTGATTTTTTGTATTTTTAGTAGAGATGGAGTTTCACCATGTTGGCCAGGCTGGTCTCGAACTCCTGACCTCAGGTGATCCACCTGCCTCAGCCTCCCAAAGTGCTAGGATTACTGGTATGAGCAACCACGCACAGCATTTTTTTTTTTTTTTTTTTTTTGAGACGGAGTCTTGCTCTGTCGCCCTGGCTGGAGTGCAGTGGCGCAGTCTGCAACCTCTGCCTCCCGGGTTCAAGCCATTCTCTTGCCTCAGCCTCCCAAGTAGCTGGGATTACAGGTGCCTGCCACCACACCTAGCTAATTTTTATATTTTTAGTAGAGACGGGGTTTCATCATGTTGGTCAGGCTGGTCTCAAACTCCTGACCTCAGGTGATCTGCCCACCTCAGCCTCCCAAAGTGCTGGGATTACAGGTATGTGTCACTGTGTCTGGCCCCAGTTTGCATATTTCTGTCTTTTATTGGTGTATTTAGACCATTTAAAGTTTACAATAATTATGTTAGTGCTATGTCTGCTATTTTATGATTAGTTTTTTGTGTTTCCTGTTGCTTCTTTCTTGGTTTGTTTGGGTTTTTTTTTTTTTGTCTTTAACATTTTTTAGAATTCCATTTGATATATTTGTAGTGTTTTTTAAATATATTTCTTTGTATTTTTGTATTAATTTTTTAGTGGTTGCTTTAAGTAGTATAATGTACATATGTAACATAATTACAGTTAATGGTATGAAAAATTTAGCACTTTGATGTATAGAAACCTTACTTGGTCCCTTCACCTTGCCTGTTAATATAATTGTCTAAAGTAATTCCTCTTCAAAATTGAGCACCATGTTGGAAAATGTAATTTTTGCTTCCACTGTCAAATATATTTTACAAAAGTCACAGGAAGTATTGCTTGTTGATCTCTTTACCCATTCCACTATTCTTTCTTGAAATTCTAAGCCACCTTCTATTAACATTTTCTTTCTGTTTGGCGAACTTGTGTAACCTTTTTTCTAGGGTCAGTCTGCTGGTGTCTCTAAAAGTGTCTTTATGTTCCCTTCATTCCTGAGGGATATTTTTGTGGGATAATAGGATTTAGGGTCTGCAGTTCTTTTAGTACTTGAGAAACATGTTTGTTCCTTCTGTCCGCTATGGTTTCAGATGAGAAATCTGTTGCCATTTGAACCATTGTTCCCTAGTTCATAATGTGCCATTTTTATCAACCTGCGTTCAAAGTGTTTTGTTTTTTTTGTAGTGTTCAGAAGTTTGGTTATGAGGTGTGTGACATGGAATTTTTTTGAGTGTATCATGTTTGGTTTTTGTTTAGCTTTTTGATTTGTCGGTTTATGCCCTTTGCCAAATTTGGGAATTTTTAACCATTATTTCTTGAAATATTTTTTCATCCCTACTCTTTCTCCTCTCTGTGATATGAATGGTAGAGCTTTTGTTACTGTCTCAGAGGTCTCTTGTGCTTTCATGTTTACCCCCTTTTTCTGGTCTATTTTTCCCTTTTTTTCATATTGGTTAATTTCTGTTGACTTTTTTTCAGCTCACTGATTCTTTTTTTCTGCCATATGCAGTCTACTGTTGAGCTTGTCCAATGAGTTTTCGTTTTGGTTTTTGTATTTTTCAGTTGTTTAATTTCCATTTGTTTTGTTTTGTTTTGTTTTGTTTTTTTGAGACAGACTCTTTGCTCTGTTGCCCAGGCTGGAGTGCAGTGGCGCGATCTCTGCTCACTGCAAGCTCTGCCTCCCGGGTTCATGCCATTCTCCTGCCTCAGCCTCCCGAGTAGCTGGGACTACAGGTGCCCGCCACCATGCCCGGCTAATTTTTTGTATTTTTAGTAGAGACGGGGTTTCACTGTGTTAGCCAGGATGGTCTCGATTTCCTGATCTGGTGATCCACCTGCCTCGGCCTCCCGAAGTGCTGGGATTACAGGTGTGAGCCACTGTGCCTGGCCTCCATTTGGTTCTTTTGTACATCTTTGATTTCTTTGCTTAGTTTATAATACTAAAGGGCTCAGAAAACAGAAAAAACTAAATTCCAGAGTCATGGTTTTCTGGTGGTTTGTCTCAATATTTGAATAGAAATCCTAAATTATCTGGAGGAGTAGAAGTCCTGTAATCTTTTATATTGGGCTTCTTAAATATTTCTGTCAACAGATCTTATATCAGGGTGATCTGCATATCATTCAGAGTTACGTACTCCACGGGAAGGTTGTATGTAAAATCCTCCAGCTCTGTAAGCCTTGTTATATCCTCAATGGAGAAGGGGTCATTCCTTTTCTAAGATCACTCTTACACTTTTTTATTAGACACACACACACCCTTCCCCAACCAAACTTGTCTAAGTCCTCTGTCTTTCATACTCTTGTTTAGTCTTTAACTTCTCCTTATTAACCAGCTTCTTTCCCATAATGTATAGCTTTAGTCGGATCTCAAGCCTCGTTTCCAACCTATTTCACCCTTCCTTGCCTATCAAGCTCTGGTTATTCTTTCTTCCACACACATGCCCTGAGTAACTATTCTGTGCACTGTCGCCACCCCTTTACATTTCCTTTTACTCCCCAGATACTACTAAATGGCTTCCACCACCGTTGCCTGACTTAAGCACGTCTCAGAAAGGTCCCTTTTGACCCCCTCACTCTCTTTTTGGACCTCCATACTGCTAAATCTCTGACTTGAAGGTCCTTTCCTGGCTTCTGTGAATTCCTGGCTTTTTTCCTTTTTAGGGTCTGTGTCTTTCTTCCATCTGTAAAACAGCTTTACTTCCCAGCATCCATCATGATCATTGCTGTTTTCTAACTTGTCCTTCACCCCATGACTGAGTTAATTTGCGCTGAAGACACTTTACTCTCAATTATCTACAGTGTTTCCCTAAATCTGTGTCTCCAGGTTGGATGTTTCTCATGTCGTTAACCACTGGTCATCCTTCCACACCTTTTCTGTATTTGCACTCACTGAGCCTATATGCATGTATCATGTGGCCATGACCTTGGCCGTGGGGATGCACCCATAATCATCATAAGAGAACACAAATTATTACTGTGTATCAGACATTGTTTCGAATGTTTTACATGCGTCAGCTCTTTTAACCTTTATGACAACTCCATAATGTTATTTCCCCCCTTTAACTGATTAGAAAACTGAGGTACAGAAAGATTAAGGAATTTGTCAAAGATTTCACAATTATGAAATTTGGGTTTGGGGACTGGAAGCCACTGCACTGGCTTCAGAATCCATGTCCTTAACCACTTTATTGCTTCTCATAAGGTGGGTCTTTGTTTCCTGGTCATCACTTGTTTTTACTAAAATGGGTCAAACTGTGCTCATTTATTTATAATCTACTATTCTTATTTGACAGTACATCTTGGCCATTCCTTCAAGCAAATGAGATAAACCAGACTCACTCTTTAATGCCTGCATAAGCTATTGTGACTGTAGAAAAGACGGAGAATGTCTGGGTTTGAGGATATGTGGGAGGGGTGGGGAGAAGGAGTAGAGAAGGGCTAAGGCATGCATGTTGTTTTAGGTGTGTTTGAGATGCCTGAAGAACATCAGTGTATCCCCCTAATTTCTGTCATGTTACTCAAACCAGACACATTGTGGCCATTTCTTTTTCCTTTATCATTCCCACGTCCGGCCACTGCCCCATTCCTTTTTGTTCCGTAGTAGACCCTCAATATATATGTGTGTGTTGGTAAATGGCCATACACAGCAGGGTATTTTTTATTATTATTTTCAGTTCCCTCAGCGCGTTTACCACAAAGCTGTGCATATAGGTGGCACCATATATGGCGTACCTTGACCTCGAAGAGAATCTACATGGACTTTTATGGACCTACGTACACAATTTTAGAAATCATAATAAATGAATGCTGGAGTCCTCAAGACCCCTTCCAGATTTGATTTGCTAGGAAGACTCACAGGACTCAGCATTTTGTCATACTCAATGGCTATGATTTACCACACCGAAAGAATCCAGAGCAAACTCAGCAAAAGGCTCAAACCCAAGTCCAGAGGAAACCAGGCACAATCTTTGAGAATCTTAATGAAATCACACAGGATGTGCTTCATTGAAGCTCCATCTGGGACTTAAAACAACACACGTGAGATGTGTTCCAGGAAGTCGTCTTGAGCACCCATTGCTCAGAGTTTATATTGGACTTGCTTTCTAGCACATACCACAATTGTAGACCTCCAGAAGAACAGGAGGTGTTCAGCGTAAGACAATTTAGGCACACGGAGCTACTTCTCATTACTGGGAACAATGGGAAACTTCCCAAAACCTAAAGTACAGACTCCAGCCAAGGATGAACCTTGCAAGATCAAAGAATAGCAGTCTCTGGCCTGCTCTGTTCTCTTTTTCACAGTAACTTAAATGGAAAAATGCTGAGTTAGCTTAAGTTTCTGTAACAAACATTAAGCAAATAAAATTTTCTATAACAGAAATAAGCCATAGCTTTGAGATGAAGGCTTATATACGTGTAAACCATTGTAACCAAGAAAAAAAAAAAAAGTCAGAGTCACAGTGAAAATACTTAACAAACTAGCCAGGATTTAATTCAGTGATGACAGGGAACAGAGGAAGTCTTGTGAGAAAGGATCTTGCCTCTGCCTAGTATCTTTCACAGATAGGCTTCAAGTGGTTTGATTTGCAGATACACCCTTTCTTGGCCTTTATTTCGGCAAAGATGTGATGGGTAGGTAAATGCCGTGTTCTTTCCCTAGCACGTATGTCAGTTTCTCATCCACTCTTTGTTCTTGCTATTGAAAGTTGTAGCTTCTGGCTACAACAGAGATAGTTGAAGAATATGGAGTTCGCCATAATTTATCATTAAATGTGGATAATTTGAGATTAAAGAATATGTTGTTGCAGGCTTAGTCACTTTGATGGATCTGTCTGTGAGTTTCACTTGGAGGAAGTGGGAGCAGTTGGCTTCAGCTGAGAGGGCCCTTACAGAGACATGATGCTAGAGACCTTGAGAAATCTGGTCTCTTGTATATGTAACTCCTCTTTGTACTCAGACTCCGGCCCACAGATAGCCTTTCCTTTCCACTGTGGAAAGTTGGGGAGGCTCCACAATGCTCAGTGATGTATTTCAATTTTGAGAATTGAATATTTTTAATGATTGCTAAGAGATGGATTATTTTTGCTCATAGCAAAATCTGTTTGTGTTTCATATCTCACAATTGGAAGGTCTCAGCTAAATTGTAAATGGACAGTTTCTTTTGCCTCTTTCGGAGTAGTGTCAAGAGTGTGGACCTGGGAGACAGACTACCTGCTTATACTTTCTGTCCTTGTTCCTACCTGCTGGAAAGGACATTCATAGCCACTCTGCCTCACTTAAATTGGAGATCCATGTATTCACATGTTTTTATTATGCTGGCTTTGAGAGAGAAGATCTCACTGTCACCCAGGCTGGAGGGCAGTGGTGCGATCATAACTCACTGCAGCCTCAAACTCCTGGGCTCAAGTAATCTTCCCATCTCAGACTCCCAAAGTGCTGGGATTACAAGCATGAGCCACTGTACTGGCTATTCTGCTGTTTGGCAAGTGGAGCCTTGCTGATCCTGAGAGACTGCCCATCCCAGGACTAGCTAATTTTAAGTGGTAGCAAAGGACTCCCCTGGGTATGTGCCTTTGATATGCAACCAAACAATTCAGTGCCCATTCCCTTCCCCCACCCCCTTTATCAAGGCCTCACACATGGAGCCACTATCTTCCTGCCATAACCACTCCAGGGTCAGATATTAAGCAAGTAGGGACAGTTCCTAATGAAATTCAGGCCTGTAATCTCAGCACTTTGGGAAGCTGAAGTGGGAGGATCACTTGAGTCCAGGAGTTTGAGACCAGCTTGGGCAACATAGTGAGACCCCATCTCTACAAAAAGATATAATAATTAGCTAGGCATGGTGGTGTATGCCTGTACTCCCAGCTACTTGGGAGGCTGAGGTGGGAGTATTAAATGAGCCCAGGAGGTTGAGGCTGCAGTGAGCTATGATGGTACCACTGTACTCCAGCCTAGGTGACAAGAGTGAGAGCCTGTCTCAAAATAAAATAAAATTAAAAAGCCAAGCCTAACCCTGCTTAGCTTGCTTACCTTGTCTTGACCATTCTTACCTGCAAAAGCACAGTGAAGGTTCTTGCCCATGCTTTCCCCCAGCTCCTGCTGTTTTTCCGATCCTGCTGCTTCCGCATGTGGTCCTACACTGCCTGGTGTGTGCCCCTTTCTTGGGAAGTGTGTGTAGCTAAGCATCTCTTCAATGGCAGTATCTCCTGATCTGTTGGCCTCACCATACCTGAATAATAAAATTGGCCTCTCAAAATGCCACCTCAAACCATTACATGGAAGTTACATTTCCGTGTAATTTCTAGAGTACTGGGTACCTACATCAGGCAACATGGTATAGAACCATGGATTGGAGGATGGATTGATGCCAAGGAGGGACTGTTTAGGTGAATTACTAGGAACCAGACATCCAAGGGACCACTGTGTTGGTGGGATCCCAGTGATGTCAGTAGTCAAGACTTTAGAAAAATAGTTCCAGATGCCTTTCTCATTGTTGGACACTTCTGAAAAAGGCCAAGCACAACTAATTGAGGGCCCCAGATATACAAACATTATTCTGTCATTTCTCCAAGCTGTTTGAAGTTTGAAGTTTGTCTTTCTGTATATTATTTCCCAGTCCTACCTACATCATTTGTTCTTTTTTTTTTTTTTTTCTTTTTTCTTTTTTTGAGATGGAGTTTTGCTCTTGTTGCCCAGGCTGGAGTGCAATGGCGCAATCTCGGCTCACCGCAACCTCTGCCTCCCAGGTTCAAGCAATTCTGTCTCAGCCTCCCGAGTAGCTGAGATCACAGGCATGCACCACCATGCCTGGCTAATTTTGTATTTTTAGGAGAGATGGGGTTTCTCCATATCGAGGCTGGTCTCAAACTCCTGACCTCAAGTGATCTGCCCACCTCAGCCTCCCAAAGTGCTGGGATTACAGGCGTGAGCCACCGCGCCCGGCCCATTTGTTTGCTTGATATTCTCAGGCATCTGCATTAACTCTCTTTTCTTATGATCTACGGCATTGCAGTTGTATAGCCTCTCAACATACCTGTTTGCCCTTCCCAGTGCCATTCCATGTCCCTGCTCTTGGGTAAAATGACACGTGTTTGAAGTGGTCCCTTCTCACTCTGTCTCTTGTTGATCCCTGGAATCACACATAAGCAGTGGTCACTTTCTTTGCAATCTTGAGTTTCCTCCTGACATTTGCCTTCGATGTCATCATGGCCACCTACAAGCCTGTTTTTCATCTGCATGTTCTTTTGTCACTTACACTTTCTAAGTTATCTTTGCATAACTGACTTCTGCTTGAGTGTCAGTCACCACCAGTCTGGTCTTTCCTGTGTGTGTATGGGTTTCTCCAACTTGATTATTTGTCCTTTCCTCCCTCTCCTCCTTTAATAGAGGAGCCTCTTAGGGATGTTTTCCTTTTTTGTGTAATATTTTCACTTCTCCATTACCTCTTTCTTGATTTCTCTCCACTTCCCAAACCTCTACTCTTTGTGGAACTCCTTGCTACAATGCCACCTTCTCCGACATTGTGACTAAGGTCAGAAGTGACTTGGTGCTTATAAATCACAAGTCCTTGTCATTCTTGGGCCATCAGTAGAATTTTATTGTGTCTAATACTCAATTCGTGAAATATGTTCTCTTTCCTTGGCTCTGTAACATCTTTTTCCTCATTCGTTCCCTCCCTCTCTCCCTTCTTTGTGCAGTCATCCATATCTAGCTGCCCACTCAATGTTGAAATACCTAAAGGTTTTGTCCAAGGCTCTTTTGCCTTGTATGGCCTCTCCCCAGCCTCATCTGTGCCCTTGGCTTCAGTTACCTCCCTTACTTTAAAGGCATTGAAAATAGAATACCCCAGTCTTGAGCAATCCTTACAGCTCTGGACCTGAATTACCAGTTATCTTCTTGCTATCTTCACATAGATGTTTCAAAGATACCTCATTCTTCACCTGATGTAAATAAGATCAATAAAATGCTTCTCCCTGACTCTGATCTACTTCAGTCTTCCCTCTTTACTACATGGCACTGTTTAGTTACGTTGGCTAGAAATTTCCAACTCAGCATAGTTACCTCAATCTCTTCCTCCTTCATGTACAATCAGAAAGTTGTGTTTTTTTGTTTGTTTTTTTTTTAACACAGAATCTCGTTCTGTCCCCAGGCTGGAGCAGTGGTGCGAACTCGGCTCACTGCAACCTCCGCCTCCTGGGTTCAAGCAATTCTCCTGCCTCAGCCTCCTGAGTAGCTGGGATTATAGGTGCATGCCACCACACCCAGCTAATTTTTGTATTTTTAGTAGAGACGGGGTTTCACCACGTTGGCCAGAATGGTCTCAATCTCCTGACCTTGTGATCTGCCTGCCTTGGCCTCCCAAAGTGCTGGGATTACAGGTGTGAGCCACTGCCCCGGCCCCATCATTTTTAATTCTTAAATATCTCTCAAGTATGTCCACTTCTCTCTACCACCTCTTCCTAGTCCATCCACTCACCATCTATCATCTCAATTAGTGTCCTTTTACCCACATTTTCTCTTCAATCCATTCTCTAAGCTGAAACCAGAGAACCATCTCAGATTTAATAGTGCTCTGCTTCGCCCTCCCTCTGCCCCCACTACGTTTCCTGAAAACTTTTTATGGCTTCAACTCTTGGGATAAAAACCAAATATGGCCAGGTGTGGTAGTTCACAACTGTAATCTCAGCACTTTGGGAGGCCAAGGTAGGAGGATTGCTTGAGCCCAGGTATTTGAGACCAGCCTGGGCAACAAAGTGAGACCTCATCTCTAAAAACAACTCCCAAATCATTACACGGTCAATCCTTTGGGCTTTATCTGAGCTTTATCTGGTCTGGGAGGTGCCTCATTTACTACCTTTCATCTTGCATAACTTATGCCCTTTCTGTTTTCACTTTGTGTTTCCTTTTCCCACCTGCCATGGGGCTTTTCCACCACACACTTTGTCCAGTAGTGAATATTTATCCTTCATCCCAGCTACGTCATAAGCATTCTTTCATAAATATCTGTGTGTGTGTGTGCATACACATGCATATATATTTAGGTTTGATTACTGACTCCTGACTGTCTCACCAACTAGATTTCCAGCTTCAAAAGAGCACAGATGTTAATATGGATTTTATCCTAATTGTTCCATGCACATAGTTCCTAGTCAGTAGTAGATATTCAGATATCTGCTAAATGGATACGTGGATGAATGGCCTTAATCATCTTGATATTTTAGGTTACTTACCTCAGGCTTCATGATTTGCTAGAAGTACACACAAGACTCAGAAAAGCTGTTATGGTTATAGTTTATTACAATAAAAGGATATAGACCAGGATCACCAAAGGGAAAAATCACATAGAATGAAGTCCACATGAAAGCAGGCACAAAACTCTGGGTGTTATCTCCCATTACGGTCACATAGGGACACACTTAATTCCCCCAGCAAAGATGTGTGACAAGATGTTCACAGTATTATAATACAAGCCAGGGAAGTTCACTCAAGCATTCATTTCTGGGGTTTTTATGGAGGGTCATTTACATAGGAATGCAGGGTCCACATAACTAGTCATAGCCATACAGCCCTTGCAAAAAGCAAACATACAGTGTGGCCCAGGGCCTCGGGCATGCAAAATCCAGCATTCACCATGAGGAATATTGTCAGAAGCATTTGAACCACAGCAAATCCGTCTTGAATAGGGGCTGGGCAAAATGAGGCTGAGACCTGTGCTGCATTCCCAGGAAGTTAGGCATTCTAAGTCACAGGAGGAGACAGGAGTTTGGTGCAAGACACTGCTCACAAAAACCCTGCTGATAAAACAGCTTGTGGTAAAGAAGCTGGCCAAAACCAAGACGGCCAAAACCCACCAAAACCAAGACGGCCAAAACCAAGACGGCCAAAACCCACCAAAACCAAGACGGCCAAAACCAAGACGGCCAAAACCCACCAAAACCAAGACGGCCAAAACCAAGACGGCCAAAACCCACCAAAACCAAGACGGCCAAAACCAAGGTCATCCTCACTGCCCATTATATCCCAATTATGCATTAGCATGCAAAAAGTCACTCTCAGCAGCACCATGACAGTTTACAAATGCCATGGCAATGTCAGGAAGTTACCCTATATGGTCTAAAAAGGAGAGGAACCCTCAGTTCTGAGAACTGCTCACCCCTTTCCTGGGAAACTCGTGAATAATCCAACCCTCCTTTAGCATATAATCAATAAATAACTATAAGTAGCCTTAGTCCAGCAGCCCAAACTACTGCTCTGCCTATGGAGTAGCCATTTTGTATTCCTTTTTTTTTTTTTTTTTTTTGAGACGGAGTCTTGCTCTGTTGCCCAGGCTGGAGTGTAATGGCATGATCTTGGCTCACTGCAACCTCTGCTTCCCGGGTTCAAGCGATTCTCCTGCCTCAGCCTCTCGAGTGGCTGGGATTACAGGCATGTGCCACCACGCCCGGCTAATTTTTGTGTTTTTAGTAGAGATGGGGTTTTGCCATGATGGCCTGGCTGGTCTCAAACTCCTGACCTCAGGTGATCCACCCTCCTCGGCCTCCCAAAGTGCTAGGATTACAGGCGTGAGCCACCGCGCCTGGCCCCTTTACTTTCTTAATAAACTTGCTTTCATTATGGACTCACCCCGAATTCTTTTTTGTGGAAGATCCAAGAACCCTCTTGAGGTCTGGATTGGGACCCCTTTTCAGTAACAATGTTCTTAGAATAAATTATCTCATCAAATCGATACATGAAGGCCTATGGACTCAGGCTTAAAAATTACTTTTACCAGGCAAAATATTCCAGAAACTCAGAGATTGTCTTCCTGGAGCTGATCAAGGGCCATTTCTTTCTTTAGAATGTATAGCATCTGAGCAACTGAAGCCTGATGAGTTCACACTTTCGTGTATAACCAAAGCCCTGGCCCTAGCCTAGAATCTCTTACAGCAAAACAATCATATTTACTGAGCATCTACATTTAGTATAACATTTATATAAGATATATCAGCAGTATCATCATGAACATGCTGAGCCACTGGAGCAGCTCGTGTGGGGAATGGATAGATTTAGAAACAACAATCCATCCCATAAAGCCATTCATACTTTTCCATATATTTGTATCAATTCAATTACTCATTGTTCTCCTTGATCTACTGTTAATTGTACTTTGTGGTAAACCACCTCCCCTCTCACTACATTGGCTTAAGTTATCCTCCACCTTGCACATCTGGAAAGAGCCAGAGCTCCCTAACAGGACTTCTCCCTCTTGCCCCTCCCATATTCCAATTTCCATAGACTACCCAGAGTGATCCTTTTAAAACATAAATCAGTCCAGGCACAGTGGCTCACGCCTGTAATCCCAGCACTTTGGGAGGCTGAGGCGGGTGGATCACGAGGTCAGGAGATCGAGACCATCCTGGCTAACACGGTGAAACCCTGTCTCTACTAAAAATACAAAAAATTACCCGGGCATGGTGGCACATGCCTCTAATCCCAGCTACTCCAGAGGCTGAGGTGGGAGAATCGCTTGAACTCAGGAGGAGAAGGTTGCAGTGAGCCGAGATCACGCCATCACACTCCAGCCTGGCGACAGGGCAAGACTCCGTCTCAAAAAACAAACAAAAACATAAATCAGATAACATCACAGCTCTGCTCAAAACCCCATGATGGCTACCCATTTCACAGTGTATTAGCTATATTTTCTTATTTTCTGCATTGTTGATGCTATGGAATTTGGGACCTTGCCATTTAGAGTTAACTGATTCTTAGAGATTGCAAATGACTCACTCTGAACCATGCCTTTTATTTGCATACTAACAAATCCAGAGTACCCTAATGTGAATCATCTCCTCTGTCTGGCTCTTACACTACAGGAGACAATTTTTTTTTTTTTTTTTTTTTTTTGCTCTAATGACTCCAGGGCCAGGTACTAGGCAGACAGGGACAGCTCCTAGACCCCAAAGTCTACCAACTTTATTCAAACCAGCAAATCCTCTTCTGGTTACCCAGCCCTGCCTTTCTTTTCCTGTGGAAAACAATAAAGGATCTGGCCTCTGCTTTCTCCTCTGCTTCTGCTTCTTATACCACCCTGGTGCTTCTCACATAGCCCTGCAGGATGTGTTTTGCCTACTGTTTCTAAAACTCCGTGAGTTGAAAGTTCTTCCTTCCTGGCAATCATTTGCATGTCCGAGTTTCTTATCAGACCATACTGCAAAAAACCCCAGGTACATTTTTGAACACACAGGAACATATTACAACCTCTCTACGCTGGCATAAAAGACTACACAATTTGTTTCCATCTATCTCTCCAACTTCCATGCACATTCAGTTCCAGCCGCACTAGGCTTCTTGGTGTTCCACAAACACCCAGGATGCTCTGTCAGTTCCATTGTCCTGTGTGTTTTCTCTGAGTGATAACACTGTTTCCTGAGATCTCCACTTGATGAGTCTTTAATTCCTCCAAGTCCATGCTAAAACATCACTTTTTTTTTTTCTTTTGAGACGAAGTCTTGCTCTGTCGCCCAGGCTGGAGAGCAGTGGCGTGATCTCGGCTCACTGCAACCTCTGCCTCCCGGGTTCAAATGATTCTCCTGCCTCAGCCTCCCTAGTAGCTGGGACTACAGGGGCCCACCACCACGGCCAGCTAATTTTTTGTATTTTTAGTAGAGACGGGGTTTCACCATGTTAGCCAGGATGGTCTCGATCTCCCGACCTCATGATCTGCCTGCCTCAGCCTCCCAAAGTGCTGGGATTACAGGCATGAGCCACCACGCCCGGCCTAACTGTCCTATTAGACCTGTCCCAACCACTCTGTATTGCACAACTGGCTTTATCCCACTCTCACTGATTCTTAATCTGCTCTAGTTTGTCTTATCTCCGCAACACTCCTAACCTTCTATATTGTTTAGGAGTTTTGGATTATTATTATTTTGTGTGTGTGTGTGTGTGTGTGTGTGTGTGGTATGTATGTGTCTCCATTGTGACTTTTTGTTTTTTTGTTTAGAAACAGGGTTTCGCTAGATAGCCCAGGCTGGTCTCAAACTCCTGGTCTCAAGCGATCCTCCTGTTTCAGTGTCCTGAGTAGCTAGGACTACAGGAACAAACCCACCAGGCCCAGCTCTGTATCTCCACTGTTTAGAGCAGAGCCTATCACAAGATAGTCAAGTACTTGTTGAGTTAATTAATTAAAAGTTAGTAAATATATAAAAATATATTTTCAAATGGTTATGAATGTCCTAAAGAAAAATAGAGCAGAGTAATATTGGGGTGAGGGACTACTTTAAAATTTTTATTATTGTTATTATTTTTTAAACAAACAGGTTCTCTCACTCTGTTGCCCGGGCTGGAATGCAGTGGCACAATCATGGCTCACTGCAGCCTAAACCGCCGTGGCTCAAGTGATCCTCCTCCCTCAGCCTCCCGAGTAGCCAGGACTATAGGTACCCACCACCACGCCTGGCTAATTTTTAAATTTTTCACAGAGACGGGGTCTCACTATGTTGCCCAGGCTGGTCTTGAACTCCTGGGCTCAAGTGTTCCTCCTACCTCGGCTTCTCCAAGTGTTGGGATTACAGGACCCCACACCTGGCCGGAGGAGCTACTTTAGATTAAGAGATCCGCACTTGAGCCCAGGAGTTTTGAGAGGAGCTGGGCAACACAGTGAGACCCCATCTCTACAAAAAATAAAAAAAAAATTAGTTGGGTGTGTTGGTGTGGGCTTGTGATCCCAGTTACTCAGGAGGCTGAGGTGAGAGGATCACATGAGCCTGGGAGGTGGAGGCTGCAGTGAGCTATGACCCTGCTACAGTACTGCAGCCTGGGTTACAGAGGAAGACCCCATCTCAAAAGAAAAAAAAAAGAGTAAGAGATCTGGAGAGGCCTCTATGAGAAGGGAATGGTTGATACAAGCTGAGACTCATTACCTGGACCACATGTCTACAATCCAGGTGGCACTGGCTCAACACTGTATCTTTTACATCATCTTGCAAAGTGCCTTCCCTCAGCTTCTCTAAGAAGTATTTGTAGAGTGAATGTTGAGTGGATTTTATAATAATGCTGTGAAATCCCCATGGTCTCCTGGCACCACTGTAGGACTGTTACTGTAGGACTGCGGGGTCACCCCTGGCTGTTAAGGCCATTTCCCTTTCTCTTCTCTCAGCAACCAGCCTATGGCTTCAGGGGAAACTTCCAGTTCAAGACTGAAAGTCATGGTTTTGGCCCTGAGATGTATTTCTGCTCCTGACTCCATGAGAACAAGACAGATTCTACAGGGAATGAAAGGAGAAGCTACAAGGAATGAAAGGAGAAGGAATGAAAGGAATGAAGGGAGAAGGAATGAAAGGAGAAGCTGACTGGAGCAAACACTAGTTATGAAAGGATTCCCTATGAAGTGAGACTTGAGATGAAGAGGAAGCAGCAGATTCCAGATGAATTTTAGGGTTGGAACCCATATATTACCTTCATAACCAGAGAGCCTGGTATTCTTGATTCTTCCACTATAGACCACTGATGTGGTTTGAGAAGAGAGTACAGAATGACACCACTTTCAACAATACCCAGAGGCATAAATTGCTCCAAAGCTTTTTATCAGGCTTGACCGAACACGGTGGCTCACACCTGTAGTCCCAGCACTTTGGGAGGCCAAGGCGGGTGGATCACATGAGGTCAGGAGTTCGAGACCAGCCTGGCCAACATGGTGAAACCCTGTCTCTACTAAAAACTACAAAAATGTAATCCCAGCTACTTGGGATGAGGCAGGAGAATAGCTTGAACCTAGGAGGCAGAGGTTGCAGTGAGCCGAGATCACGCCATTGCACTCCAGCCTGGGTGACAGAGCAAAACTCCGTCTCAAAAAAAAAAAAAAAAAAAATCAGGCTGTTTGGGTTCCCAAACTGTTTGATATTTGTTCTACCTCAGGTTGGCGTACCTCCACATGTTTCTTTCCAGGCTCTCTGCTTGTCCCCTCAGGCAGTATCTCTGGATCTGGGTTCTAAAGCTGGGAGTGGGAACAATGGCCCACTTCTGACATCCTGCTTTGAGGGTTGAGTGCTCAGTGGTAGCGGGTGGCCAGTGGTCTCATGTCTTTTCAGCTGCCCTGTCATGGTACACTACTACAGACTTTCAGTGGGGCAAGTGTGATGAATCCCCAGTGCTCAGCATCATGATGCCCAAGGAAGGGCCTTCATCTCACCAACACTGGATGGGTGGAGGAAGGGAGCTCCTGCCTCTGGGGCTGCACTCACTAGGGATTTAGCCTCAGCAAGTTTCTGGTGGCAAGATAAGAAATGCTGACATCCTACCCTGCTGGGAAGACAGCCCTCTGTATGGAAGCTGAGAGGGAGAGCCCTGTGTTCTTGTCTGCAACACTGTAGAGTACAGTTTCCATATCATTGAACTGGGAGGGCTGAAGGAAAGAGATAGTCTTGGTTCAAATACCACAGACTCTCGCAGTTCTTACAGAAGGACAGATTCTCTTGAATAAATATTTTTTCATTTGATGTATATCCTTAGGACTATCTCCAGAGACACGACTTTTTTTGTTTTCATTTTTGTTTTTAATAATTTTCAACAGTTTTGTTGGGGAATAGGCCCACAGAGCTCCTTATGCTGTCACGCCAGAAGTCTCTCCTTGCTTTTTTTGTTTTAAACTTTTTATTTTCTGACAATTTTAGCTGTAAAGAAGCAAAGATATTACAGAGTTCCTATATAACTTCATGCAGCTCCACCTCATGTTAATACTTCATAAGCCTATGACATATTTGTCAAAGCTAAGAAATTAACATGGTATACTACTACTACTACTAACTGAACTACACACTGTATTTGGATTTCACCAGTTTTTTTCCACTAATGTCCTCCAGTTGCAGGATCCAGTCCAGGACACCACATTTCAGTTAATCATCTCATCGCTTTAGTTTTCTCCCATCTGTGACAGCTGCTCTGTCTTTTCTTGTTTTTCATGATCTACATACTTCTGGAGTACTCATAATGCAATGTCCCTTAATTTGCATTTGTCTGGTATTTTTTCATTATTAGTCTAGAATTGTGGGTTAAGGGGAAGAACATCAGATTGGCAAAGTGTCCTCCTTGTATCATCATAGTAGGTGTTACGTGATGTCAAGATGACTAAAATGGACCAGGCACGGTGGCTTACGCCCTGTAATCCCAGGACTTTGGGAGGCCGAGGCGGGTGGATCACAAGGTCAAGAGATCCAGACCATCCTGGCCAACATGGTGAAACCCCGTCTCTACTAAAAATACAAAAATTAGCCGGGCGTGGTGGCGTGCAACTGTAGTCCCAGCTGCTCAAGAGGCTCAGGCAGGAGAATGGCTTGAACCTGGGAGGCGGAGGTTGCAGTGAGCTGAGATTGCGCCACTGCACTCCAGCCTGGGAGACAGAGCAAGACTCCATCTCAAAAAAAAAAAAAAAAAAGATGACTTAAGTGATGCTAACCTTGATCACTTGGTTAGGTACTTGTCTGCCAGGTTTCCCCTGTCAAGTTACTGTTTTCATTTTCCACAATTAGTCACTAAATCCAGCCAACTCAAGGGGAAGACCACAAAGCTCCACTGTCTGAAGGGGGCTGTTGGTATCTATGTATACTATTTGCAATTCTTCTTTAAGATTGGTTTCTTCTCCTTGTTTATTTATGGGTGAGCCTTATTAATTACTGGTTTTAATTTCTGAAAAATCAAGTAAGTGCTCACCTTAGCAATACATATATTAAAAATCAAATGTAAGTGCTTCTATGTGTGTTTTGTGAATCCCGTCTTATACAAATAAGGTAAGGGAGATACTAAGATTTGGAAATAGTTCGTCTCCACCAAAACTCATGTTGAAATTTGATTTCCAAGCTGGGCATGGTGGTGTGCACCTGTAGTCCCAGCTACCTGGGAGGCTGAGGCCGAAGGATCACTTGAGCCTAGGAGTTCACAGACAGCCTGGGAAACATAGTGAGACCCCATATGATATGGTTTGGCTGTGTCCCCACCCAAATCTCATCTTGAATTGTAACTCTCACAACTCTCATTTGTCATGGGAGGGATCGGTGGGGGGTGACTGAATTATGGGGCAGGGTCTTTCCTGCGCTGTTATGATAGTGAAGGAGTCTCACCAGATCTGATAGTTTTAAAAACAGGAGTTTCTGGCTGGGTGCGGTGGCTCACACCTATAATCCCAGCACTTTGGGAGGCTGAGGTGGGCGGATCACAAGGTCAGGAGATCAAGACCATCCTGGTTAACATGATGAAACCCCGTTTCTACTAAAAATACAAAACATTAGTGGGGCGTGGTGGCTCACGCCTGTAGTCCCAGCTACTCAGGAGGCTGAGGCAGGAGAATCACTTGAACCCGGGAGGCAGAGTGAGCCGAGATCGCGCCACTGCACTCCAGCCTGAGCAACAGAGTGAGACTCCATCAAAAAAAAAAAAAAAAAAAAAGGAAACATTCAGTAAGCTTGTTCTGTATTCCTACACAAAGAGTATAACAGCAATATATTCCACAAGAGTAAAGCAAAATAAGTAAAGTTATTCTAAGTAAACTAAATTAGAAGGCTTTTCATGAACTGAGCAACTGTTGGAACTAAGCTGGCATGGGGTTGTTAGCTGATTATAATGTGCCCAGAATTGGAATATTGATCCAGATTTTTACATTACCCATCCCTCTTATTTTTTCTGAGCAGCAGTCAGAGATGTTGGTTCACAGGAATAAGCAGGGTAGCTTAAATTGCAGAAACAAACTTAAAAAGAACTAATGAGACTAGAATTTAATAACAAGTATACCATAGTTCTTGAAATATAATATTTCTCTCTCCAGTTTCCCATTTTTACTAAAGACAAATTAGGGTAAGACTGATTTGATTTGCTTTATTATACTTGGCCTGATTATTTATATAAAGTGCAGCAAGAATAATTATTTTCCACATAGGCATTTTTTTTTTTTTTTTTTTGAGATGGAGTCTCGCTCTGTTGCCCAGGCTGGAGTGCAGTGGCGCGTTCTCAGCTCACTGCAAGCTCCGTCTCCCGGGTTCACGCCATTCTCCTGCCTCAGCCTCCCGAGTAGCTGGGGCTATAGGCACCCGCCACCACGCCCAGCTAATTTTTTTGTATTTTTAGTAGAGACGGGGTTTCACCATGTTGGCCAGGCTGGTCTCGAATTCCTGACCTCAGGTGATCTGCCCTCCTTGGCCTTCCAGAGTGTTGGGATTACAGGCGTGAGCCACCACACCTGGCCTATCCACTTTTAATTAAGCTAACTTTTAACCATAGTGCTCTTTAAAAAAGAAATCCTTTCAAATCTCTTATTACCCAACTTTAGCCATGCCAAGAAGCCAATATTTCTAACTTCTGAACTTTACCAAAGGTTATCTCCTACGTGCATAGAGAAAGGAAAATTTAAGACAGTCTGCGGAGGAGAAGAGACTAGACAAGGTCACGCAGATATTAAACCAGAAATGACTTACTTCCTAGGTGGGGTATCAAACCCAAACTGCCACTGTGAAAGTGCAGAAACCTTAGTTACTGAGCTACAGTGTGGGACGGTGCCTACTTCCTTTCACAGAAGCCTAGAGTAGTTAATTTTGAGCTTGCAAAGGCTTTTAACTATTTTATATGATTTTTAGAGCTGACTATGACATGAACCCTAAAATTCCTTTTCCCTAGTAGGTGGAGACCAAGAGAAGGTACTGCCACATGGTTAAAAGGTCAGGCTCCCAAGGACATAAAACAAGGGGAGACTTCATCCTGTTTGTTTGTTTCAGGGACCTGCAGCTGTTTGTTACTGACCAGTTTGCTGGGTCATGTTGAAAAGTGGGCTCACAGGTGTTCTAAGCCCATGTTTCATCCTACAGAAAAACAAATTCACAGCACAAAATACACCAGTTTGACTAGCTTAGAATTCTTTTTCATATTAATCAAAACTTTACAGAGGAGATACACACTGATTTATTATTTTTATTATTGTTATTATTTTTACCATTCATTCAACCGTTTGCACAGAGAGGGAGAAGTCAGAAATCTGACTGGTAACAAATTCTTACCTTTTTGCTGGCATGCCAGGCTTCTGTGTTCCCTTTCTCTGAGTGGTCCCAGTGATCTGGCTTGTGGCACCATCGCCCTGGGGGCCAAGCCTCATTGTAAAGGAAAACTACTTTTTTTCATTCTGACCAGAGCAAAACACATGTGATGAAACATACACATTAGCCACTCTGCTTAGCACCCAATATTAAACTGGCAAGGCTTAAATTTGCCCCCAGATAGGCCCTGTCATCTTTAATCCAACCTCTGACTTGGAGTTTCAACATGTGGTCTCTGGGCAAGATGGTCGCCCTGAGTAATAGAGTAATAGAAAAGATAAGAAAGGGGCCGGGCGCAGTGGCTCACGCCTGTAATCCCAGCACTTCAGGAGGCCGAGGCGGGCAGATCACAAGGTCAGGAGATCGAGACCATCCTGGCTAAGATGGTGAAACCCCGTCTCTACTAAAAATACAAAAAATTAGCCGGGCATGGTTGCAAGCGCCTGTAGTCCCAGCTACTCGGGAGGCTGAGGCAGGAGAATGGCCTGAACCCGGGAGGTGGAGCTTGCAGTGAGCAGAGATAGCGCCACTGCACTCCAGCCTGGGCGACAGAGCGAGACTCCGTCTCAAAAAAAAAAAAAAAATTATATATGGAAATGCTTTCGCAGGCAATACTTTCCCAGGAAATATTTTCCACAAGCAATACTTTCCCAGGGAAGGCAAAATGATCAGGGAGGCCAGAGAAAGACCCACCCATTGCAGTGACACTGAAAAGTTCAGGCGGCTACGGCTGCTGTCGTGAAGGGATTTTTTTCCAGCAGTCCCGTCAGCTCTCAAGTTTCCCCTTTTGGGGGAGGAAAAAGCTCCCCATGTCCCACGATCCTGTACACGCCTAACCCTGTCGCCCGGAGCCATCAGCAAAGAGTGCAAGGCAGATTAATCCAAAGACAATAGCAGTTAACATCCCACGGTGCCAAACCTCTTCTTAGCCAAGAGGGACTTTACTGAGAGGGGTCTCTAACCCCCTAAATCTTAGAAGGGACTCTAATCCTCCTAAGTTGGGCCTCTAACCCAAGGTCAGTCAAGCGTCCTTGCCTTTTATTAAGAGGGGCCTCTAATCCACTCTGCCTTAGGAGAGACTCTAACTCCCCTAACTTGAGCGTCTATCCCAATCCCATTCTTTACCTGGGTACCCCACCACTTACCCAAAGTCATCCAATCAGTGCTGCAGTCTATTTCCTTTGAGTCAGGGGGGTCTCCTCAGCATTGTCCCTTTTGTGGTTTGCGAGAAAAGTGTTACCCGACCCCACCACTTACCCAAAGTTAGCCTTTGGGTCACGGGTTCCTGCAGTATAGTCTCTTCTGTAGTGGCCAGGAATGTGTTACAGGAAAGGGGTCCCAATCCATATCCCAAGAGAGGGTTCTTGGATCTCGCACAAGAAATAATTCAGGGCGAGTCCACAGTGCAAGTGAAAGCAAGTTTATTAAGAAAGTAAAGGAATAAAGAATGGCTACTCCATAGACAGAGCAGCCCCAAGGGTTGCTGGGTGCCCATGTTTATGGTTATTTCTTAGTGACTTGCTAAACAAGGGGTGGATTGTTCATGCCTCCCCTTTTCAGACCACATAGGGTAACTCCCTGACATTGCCATGGCATTTGTAAACTGTCGTGGCACTGATGGGAGTGTAGCAGTGAGGAAGACCAGAGGTCACTCTTGTCACCATTTTGGTTTTGGTGGTTTTGGCCAGCTCCTTTACTGCAACCTGTTTTATCAGCAAGGTCTTTATGATCCGTATTTTGTGCTGACCTCCTATCTCATCCTGTGACTCAGAATGCCTTAACTGTCTGGGAATGCAGCCTAGTAGGTTTTAGCTTCATTTTACCCAGCTCCTATTTAAGATAGAGTTGCTCTGGTTCATATGCCTCTGAAAAAACCATTTAAATTTAATTATAAGAGTCTGGCCAGAGGGGGTGGCTCACGTCTGTAATCCTAGCACTTTGGGAGGCCGAGGTGGGTGGATCACCTGAGGTCGGGAGTTTGAGACCAGCCTGAACAACATGGAAGAACCCTGTCTCTACTAAAAATATAAAATTAGCCAGGCGTGGTGGCGCACACCTGTAATCCCAGCTACTCAGGAGGCTGAGGCAGGAGAATCGCTTGAACCCGGGAGGCGGAGGTTGCAGTGAGTGGAGACTGTGCCACTGCTCTCCAGCCTGGGCAACAAGAGTGAAACTCCATCTCAAAAAAAAAAAAAAAAAAAAAAAATTTAAGAGTCACAAATATGTGAAAAAGAGAATGATGTCTTTATCAATTTTCAAAAATTACTATTGCCAGTGATGAATAACAGTGTTCCTTGCACACTAATTTAGCCAAAAATATTTCTCCAAAAGTACCGCATCGTGTAGGAAATTGACTCCATCTCCATTCCTTGACTATTTTCAATCTCAAAATTAAATCTCTTGGAGAGTACTTTCTGCACACCTTTCTATTTCCTTAACCATATATATCGTCAAACCATTGAAAGCTGGACTTTATTCTCTCACTTTCATAGTCATGAAAAGAAAAAAAAAAAGTTACTGATGGGGACTCCTAAGACTTCGCATAATATAATCTTTGCATAGTCTAGGATTGTTAAAATTCCTAACAAGACTTTATAAACTCTCCTGTCTGCAACCAGTTAATGCTGGGTTGGGCCAGGGTTCCCCTCTTTCCCGTCACTTATCCATCTACGCTCATTCTTTTCATAGCCTCACCCAATATCATGACTTGAAGTAACAGTTTACAGTAATAACTCCCAAATTTATATATCCACGCTCGAACCCTCTGCCAATGTTGAATCATAGGTTGAGTATATGGCACTACGCTTTGTGGTCTTACTGACGTTTCAAACTGATCATGCTTGAAATGGGAGTACTGGGCTTCCCGGCAAGCCTGCTCCACTAGCAGCCTCCCCACCTCAGGGTACGGGAAGTCCACACGTGGCGAACGCGAAGCCTATTACATCACCCGGAAGTCCCTGCATCCTACGAAGGCTGGGCCCGGCCAAAGGAGGCCCAATAGAGGGCGGTCTGTCCTTTCCCAGCAGGCTGGGCACACTGTCAGGCGTCCTCCTTTGGGTGGCTATTTTAACTGCTCATTTATCCTTTTCTTCTATGAAAAGATCCAGAAAAGAGGCAAAGCAAGCGAGAAGTCGCGGGCCCAGCCCACAGCAGGGTAAGCACCTTTGTTCGGGGTCTGAATCGGGGCGAATATCCCCGCCTCCTGACCTCGATTTTCCTGAGCTAGAAGGGACCTTTCGACCCTCCGACTTGTGCCTATACTAAGGCGGTGGCCCTAAGACGACGCGGGGGTTCTGGTGCGCACTTACGTGCAGTCGGATGCGCTGGGTGAGTTCCCACACCCGGTAGATGTAAGGGAAAAACTGCATTACCCAGAAGGCACTGCCCCTTGCGTCGGCCGCGGACTCTGGGCCATTGACGACCCAGGACAGGAGAGTTTTCTGCGGGCCAGGGCGGCGGAGGCGGGACTTCCGCTTCTTCGTGTGACGTCATCTCCGTGGGCCGGTTTGGCCCTGAAACAGTGTGGGGCCTAGAGCGCTGGGTGGGCGCGTTCTGCGGCCTGAGCAGGGACGGGTAGTGAAGCGGTTACGCCCCTTCTTCGCGTCTTGGCGGGAGCCTGACGCCCCGCTTCTCCCCTAACGAGGTGTCCCACCGGCGCCCGCCGAGGCCTAGGCCTCCGCAGCCGCCCTCCGTCTCCTCAGCCCCGACGCTGCGCCTTGGGCCTTGTGCGCATTTTTTTCGGGGGAAAACTGAGGCTCGGAGTGCGAAAGTCAGCCGAGGTCGCCCCGCCCAGGACAGAGAAGGGCTGTGGTCGGCTGATCCGCGGCATTCCCGGGATGGCGGCGGCGTGGATGGCTCCGGCGCAGGTGAGTGGACGAGGTTTCGGCCTTGCTGCTGCTGTGCTATTTCTAGAGGCCTCGTGGGCAGGCTGGAAGCCAAGACAGCCACAGGATTTTTCTTTGTCGCCATCGTTTATTTAAGAGAAATGGCCGTGGCTTGTCATTTCCTTTATCCGCAGTCCTGCAACAGTGTTGGCCTCTGATAGGTGTTCAGTCCGTGGTTGAAGGAGTGATGCTTCCTTCTAGGGATCTCATCACACTTCCCCTAAATCCAACCTTCTCTGTTGCCTGCCAGCCCGTACCCCATCCACCTGGCCAACCACCCCTGACCTTGTCTGTTTGCATTTTTCCCTGGTCCTTTGCTCTTCAGAGCCACCAACCTGACCGTGCAGTCCTCTTCCATTTTCCAGGCTTTCTCCTTGCACTTCCTTTTACTTCGAACACTGCCCCTGTAACTTTGCAGGGCCTCCCTTTCACATCCTTTTGGCATCTGTCCAGGTGTCACCTATTTGGAGGTGCCTTTTTTGGCAATTCCGGCTAAAGTGGCACCTTACACCCTTGCCCAGAGTCTGGTATTTTTGTGTAGATAATCTGATGGTATTAAAGAAGCTTGTGGATTTGAGTTTGTCAAGGATGTAATGGGAACAAAGAAAAATAATTGCAAAGAATGATATTAACTGTCATTGAGTCCTTGCTGTGGGCTGATCGGTGAGTATTATTTAACCCTCAGTTCGTTTAACCCTGAAATTTTTTTTTTTTTTTTTTTTTTTTTTTGAGACGGAGTCTTGTTCTGTCGCCCAGGCTGGAGTGCAGTGGCGTGACCTCGGCTCACTGCAACCTCCGCCTTTTGGGTTCAAGCGATTCTCCTGCCTCAGCCTCCTGAGTAGCTGGGACTACAGGTGTGCGCCACCACGCCTGGCTAATTTTTGTATTTTTAGTAGAGACGGGGTTTTACCGTGTTGGCCACGCTGGTCTTGAACTCCTGACCTCAGGTGATCCACCCATCTGGGTCTCCCAAAGTGCTGGGATTACTCTTTAGAATTAGGTTCTGTTGTCATCATTGTTTTACACAAGAGCAATTTGAGGGTCACATACGTCCAATTACCTGCCTTACATCACTGTAGCTCTTAAGTTTCTTAAGTCAGAAACTAACAACTGGTGTGTCTAACATCATAGCCTGTGTTTTTACCCTCTTCTTTACCCGCAGTGGTTAGGGAGGCCTGGGGGTGAGACCTAAAGTAACCTTTGCAAGATGAGGCCTCCTTCTAGCCAGTGATCTTGGGCATGAGGAGTCATGGCCTTTCATACTGGTGGAACTGTGTAGACTTAAAAAATGGTATATTGGTTGTTTAAGGAGTTCTCAGGGGACCTGTGTGGCTTCCACGGTGGTTTTATATGTGGTTCCCCTTACTCCCTTACCTGCTGACATATTCTGAGAGGGCACGTTTGTATGGTTATGTTGCTGAATGTACCCTCCTACTCAGCCAGGATAGATGTAATCTCCAGATGGGCCCATATTGTCTTGGCTACAACCTGCTGTGCCCTCTATGACTCTTGTTGCTTGCTCATGGAATCTTCTGGCCTCAGGGATGCCTGCTAGTAGGACTTAGGTAGAAAAGGAAGCGATGGCTCATTGTGAATTCTCCCTGGAAGCAGGTCCAGGCCCTAACACCTGATCAGGTGTCACCACGTCAGGTGATTCTTTGGTGAGGTGGATGATGATGACTACACTTCTCTGCCCTTGTCCATGGGAGTGGCTGAAATGTATATGTGGATTTGAAATGCTTCATTCTCATTAACTGCATTAACTTTGCTAATAGAGAAATGTCAGGTTACATAATCAGACCAGAGGGCCCTGGGCTTAAATCCTGCCTCTGTTGATAAGACCTGTGACTTTGGGCTGGGCTTGGTGGCTCACACCTGTAAACCCTGCACTTTGGGAGGCTGAGGTAGGTGGACTGCTTGAGCCCAGGAGTTCAAGACCAGCCTGGGCAACATGGGAAAACCCTGTCTCTACAAAAAGTACAAAAAATTAGACCGGCATGGCATCATGTGCCTGTAGTCCCAGCTGTGCAGGAGGCTGAGGTGGGAGGATCACTAGATCACAGGAGGTCAGGGTTGCAGTGAGCCGACATTGTGCCACTGCATTCCAGCCTGGGTGACAGAGTGAGACCATCTAAAAAAAAAAAAAAGAGAGAGACATGAACACATGAGACTTTGGGTAGACTGGTAGAGCGGAGGGTAGGACTGAGGCCCAGGTCTCAGGTCCCTGAGTGTGACATAGAGATGATGATGGTAAATTCAGATGCTGTGGCCTTTGCCTCAGTGTTTGTTTGTTTTTTTTTTTTTTTACAAACAGTTTTTCTTTCTTTCTTTGTTTTGATGGAGTCTAGCTCTGTTGCCAGGCTGGAGTTCAGTGGTGCGATCTCGGCTCACTGCAACCATCGCCTCCGACGTTCAAGCGATTCTCCTGCTTCAGCCTCCCGAGTAGCTAGGACTACAGGCACACACTACCACACCCAGCTAATTTTTGTATTTTTAGTAGAGATGGGGTTTCACCTTGCTAGCCAGGATGGTCTCAATTTCCTGACCTCATGATCTGCTCACCTCAGCCTCCGAAACTGCTGGGATTACAGGCATGAGTCACCGTGCCCAGCCTACAAACAGTTTTTCTTTAGTTCTTTTGACTATTCTTTTTTTTTTTTTTTTTTTTTTTTGAGACAGAGGCTCGCTCTGTTCTGGAGTACAGTGACACAGTCTTGGCTTACTGCAACCTCTGCCTCCCAGGTTCAAGCGATTCTCCTGCCTCAGCCTCCCTAGTAGCTGGGATTGCAGGCTTGTGCCACCACACCTGGCTAATTTTTGTATTTTTAGTAGAGATGGGGTCTCACCATGTTGGCCAGGCTTGTCTCGAATTCCTGACCTCAGGTAATTCATGTGCCTCAGCCTCCCAGAGTGCTGGGATTACAGGCATGAACCACCGTGCCCAGCCTTGACTATTCTTGATGAAGTGGGAAACACGGTTATATTGACCTGGAAATGGAGGCTCGGCGAAATGAAATGAGGTCCCCAAGGTCACATAGCAGGCACACGTTGATTTCAGGAATTTGGTTTTAAACCTCAGGAGTCTGGCTCCTGAGCTGGGGAGTTTCAGTCACTTTACCATGGCATGTAAACCTGTCAGCATGAGGCAGGCACACAGGGAGGATTGGTAAGACTCAGATACTGTTCCTGTTATTGTTGCTGGTGGTGATGTTTTTATTATTATTATTTCCCATTCCTCTAATATGTCAGAGCACTTACTGTCTGTGCCTCTCAGTCCACTTGGGATTGTCCTAACCTTATTTCTGTGTTAAGTTCAAGTGGCTTCCTGCCTAGGAGGCTTTATTTATTTATTTATTTATTTATTTTTTATTTATTTATTTATTTTTTTTTGAGACAGAGTCTTGCTCTGTTGCCAGGCTGGAGTGCAGTGGCACGATCTCAGCTCACTGCAATCTCCGCCTCCCAGGTTCAAGCAGTTCTCCTGCCTCAGCCGCTTCTGTCTCCTCTTCACTGCTGTAATCCATGCAAGGCAGTGTCCACATTCCCCTTGATCCTAGCACAGATCTTGGCCCTTTGGAGGTGCTTGGTGATTTGGCCTTTGATTCTCTGTGCATCTTTTGCAGTGCTGGAGTGACAGGTTCTAATCCTATTCCACAGTTGCAAAGGAAACATTACTGGTTCTTTTTGACTTTTCAGGAGTCTGTGACCTTCGAGGATGTGGCTGTGACATTTACCCAGGAGGAGTGGGGGCAGTTGGACGTGACCCAGAGGGCCTTGTACGTGGAGGTGATGCTGGAGACCTGTGGGCTTCTGGTCGCACTGGGTAAGGCCTGTCCTCTCCTCTCCAAAATCAGGGGCACCAGAAAGCAGCTTCATTCTAGCCTTCATCCTGGCTCCAGGCCTGGCTAGTGGAATAGGTCTTGGGAGCCAGCCCTCCTGTTTCCCAAAGCTTTACTCTATTTTTTTTTTTTTTTTTTTGGAGACAGAGTTTCGCTCTTGTTGCCCAGGCTGGAGTGAAATGGCGTGACCTTGGCTCACCACAACCTCCGTCTCCCCGATTCAAGTGATTCTCCTGCCTCAGCCTCCAGAGTAGCTGGGATTACAGGCATGTGCTCCCATGCCCAGCTAATTTTGTATTTTTAGTAGAGAAGGGGTTTCTCCATGTTGGTCAGGCTGTTCTCAAACTCCCGACCTCAAGTGATCCACCCACCTCAGCCTCTCAAAGTGCTGGGATTACAGGCATGAGCTACCACGCCCAGCCTCATTTTTTTGACTCACCTTATTCTTCCTGATCTCTTTGTGTCTTACTTAGAAAGGGTTGGCTACGAAATATAGTTTGCTTTTGGTCACAGCCAAAGGAGAGGGATGTGTTACCAGGAAATGGGATGTTTTGTAGAACCCAAAGGCAGGATTTGCAGCCAGGCCCCCCTGTGGCACTAATACTGGTTGTCTGGTGCTGGCTTCCCTTTATGGGTCTGCTCCTGTCACTGTCTTTTTATAATGGCTTTTTCTGGCTCAGCTATTGTGTGGAACGAAGTGACCGTCTAGTCTTGTTCTCTGAGGCTCACACATTCCTTGGCACTACTACTTCCTGCATATTTTTGTTGTCTCTCTGTTGATACTCTTCTCACTTAATTCTCCCAGCATCCCCATCGTCAGTGAGTAAGGATAATAGGGCCATTGCAATGAACACCTCAGAAACTTAATTAATTCAGTTTAAGAGATAAACCTTCATTGTGAGATGCTGTTCGTTGCATTTTTTTTCTTGGTAAAGGTTCTTTCTTTTGTGATGTGTTGATTTTGATGTTTGTGCAAACGTCTATATGTGGCCAAATCGCTATTTGGAGTTCCCTCCCAGTTTTTTATTTTTCAGTGGTTCATGAAATGTCGAAGCGTGGAGTCACCACGTCTACCCCTCACTCTGCTGCCCTGTTCCCTTAGGATTGAGTTCTTCCACTCATGTCTCCCATTCTTTATGGCCTCCTTGTTTTGAGACTCCTGGCACCACACGGGGGTGTTCTTCATTTCCTCTGAGCACAGCACTTGGGAGACCAAGGTCTGATGCCTCAGAGTCCAATTCCAGCTCTACTTTTTGTCAGCTGTGTGTTCCTGGGCAAAGTACTGAACTCCTCTGTGCCTTAATTTTCTTTTTAGAATTTTTTATTTCTTTATACCCATGCCAGTGCAGAAAAGTGCCTCAATTTTCTCATGGGTAAAATGGGACAATATGTGCCAAAAAAGGCATACGTTTGTTTCATTGTACTTTGCTTTACTGCACCTTGCAGTTACTGTATTTTTAGAAGTTGAATGTTTGTGGCAACCCTGAATTGAGCAAGTCTGTCCCGCACCATTTTTCCAACAGCATGTGCTCACTTTTTGTCTGTGTCACGTTTTGGTAATTCTTGCAGTATTTCAAATATTTTTATTAATATTATATCTACTGTGGTGGTCTGCGATCAGTGGTGTTTGATGTTACTATTGTAATTGCTATGGGGCACCATGAACTGCACCATGTAAGACAGCTTTATCAATAAATGTTATGTGTGTTCTGACTGCTCCACTTACTGGCCATTCCCTCTCTGTCTCTCTCCTTGGGCTTCCATATTCTCTGAGATACAACAATAATGCAGTCAAGTCAATTAATAACACTAAAATGGAAGCCAGATGCCTCTAATCCCAGCTACTCCGGAGGCTGAGATGGGAGGATTGCTTCAGGCCAGGAGTTCGAGACTAGGCTTGGCATCATAATAAGACTCCATCTTTTTTTACTTTTTGAATAAGCTATAACTCATATGCTGTGTTGTGCAAAAATCCTAAGAAGTCCAGGCCAGGAGTGGTGGCTCACACCTGTAATCCCAGCACTTTGGGAGGCTGAGGCGGGTGGATCTCCTGAGGTCAGGAGTTTGAGACCAGCCTGGCCAACATGGCGAAACCCCGTCTCTACTAAAAATACAAAACAATTAGCCAGGCGTGGCGGTACACACCTGTAATCCCAGCTACTCGGGAGGCTGAGGCAGGCGAATCGCTTGAACTCAGGAGGCAGAGGTTGCAGTGAGCCGAGATCGTGCCACTGCACTCCAGTCTGGGCGAAGAAGGAGACTCTGTCTCAAAAAAAAAAAAAAAAAAAAGTCCACTCACTGAATTTTTGCTTATGTATAAACCCAAGTAACTACCACCTACATCAATACATAGGCTATCTCCAGCTCCTCATCAGGGTTTTATGCCCTCGATAGCTTCTTTGATTCTATTAGCTCATATTTAGACTTCATCAGCACAGATTGGTTGGCTGTTGTTGAACTGCACAGTGTGCTCTCTGACATATCTGTCTTCTTTTGATCATCATGTCTGTGTTATTCTTTTGAGGTGTTTATATACAGTCGGAGTTGGTTCATTCTCAATATGTTGTAGTTTCTCATTGTATGTGAAACTGCCATCCATTTGTCCATTACCCTGCTGATGGATGTTCCTGTTGTTTTCAGGTTTTGGATATGTTGCTGAGAGTATTATTGTTCATATTTTCTGGTGGATGTAAATACTGATTTCTGAATTGTGTGTTAACAGTAAATTCTGTTAGAATATACTCGTGTGTACATATCAGGTCATGGAGTAGGTTGTATATTCAGCTTTCTTTTTTTCTTTATTATTTTTTGTAGAAATGGAGTCTCACTATGTTGCCCAGGCTCATCTTGAACTCCTGGCCTGCACTGATCTTCCCTCCTTGGCCTCCTAAAGTGCTGGGATTATAGGCATGAGCCACACTGTGTGGGTGTGTTCAGCTTTAAAAGAAACTGCCCAGCAGTTCTGCAGAATGTACCATTTCACTTTCTGACCATGGACATGTGAAAGTTTCCATTGCTCCACATCTTCATAATCACTTGATAACATCATTCCCCTTTGGGAGGTCTAGGCGGGCGGATCACTTGAGGTCAGGAGTTATCAGCCTGGCCATCATGGTGAAACCCCATTTCTACTAAAAATTTAAAAATTAGCTAGGTGTGGTGGCAGGTGCCTATCATCTGAGCTACTCAGGAGGCTGAGGTAGGAGAATTGCTTGAACCTGGGAGGTGGAGGTTGCAGTGAGCCAAGATCACACCACTGTACTCCAGACTGGACGACAGAGCGAGACCCCATCTCAAAAAAACAAACAAACAAAAAAAACCATCATTTCATTTTACTGTTTGAGTCCCTGTGGTAGGTTTCTCTATATCACAGCACAGAAACCATTGTAAGGTCACTCCTTTCATTCCTAATTTTCAAATACAACAGTGACCATAATGATAACTGATGATGGCCCACAATTTACCGATCTCTTATGTAGTGTCTAGCACTGTGCCAAGTGCTTTATAGAAATTTTCCCCTTTTTTAAGAGACAGGGTCTTCCTCTGTCGCCCAGGCTGGAGCGCAGTGGCACCATCATAGCTCACTGTAGCCTCAAACTCCTGGGCTCAAGCAGTTCTCCTACAGAGTAGCTGGAACTACAGGCTCATGCTACAACGTCCGGCTAATTTATTAATTTTTTTGTAGAGATGGGATATTGCTATATTGCCCAGGCTACTCTTGAACTCTGGGCCTCAAGCAATTCTTCTGCCTTAGTCTCCCAAATGTAACGGGATTACAGGCATGAGCCACCGTGCCCAGCCAAGAATTTTCCTATTTAACCCTCATCACAGCCTATGAAACAGAATCTGAGAGTTTCTGTTTTTCAGATGAGGAAGTGGAGACTAGGATCAACTAAATCATTTCTCTGGCATCAGCTGACTTGGTACAGGCAAGATTTGAACTGAGATGTTCTGACTCCAGAGCTACACTCTTAACCTCCCTTCAATATGAACTCACGATTCAGCACAGAGTTTTCATATTTTGTGCTTGAGCATTGGGCCGTCTTAGATTCTCTTTCTCTGTTCTCACTGGGCTTTGGTTCTCTTTTTACTCTGATCTTCACTTTTATGTTGGCTTCATCAGTTATCTCATAGCCCATCCTTTTTACTCTTACATACTCTCCAAGGCTAATCCACACATTCTTTTTATTTATTATTATTACTTTTTTTTTTTTTTTAAGAGATGGATCTGGCTATGTTGCCCAGGCTGGTCTCGAACTCCTGGGCTCAGCTTCCCGAGTAGCCAGGATTACAGGCAGTACCTTTCAGATTGTGTCTTTTTCTAGTATTTTCAGGTTATTGTTTCTCAGGGTTGTATTGAATTTCTGGATCAGTTTTTAGAGAATTGATAATTTTATATTATCAATTTCTTCATTCAGTTAGATCTTTATTGTCTTGAAATAAAGTTTTATTATTTTCTTTTTCAAGATCCAGTTGTTTGTTAGCCTTTTCGCCTACCTTTCACCTTGACAGTGGATTCTATATGTCTACCAGGATTCTGTTCACCCTCTGTCCTAGGAGCTCTGTCCTAAGAGTAGCTGTGGCCATCACTAGCTGTCCCTCAGGCAGAATCTTGAGCATCAGCTTCGTCTCCGCCCCTTCCTGTCTCTGAATCCTGATCAACCTTAACTTCTTATGGGGCTGCCTCCTCTCACTGCAGTCCTCTGGATTCGCTGAAGACTCTGTGTCTTTGTATATTCTATGTCCTAAGGCTAATATGTCCTTCTAACTTTAAGCTCATGAAGCATCCTCTCTGGGAAGCCTCCTTGACCTCTTCCTGTCCCTGCCCCTTCTAGGCTACATTAAGTGCCCCTTCCCTGGCCTCTTGTAGCTCCTTGACATGTTCTTGAGCAAGCTTATGATAGAGTGTCATCATTATGATGTCCACCTAGTCTCATCTTGACTGTGAGTGGGGATCTCTATTCCAGACCATCTGTACTCTGCTTGAGCTTCTCCCTCTGGGTTTCTCTTTAAAAATTTCAAGAGTTGGCCAGGCACGGTGGGTCACGCCTGTAATCCCAGCACTTTGGAGGCAGAGGTGGGCGGATTACTTGAGCCCAGGAGTTCGAGACCAGCTTGGGCAACATGGTGAAACCCCATCTCTATTTTAAAAATACAAAAAATTTAGCCAGGCGGGGTGGCTCACACCTGTAATTCTAGCATTTTGGAAGGCCGAGGCAGGCAGATCACCTGAGTTCAGGGGTTCTAGACCAGTCTGGCCAACATGGTGAGACCTCATCTGTAAAAATACAAAAAAATTAGCCCAGCATGGTGGCGCACACCTGTAATCCCAGCCACTTGGGAGGCTGATTCAGGAGAATTGCTTGAACCCAGGAGGCAGAAGTTGCAGTGAGCTGAGATCATGCCACTGCACTCCAGCCTAGGCAACAGAGTGAAATTCCATCTAAAAAAAAATAAACAAAAAAAAGCCAAGCGTGGTAGCATATGCCTGTAGTCCAGCTACCTTGGAAGCTGAGGTGGGCAGATCCCGGGTGATCCGCCTCAGCCTCCCAAACCAAAGTGCTGGGATTACAGGCATGAGCCACCATGCCTGGCCTTTTTTTGAGATGGGTTTCCCTCTGTCACCTAGGCTGGAGTGCGGTGGCTCAGTCTTGACTCACTGCAGCCTCCACCTCCCAGGTTCAAGCGATTCTCCTGTCTCAGCCTCCCCAGTCGCTGGGATTATAGCCGCCCGCCACCATGCCTGGCTAATTTTTGTATTTTTAGTAGATATGGGGTTTCACCATGTTGGCCAGGCTGGTCTCAAACTCCTGACCTCAAGTGATCCGCCTGCCTTGGCCTCCCAAAGTGCTGGGATTACAGGGATGAGCCACTGTACCCAGCCCATCAAATCATAGCTATTTTCAAATCATCACTATTTTCATCTTATTGTTCTCACCAAAAAGGTGGTTTCATTTCTTCTGTACTATCTTAATAAGTTCTTTTGTGTATTGTGTTCCCTTCAGGTGACAGCACAAAACCTGAGACCGTAGAGCCTATCCCTTCTCATCTGGCCTTGCCTGAGGAAGTCTCACTCCAGGAACAGCTGGCACAGGGAGTCCCAAGATACTCCTATTTGGGGCAGGCCATGGATCAAGATGGGCCATCTGAAATGCAGGAATACTTTTTGAGACCAGGGACAGACCCACAGAGTGAGAAACTCCATGGGAAAATGAGCCTTGAACACGAAGGTTTGGCGACAGCTGATGGTATTTGTTCAATGATGATACAGAACCAAGTCTCACCAGAAGATGCTCTCTATGGATTTGACTCATATGGACCAGTTACAGATTCCTTGATTCATGAAGGGGAAAATTCCTATAAATTCGAGGAAATGTTTAATGAGAATTGCTTCCTTGTTCAGCATGAGCAGATTCTCCCTCGTGTGAAGCCCTATGATTGCCCAGAATGTGGGAAAGCCTTCGGCAAGAGCAAACACCTCCTTCAGCATCACATCATCCATACTGGGGAGAAGCCCTATAAATGCCTGGAGTGTGGGAAAGACTTCAACCGCAGGTCACACCTCACACGGCACCAGCGGACTCACAATGGAGATAAGCCCTTTGTGTGCAGTGAATGTGGAAGGACCTTCAATCGCGGGTCGCACCTTACACGGCACCAGCGGGTTCACAGTGGAGAGAAGCCTTTTGTGTGCAATGAATGTGGAAAGGCCTTTACCTACCGCTCCAATTTTGTCTTGCATAACAAGAGCCACAATGAGAAGAAACCCTTCGCATGCAGCGAATGTGGAAAAGGCTTTTATGAGAGTACAGCCCTCATTCAACACTTCATTATCCATACTGGGGAGAGGCCCTTTAAGTGCCTTGAGTGTGGGAAGGCCTTCAACTGCAGGTCACACCTCAAGCAGCATGAGCGGATTCACACTGGTGAGAAGCCCTTTGTGTGCAGTCAATGTGGAAAGGCCTTCACTCACTATTCCACCTATGTCCTGCATGAAAGAGCCCACACTGGAGAAAAGCCTTTTGAGTGCAAAGAATGTGGGAAAGCCTTTAGCATTCGAAAAGACCTCATTCGACACTTCAACATCCACACTGGAGAGAAGCCCTATGAGTGTTTACAGTGTGGAAAGGCTTTTACCCGCATGTCAGGGCTCACAAGGCACCAGTGGATTCATACTGGAGAGAAGCCGTATGTATGCATCCAATGTGGGAAAGCCTTTTGTCGGACCACAAACCTGATTCGACACTTTAGCATCCACACTGGAGAGAAGCCCTATGAATGCGTGGAGTGCGGGAAGGCCTTCAACCGCAGGTCACCCCTCACAAGGCACCAGCGGATTCACACTGCAGAGAAGTCCCACGAACCCATCCAGAGTGGGAACGTTTCTTGTGAGAGCACAGATCTCATTCAACACTCCATCATCCACACTGAGAGTAGCCCAGTGAGTGCAGTGAATATGGAAACGCCTTCAATTGCCGCTCATTCCTCCTCACTCGACATCAACGGATTCATAGTGGAAGAAACCCTACCATTGTAACAGATGTGGAAAGACTTTTTACGTACACTTCAGTCAACATCCAAGAATTCCTATTAGCGAAATAGTTTTTTAATATAACCACTGAAGAAAATCTGTGGTGAGAGGAAACATCTTACCATCTGGTCATTCATACTGAAGAGAAACTCCATAAGTATCATCTCTGTGGGAAAACCTGTTTTAGATCATCATTTGTCATCTAAACAATTATGTTAGAAATTGACACAGCCAAGAGTCTTATTCTACATCTGATAATTCACCCATGAAAGAGACCCAGTGGTTACTGTGCACTTAGGAAAACCTTCAGCCACATCTTTCTTATTAGTTTACAGTGAAATGTTATCTCAGGGACATTCAAACAAAGGAGGAGGAGTCATAGGGAAGAGAAAGAAATGGAAGCACAGCTTCTTTCAGACTTCCCTGACAAGCCCATGGCAATTTGTCATCCCCTCCTTATTTTATTTGGGAGAGGGAAATGTTTCAGAAACAAAAGGGCCTCATCCCCTTTATTTTCCCTGTGTATACATTCACTGCTGTCCAGTGCTGTAGACAAACGGTTTGTTTGAAAACATTTTGTGAAAGCCTGCTTTGTTCCACAGCATTGTCTCCACTCTTGAGGAGCAGAAGCATATATCTTTATGAGAAAGATGGAGGCTTGAGTTATGAAATACTTTTACATTTAAGGAGATAAAGGATGTACATATGAATGGGCACATTTTACTGCACACTTCAGACGCTTTGACTTTTTTAAAAAAATTGTTTCTCCGTGTGTCTTTAACCACCCAGTACCATACTTTTTTCTTGATCTGGATCTACTTGTCAATTTCTTCTTTATTTTTCTGTAGGATGGAGATGATATTGTAGCTGTTTGTACATAATGTAATCCAGGGAGTCCTAATTCTTCCCTCTGATTGTGGTTTCTCAGCTTTTTTACTGCTCTTTAGAGAGAGTAAATAGTTCAAAATTCACCTCAACAATTTTCTAGAGGTCAATTTGGAACCAAAAATGAAATAAGACATGTAGCTAAAGTAAGTTAAAAGATTATGATAAACTCAGAAAATAAACACAGAGAAGGAATCTCATTTTTCAGTCTTACAGAAGATTGTGTGAAGGCTGACTATACATAAAGTGACTGGAATTTTAACAGGTGAACCTGCATATGTATATGCAGGTAGTTGTCACCATGGATTGAGTCCAGTCGTAGTAATTAATATGTTTAATCAGAATATTTTGGAATTTCTCTTTTGGTATTCTTTTTGTTTCTTTTATTGTTTTTAATTGACAATGTTTATGGGGTTTGGTGTGATATTTCAATACATGTGTGCTAAGAGTAATGATCAAATCAGGGTAATTAGCATATCCATCTCAATCATTTATCATTTCTTTGTGTTTAGAAACATTCACAGTCTGCTTTTCTAGCTATTTGAAAATATAAAATGTATTATTGCCAATTGTACTCATTCTGCAGTGCCACAGAACACTACAACTTATTCAAATGGAATCTTACTTGCTGTAATTTTGTATTTGTTAACCAATCTCTATCTGCCTCTCTGCTGTCCTTCCCAGCCTCTGGTTACCACCATTCTCAACCTTTTATGCTTGCATATGAGTAGAAACATGGAGTATTTCTCTTTCTGTGTCTAGCTTATTTCACTTAATGTCTTTCAAGCTCATTCATGTTGCTGTGAATGACAGGTTTATTTTTCATGGCTGAGTAGTATTCCATTGTGTATATATGCCATGTTTTCTTTCTTCATTCATCTGATAATGGACACTTAGACTGATTTCTTAGCTATTATGAATAGTGCTTCAATAAACATAGGAGTGTAGATCTCTCTTTGACGTATAGATATATTTGTTTTTGCATATATGCCCAGTAGTGGTATAGATCA
Source organism: Homo sapiens (assembly GCF_000001405.40). Taxonomy (NCBI): domain Eukaryota; kingdom Metazoa; phylum Chordata; class Mammalia; order Primates; family Hominidae; genus Homo; species Homo sapiens. Next base: position 57,294,120 of record NC_000019.10, read on the forward strand.
TTACCAGTGGATCATATGGTAGTTGTATTTTTAACTTTTGTTTATTTTTCATTTTTTAAAATGGGGTCTTGCTGTGTTATTCAGGCTGGTCTCAGACTCCTGGGCTCAAGCAGTCCTGCACCTCAGCCTCCTGAGTAGCTGGGACTACAGGCACACACCACCGTGCCTGGCTATAGTTTTAGATTTTTGAGGAACATTCATACTGTTTTCCATATGGCTATACTAATTAGCATTCCTACCAGCCATATATAAGAGTTCCCCCTTTTCCATGTTCTCAGCAGCATTTTTTATTTTTTATCTTTGGTAATAGCCATCCTAACTGAGGTGAAATTATATCTCATTGTGGTTTTGATTTGCATTTCCCTGATTAGTGATGTTGAGCATTTTTTCATATACTTGGCCATTTGTATGTCTCCTTTTGAGGGATGTCTATTCACCTTATTTACCCATTTTAAAATCAGATTTTTTATTTTTATTTTTTTTGCTATTGAGTTCCTTTTATATTCTGGATATTAATCCCTTTCAGATGAATAGTTTGCAAATATTTTATCCCACTCTACTAGTTGTCTCTTCATTCTGTTGTTTCCTTTGCTGTGCAGAAGTTTTTTAGTTTAATATAATCCCTTTGTTTATTTGTGCTTTTGTTACCTTGATTTTCAGGTATTCATAAAATCCTTGCCCAGACCAATATCCAGAAGCATTTCCCCTATGTTTTCTTCTGTAGTTTCATAGTTTTTGCTCTTACATTTAAGCTTTCAAACCATTTTGAGTTGATTATCCTGAGAGCATAGATTCAAATTGCCCTAAAAATACATTCCCAATTTTTGTTTTTGCTTTTTAATTATTTTTTAGAGACATAGTCTCACCACATTGCCCAGCTTGGTCCTGAACTCCTGGACTCAAGTGAGCCACAACTCAGCCTTCTGAGTAGCTAAGATTACAGGTATGAGCCAGCATACTTGGTGTTTTGAGTTGATTTTTGTGTATGGTGAGAGATGAGTCTACTTTCATTCTTCTGCATATGAATATCCAGTGTCCCAGCACCATTTATTGAAGAGACTGTCCTTTTCCCAGTGAATGTTCTTTGTGCCTTTGTTAGAAATCAGTTGGCTGTAAATGGGATTTATTCCTGGGCTCTCTGTTTTGTTCCATTGGTTTGTGTGGTTTTTAAAAAATACCTGAACCATGCTGTTTTGGTTACCATCACTTTGTAGTATATTTCAAGGTCAGGTAGTGTGATGACTCCCATTTTGTTCTTTTTGCTTAGGATTGCTTTGGATATTCAGTATCTTCTGTGATATCATGAATTTTAGGATTACTATTTCTATTTCTGTGAAAAATGTCATTGGTATTTTGTTAAGAGTGCATTGAATCTGTAGATCACTTGAGGTAGTATGTTCATTTTTTTTCATAAGCTATCTCTTACAGGAAAGTATGTTCATTTTTATAGTAACCATTCTAATCCATGACCATGGGATGTTTTTCCTTTTTTATGTGTGTCCTCTTTGATTTACTTCATCAGTGTTATATAGTTTTCCATGTATTCTTATTTTATTTTTGTTGAAGTATTGTAAATGGGATGGCTTTCTTGATTTCTTTTTCAGCTAATTCATTGTTGGTGTATAGAAATGCTGCTGATTTTTGCATGTTGATTTTATATCCTGCAAGTTCAGTGAATTTATCAGTCCTAAGATTTTTTTGGTGCCACTTTTGGAGTTTAGGGTTTTCTATATATTTGATCCTGTCATGTGCATACAGGGATAATTTGACTTCATGCTTCCTGATCTGCATGCCCTTTATTTCTTTGTCTTGCCTGATTACTCTGTCTCAGACCTTTTGTACTTTGTTAAAAGGTGTGAAAGTGGGCATACTTGTTTTGTTTCAGATTATAGAGAGAAAGCTTTCAGCACTTTCCCATTATGCATGATGTTAGCTGTGGGTATGTTACTTATTACCTTTATTATGTTGAGGTACGTTCTTTCTATTATTATTATAATTTTTTTTAATTTTTTTTTTGAGATGGAGTCTCGCTCTGTCGCCCAGCTGGAGTGCAGTGGCATGATCTCAGCTCACTGCAAGCTCCGCCTTCTGGGTTCACACCATTCTCCTGCCTCAGCCTCCCAAGTAGCTGGAACTACAGGTGCCCACCACCATGCCTGGCTAATTTTTTGTATTTTTAGTAGAGATGGGTTTTCACCATGTTAGCCAGGATGATCTTGATCTCCTGACCTCGTGATCCGCCCGCCTCGGCCTCCCAAAGTGCTGGGATTACAGGTGTAAGCCACCGCGGCCGGCCCATTCTTTCTATTATTATGTGTAATTTGTTAAGAGTTTTCATCATGAGGGGATATTGAATGTTACCAGAGGCTTTTTCTCCACCTATGGAGATAATCACATTTTTTGTTCTTCATTCTGTTGATTTATCATGTTTATTGTTTTGTGTATGTTGAACCCATTCTTGCATCCCTAGAATGAATTCCACTTGGTCATGGTAAACAATCTTTTTGATGTACTTTTGGATTTGGTTGGCTAGTATTTTGTTGAGGAGTTTTGCATTTATGTTCATCAGGAATATTGGCCTGTAGTTTTCTTTTGCATGTGTGTGTCCTTATCTGGTGCTTGTGTCATGGTAATGCTGGCTTGTGGAGTGAGTTTAGAATAATTCCCTCCTCTTCATTATTCTGGGAAAGTTTGAGAAGAATTCATATTTAATTCCCCTAAAATGTTTGGTAGAATTCAGCAGTGAAGCCATGAGATCATGGACTTTCCTTTGATGGGTGACTTTTTATTACTGCTTAAATCTTGTTACTCAGAATTGGTCAATTGAAATTTTCTGTTTCTTCTAGGTTCAATCCTGATGGGTTGTATGTGTCTAGGAATTTATTTTCTGTAGGTTTTCCAACTTTTTGGTTTGTAGTTGTTCATAATAGTCTCTAATGACTCTGTATTTTTGTGGTATCAGTTGCAGTGTCATTTTTGTATGTGTTTGATTTTGAGTCTTTTCTCTTGGTTAGTCTAATGGTTTCTTTTCAAAAAATGAACTTTTCATTTTGTTGATCCTTTGAATTTTTTTTTAAGTCTCAGTTTTATTTATTACTCTTCTGATCTTTATTAATTCTTTCCTTGTAATTTTGGGTCTGATGTGTTCTTTTCTAGTTCCTTGAGAAGCATTGTTAGATTTTTCTTTTTTCTTTTTTTCTTTTTTTAAGAGACAGGGTCTTACTGTGTTACGTAGGCTGGAGTGTAATGGTACAATCAACTCAAACTCCTGGGCTCAAGTGATCCTCACACCTCAGTTTTGAATTCTTGGGCTCAAGCAGTTCTCCCACCTCTGCCTCCAGAATAGCTAGGACTACTGGTATGCGCTATCATGACCAGCTAATCTTTTTTTTTTTTTTTTTTTTTTTTTTTTTTTTTTTTTTAGAGATAAGGTCTTGCTATATATATGGCCCAGGCTGGTCTTGACCCAGCATCAAGTCGTCCTCCTGCCTTGCGCTCCCAAAGCACTGGGATTACAGGTGTGAGCCACCATGCCCAGCCAGATCTTTCTTGTTTTTGATGTAGGTGTTTATTACTAAATACTTCCCTCTTAAAACTGCTCTTGCTGCATCCCATACATTTTTATATGTTGTGTTTCTGTTTTCACTCATTTTAAGACATTTAAATTTTGTTTCTTAATTTCTTCATTACCCATTGGTCATTCAGAATCATGTTATTTAATTTCCATTTATTTGTGCTGCTTTAAAAGTTCCTCTTGTTATTGATTTCTAGGTTTATTTCATTGTGGTCAGAAAGGTACTTGATGTGATTTTAATTCTTTTAATTTTTGTGATTTGTTTTGTGGTTTAACATGTGGCCTCTCCTTGAAAATATTGCATGTGCTTATGAAAAAAAATATGTATTCTGTAGCTGTTGGATGAAAAGATCTGTTAGTGTCTTTTAAGTCCATTTGGTCTAAAGTCAGTTTAAACTTGGTGTTTCTTTGTTGATTTTCTATGTATATGATCTGTCCATTGCTGAAAGTAGGGTGTTGAAGTCCACAAGTATTATTGTATTATTGTATTGTCTTCCCCTTTAGATCTAATAATATTTGCCTTACATATCTGGGTGCTCTGATATTGGGTGCATATATATTTACAATTTTTGTATCCTCTTCCTGATTTCATCCCTACTGTGTTTGATACAAAGTCTCTTATCGTAAGTATAGCTACTCCTTATATAGTCATGATTGTGGTAAAAAAAAAAAAAAAAGAAAAGAAAAAAGAAAAAAAATGTATAGCTACTCCTGCTTGCTTTTGGTTTCCATTTGCATGGAATATATTCTATTCCTTCGCTTTCAGTCTGTGTCTTTTTTTTTTTTTTTTTTTTCCAGACATAGTCTCGCTCTGTCACCCAGGCTGGAGTGCAGTGGTGCTATCTTGGCTCACTGCAACCTCTGACTCCTGGGTTTAAGCATTTCTCCTGCCTCACCCTCCCGAGTAGCTGGGACTACAGGTGTGCGCCACCACACCCGGCTAATTTTTGTATTTTTAGTAGAGATGGGGTTTCACTATGTTGGCCAGGCTGGTCTCGAACTGACCTCAGGTGATCCACCCGCCTCAGCCTCCCAAAGTGCTGGGATTACAGGTGTGAGTCACTGCGCCTGGCCATATTTGTGTCTTTAGAGGTGAAGTGAGTTTCTTATAGGTAGCATATAGTTGGGTCATTTTAAAAACCCATTTAGTATATATCTTTTAAGGTAGGAATTTAATCTGTTTACCTCAAGGTTATTATTTTTAAGTGAAGACTCCTTTCATTTTGTGGTTTTCAGAATGTTTTGTATATCCTTTGTTCTTTTCTTCATCTCTTATTTTTTATCATTGTATTTTGGTGGTTTTCTGTAGTGATAAGATTTGATTTTTTTTTTCTCTTTTTTCTTTGCCTATCTGCTCTACCAGTGAGTCTTATACTTTTATGTGGTTACATAATGGTGATTATTGTCTTCTTATTTCCCGATATAGCATTCCCTTGATCATTTCTTGAAAGGCTGGTGTAGTGGTGATAAATTCCCTTAATTTTTGCTTGCCTGAGACACACTTTATTTCTACCTAATTTTTCTCTTTCTTTTTTTTTTTTAAGTGGAGTTTCACTCTCTTGCCCATGCTGGAGTGCAGTGGCATGATCTTGGCTCACTGCAGCCTCCACCTCCCAGGTTCAAGCGATTCTCCTGTCTCAGCCTCTGGAGCAGCTGGGATTACAGGCGCATGCCACCATGCCTGGTTAATTTTTGTATTTTTGTAGAGATGGGGTTTCACCATGTTGGCCAGGCTGGTCTTGAACTCCTGACCTCAAGTAATTCGCCTGCCTCAGCATCCTAAAATACTGGGATTATAGGCATGAGCCACTGTGGCTGGCTATTTCTACCTAATTTCTGATGGATTGGTTTGCTGTGCATAGTATTTTTGACCGATATTTTTTCTTTTCTTTCAGAAATTTGGATATATCATCCCATTTTTTCCTGGCCTGTGAGGTTTCTGCTGTTATTCTAATGAAGATTCCCTTATATATGACTTGATGCTTTTCTACTGGTACTTTTGGATTTTTCTCTTTGTCTTTGACTTTTGTCAGTTCAAATATAATGTGCCTTGGAGGTGACCTTTTTGGGGATCTTTGAGCTTCCTGGATCTGAATGTCCATATCTCTCGCAAGACTTGGGAGGTTTTTAGCTATTATTTCATTGTCTTTTTCGTTTTCTTTTATTTTTAATCTTGCTGTGATCTCCTTAGCAGCTATAATTTCATTAAATATGTTTTATTTTTTTAATTTTTTTTTTTTTGAGACAGAGTCTCGCACTGTCGCCCGGGCTGGAGTGCAATGACGCAGTCTTGGCTTACTGCACCCTCCGCCTCCTGGGTTCATGCGATTCTCTGGCCTCAGCCTCCCAAATAGCTGGGATTACAGGTGCACACCACCACACCCAGCTAATTTTTCGTACTTTTAGTAGAGACGGGGTTTCGCCATGTTGGCCAGACTGGTCTTGAACTCCTAACCTCATGATCCACCTGCCTTGGCCTCCCAAAGTGCTGGGATTACAGGCGTGAGCCACCACGCCTGGCCTGTTTTATTTAAAAAGTTGTATTAAATATATATTTTTTTCTTTTTTTCTTTTTTTTTTGAGACGGCATTTTCACCCTTCTTGCCCAGGCTGGAGTGCAACGGTGCAATCTTGGTTCACTGCAACCTCTGCCTCTCAGGTTCAAGTGATTCTCCTGCCTCAGCCTCCCGAGTAGCTGGGATTACAGGCACCCACCACCATGCCTGGCTAATTTTTTGTATTTTTGGTAGAGACGGGGTTTCGCCATGTTGCCCAAGCTGGTCTCAAATTCCTGACCTCAGGTGATCCACCCACCTCAGCCTCCCAAAGTGCTAGGATTACAGGTGTGAGCCACCGCACCCGACCTGTTAAATATATTTTCTATGCCTTTTGTCATCTCTTTGCCTTCTGGAACTCTAAAAATATGAAATTTTTTTCCCTTGATGTTATCTAATAAGTCTGGTAGGCTTTCTTCACTCCTTGTCATTCTTATTTATTCTTCTCTCACTGGTAATTCCAAACAAACTCTTTATCTTTCTTTGCTTGAGTAAGTTTGCTATTGATGCTCTCTATTGTACCTTATATTTTATACATTAAATTCTTCAGCTGCAGGATTCCTGTTTGGTGATTTTAAAATATTTCTTTCTTAAATTTCTCTTTCATGTTATGAATTGTTTTTCTGATTTTATTGAATTATCTTTCTGTATTATCTTGTATCCTATTGAGGGTTTTTTGTTTGTTTGTTTGTTTGTGAGACAGAGTGTCACTCTGTCACCTAGGCTGGAGTGCAGTGGCGTGATCTTGGCTCACAACAATCTTTGCCTTCCAAGTTCAAGTGATTCTCCTGCCTCAGCCTCCCAAGTAGCTGGGACTACAGGTGTGCACCACCACACCCAGTTAATTTTTGTATTTTTAGTAGAGACAGGGTTTCACCATGTTGGCCAGGCGGGTCTTGAACTCCTGACCTCAAGTGACTCGCCCACCTTGGTGTCCTAAAGTGCTGGAATTACAGGTGTGAGTCACTGCACCTGGCCTTGTTGAGTTTTTAAAAGATCATTATTTTGAATTACTTTTTTGGTAATTGGTAGATTTCCTTCTAGCTTGTTAACGGAAAGTTATTGTGTTCCTTTCATGGTGACACATTTCCTTGCCTTTTCATGTTTCTATTGTCCCTGCATTGATGTCTGTGCATCTGGTGAAACAATGGCGTCTTCCCATTTTTCTACAGTCACTTTCATAGAGGCTTTCACCTGCACTTGGTCCTTAGTGTGCTAGTTGAGAAGGGTGTAGTAACTCTGTTTCCAGATAAGTGAAATGGTATAGTCTTTGTTCAGCTTTATCAACAGTATTTAATGTTGGCAGTAACTTTGTTTTCCTCAGTGGCCTAGGTTGTAAAAGTTTGTAGCAGTAATGGCATAGGTTGTTAATGGCAAGGGCTTTTTTGGAGTCCTCCTATTTTCATTTGCCCCACAATGAAGTTACTTAGCCATGAAGATACTTCTTGCTGTCAAGTATGATATGGCCTATAGGCAGGTACAGTGGCTCTGGGTTCCAGGTGCAGGTGCTCAGGGCAGCTGTGGGTCTGGGGTTCTAGGCTCAGCATCTGATGAACCTATTGTGGCACCTGGGTTTTGAGCTATAGATTTGCTCCATGTGGTAGAATTGGAGGTAGGTTTACCACAGAGCCAAGATCTGTAACTCTGATGTACTCCCTAGCAGCTTGGGCCCAAAGGGCCAGGTTGTAGCTTTTTGTTTCTGGGCGGCCAGGCACAGCACAGGCCCAACTCTAGGGAAGAAGTGGTGCTTTGGAGTATTGGGCCAAGGAAACAGAATACAGCTGCAGTTTGGTAACCTGAACCATTCAGGCTCATTGGCAACTTGGGTTTCTGGCATAGCACAGTTTTTGTTTGGGCCTTGGGCAATAGGGAGCAGCCCAGTGATGACTCAGCTCCCCAGGGAGAAAGCTGTCTCAGCAGCCCATACTTCAGGGTGTTAGTCCTGCCCCCTGGCAGCTGGTTATCCAGCTAGCTCCCTAAAGTGAGTACTAGAGTTGTTTGGCCTGTAGTGTGGGGTGTCTCATCTCATGCCCTGCTTTGTTTCCCTGGAATGTGAAGGCCCATGCCAGCTCAGCCCAGTATTGCATAGCTACTCAGTTCAGGCAAGGCACTGCATCCCCAGAGGGTAATGTGCCTCGTCAGCTCAGGTCTAGGGTGTGTGACCTTAGGTTGGCCCAGGCACCATTTTCCTGGGATGCAGGAAGCTGCTTCAGATTAGGTACTGGACTGTGTGTCTGCTTGGGATGGCCAAGACACTGTTACCTGGAAGGCAGGGTGGTAGGTAGGGTGCTGCTTAAACTTAGGCACTGGGGAGGCATGACTGCTCTCGATGGCCAAAGTACTGTTTTCCCAGGAGACAAGGTACTGCTTCAGCTCAGGTACAGAGGGGTGTGACTGCTCTGGATGGTTAATGCACTGTTTTCCCAGGATGCCTGGCATTGCTTCAGCTCTGGCCTAGAGGGGCAGGATGTAGCAGCATCTGGGAGGGGTAGGTGGAGGAGCTTCGCCAAGGCATCCTTTCCTCAGGAGGCAATGTGCAGCTTCAGCTCAGGTCCCTGGAAGCAGGGCAGTTTTGGGAGAAGTAGACTGAGAGGTAGACAGTGAGAGGTGGATGTTGCACATCTGCCAGAGCATTGTTTTCCCAGGAGGGAGTGCACAGCTTCAGCTCTAGTCGAAGGTGACAGGACACAGCCTAGCATAGGGACTTGAGGGGTAGGTGGTGCAGCTCTCCCACTGCATGGCCCTACATGGGAAGGTGGAAAAGCTGCTTGTAGATGTTGGGCCACCAGGTGGGGGTGGATGGTGATGGCTTATCCTCAGGGATGAAGAGGTGCCATGGAACCAGACAGAACTCCAGCCGTTCCAAAATAACAGCACAGTAGCTGTATGGGCCACTGGGGGCAGGACAGTGTCAGCTCCTTCCTCAGGAGCACAGCTGTATGGACTCCAGGCGGGTCCGTCAGCTAAGCTTAGTGCCTGTGAGGGCTGTAGGGGACCCCAGTGGTGAGTACTGTAGGTGTCCAAGGTGGTGATGTACGCTGCTGGTATGCTATTGCTCACTTTTTCCACATACGGAGAAATTCCTTCTGGTTTTCAGCTGATCTTGGCTGGGGGATGGGGTTGTGGAGACCAGGTGTTCCATTCTCTGCTTGGCTATCCTGAGTTTCTGTGCTCACCAGAGTTTTTGTTATTACTTTGACATATTCTGGTGCTTTCCTTTAGTTATTTGCATTAAAATGTATTTGCTTATTTATTTTGGCTCTGTGGGGGTGGGGAGAACAGCATTTACGGACTGCTAATCTGCCTTCTTGCTGAAGTCACTCTCTTGCTACAGATATTTGGTTGGAAACATTTTCGTTTGTATTCTGTAAATAACTAGGAGTAGAATTGCTGTGTCATATGATATGTGTATATTTACCTGTATAGGAAACTGCCAAGTTGTTTTCCAAAATGGCTGTACCATTTTGATTTCTCACCAGTATTTTGTGGGAGCTCCAGTCCTACATCTTTTTGAGCACTTGGTTTTGTTACACTTTAAGTTTTTCAATTTAACAGATGTGTAGAGGTGTCTCATTGTGGATTTAAATTTCATTGCTGAAATGACTACTGGTATTGAGCATTTTTTCATATGTTCATTGTTCATATATCTTTAGTTATCTTTCCAAATCTTTTTTTTTTTTTTCTTGAGACGGAGTTTCGTTCTTGTTGCCCAGGCTGGAGTGCAATGGTGAGATCTCAGCTCACCACAACCTCCGTCTCCCAGGTTCAAGCAGTTCTCCTGCCTCAGCCTCCCAAGTAGCTGGGATTACAGGCCCCCACCACAACGCCCAGCTAATTTTTTTATTTTTTGTAGAGATGGGGTTTCACCATGTTGGCCAGGCTGGTCTTGAACTCCTGACCTCAGGTGATCCGCCCACCTCAGCCTCCCAAAGTGCTGGGATTACAGGCGTGAGCCACTGCACCAGACCCTATCTGTCCAAATCTTTTGTCCCACTTTAAATTGTTTTTTCTTCTTAACATTGAATTTTAAGAATTCATTGTATCTTTTAATATTCTGAATGCTAGTTATTTGTCAGATACATGTTTTGCAAACCATTTATCTGTATTTGGTTTCTTTTTGTTATCTTAGCAGTGTATCCTGAAGAATAGTTTTAAATTTTGATGTAATCCAAAATATTTCGGTTGTTTGTGTTCTTTGTTATCCTATTTTTGTTGTTGTTGTTTTATAGATATGGGGGTCTCACTACGTTGCCCAGGCTGGTCTTGATCTCCTGAACTCAAGTGATCCTCCCACCTCAGCCTCCCATCCTTGTCTACCTAATTAGGCTTTGTGTAACTCAGTGTTGCAAAGCTTTGACATCTGTTTGAGTTAATGTTTATATATGTTGTTACTTAAGGGTTTCACATTAAATTTAAACATACTTATATTTTATAACCAAACAAGTCATGTTGGGGCATACTCATTAGGATTGAGTGCTTTCTTACACCAAAATACATGTATACAAAGATTTAAAACACTTTCGGCCGGGCGCGGTAATCCCAGCACTTTGGGAGGCCGAGGCGGGTGGATCACAAGGCTAGGAGATCAAGACCATCTGGCTAACACGGTGAAACCCTGTCGCTACTAAAAAAATACAAAAAATTAGCCAGACGTGGTGGCAGGCGCCTGTAGTCCCAGCTACTCGGGAGGCTGAGACAGGAGAATGGCATGAACCCGGGAGGCAGAGCTTGCAGTGAGCCGAGATCACCCCACTGCACTCCAGCCTGGGCGACAGAGTGAAGGCTATGTCTCAAGAAAAAAAAAAAAAAACTTTTATAATAACAACTGTAAATAGTTCAATTGACAGTCATTTGTAAGATGTTTAAGTAAACTGTGAAACAGTAAGTAAATGGATGAAAACACACTGATTAAAACTGCTGCTTTTATCCAACAAGATGGATGAATTTCCCAGGAAAGAATACTTGAGTTCAGGCCTGTTCAAGTCCCAACCTGTTTGTGGTTTGAGGTTGCTCTCTGCCTCGTAGAGCAAAGTGGAAAATTTATCTTCTGGGAGGACAGAGTTTTCTTCTCTGAAAAAGTTTCCTACATAGTTGGCTTTGGCATTTGCAAGGAATGAAAGGTCAGGGATTGAGGCCTCATGAGTCTGGATTTCTAGCTGAGGTTGAGAGAAAAGGTAGTGATTGTAACCAGAAAATCCAGAGTGGGTGTATTTACCTCCAGAACTCATCACTTAAAAAAAAATTTTTTTTGAACTGACATGCTTGAGGCTTTTTCTTTTTTTTTTTTTTGAGATGGGGTCTTGCTCTATCCCCCAGGCTGGAGTGCAGTTGTGCAGTCATAGCTCACTGTAGCCTTATCCTCCTGGCCTAAGCAGTCCTCCTGCCTCAACCTCCCTAGTAGCTGAGACCACAGGCGCATGCCACCTGTGAGTTTCTAGAGATGAGGTCTCCCTATGTTCCCCAGCCTGGTCTTGAACTCCTGGGCTCAAGTGATCCTCCTGCCTCAGCCTTCCAAAGTGTTGGATTACAGGCGTGAGCCACTGTGCCTGGCCAGAGCTCATCACTGTTAACTCAGCCTGGGTTTTTCACAGCAGTCATGGAAATAGATTCATTAATAATAGTAACAAATATATAGTCTCCCTCTCAAAGAAACCTTGAGTGGCAGTGGCATACCAGATACACAGTAGGAAATACTGTAGAATTATGTTGTTAAGTTCATAACCAAACATCATACATGATGATAAAAGACAAGATAATGGTCACATTTATGCAGTATTAACTGAGAGGGCAAATTTGTGCCTGAGAAGCTATTGGGAATGTTCTCTCTCTTTGCATTACTAGGAATTACATGGGAAACACATGTAGACAGTCTTCAGGCTATTAAGATTTGTCCACTTAATCTTTACTTATACATGAATAAAAAATGGGAAAACATGATAAATATAATAAACTAATACACTCAACCCTGCCCCTTGATTATATAATAGAACAAAATCAGCATGCCCGGCATGAGCCTGCCAGATTGCCAATTCCATCCTCCACCTTCAGAGGATGCCGCCATCCAGAATTTTGCCTTACTCATTTTACTTTCTTCATAGTTCGACACCTTAAATGTATATTACTAATAGTAGCTTTGCATTTTTGGCTGATTTAAAAATTGATATAAATGAAATAATGCTGTAGAGATGCTTTTTGGTATTAAGTGGATATACTGTTATTCTTAAAGATGTTTGAAATGAATATACCTTTCTAAATATCTTTTTAAAATAATACATTAAATGATACTGCTTTAGAATTCATGAACTGCATCTCATGAGAATATGTAGAGATGACGTGGGCAGGTAAAGTAAAACTTCAGGTTGAATATCCTATGATAATTTAAAAATGACAAAATAGTGTGGTGAATAATAGAGCTTGAGCACTTTAAGGCACCGTAGGGACCCCTTCAATGTAATGATGACAGTGCTGAGGTGCAGAGAAGTTAGGTAATCAGCCCAAGCCACTACTCTAAGGACAGACCCTATCTACTTTTCCTAATTTGTCAGAAGACTGCCTATGATACTACTAATAAAAAGTCCTATGAAATTGGTATTGTCATTATTTTACAAATAAAATAATCTTCAATTTTTGTTTCCTCTATGCATGGGTTACTTAGTATTTTGTAATTTGAATTTCAAGCATAATTAAAAAGAAATCAGGTATCTAGGCTGGGCATGATGGCTCAAGCCTGTAATCTCAACATTTTGGGAGGCTGAGGCAAGAGGATCACTTGAGGCCAGGAGTTTGAGGTATCTTTTGTTGATCTCTACACTGATTGTATTCTCTCTTTTATTCTATGAAAGTTAAAGATTTTTTCTGATACTACATATTGTCAGTTTTTTAAATACTCAGTTTGTGCTAAAAGAAAACATTCGGCAACTGATATCTGCTGTTCTGTATGTATCTGTCAGTCCAGATTTGTCCATTATGGTGTATGAATCTAATAGAACCTCACCAATGTTATACCTGCCTTCTTGAAATCATTACTGAGATAGCTAATATTAAAATATCCTGGTTTGTCTGTATATTTAATTCTTTACTCTCATTATACTAAATTTTTTTAATGTAATTTGAATTGATGGTAAAAATTGTATACAGGCCGGGTGCAGTGGCTCACTCCTATAATCCCAGCATTTTGGAAGTCCTATGCAGGAGGATTGCCAGAGGCCAGGAATTTGAGATCAGCCTGGGCAACATAGTGAAACTCTCATCTTTATAAAAAGTAATATTAAAATTTTTAAAAGTGTATAAACTGTAAAGTATATTTTACTGGTGTTTTCTTCCTTATTCCTACTTGTCAGATGCAAATACACATTTTTGTGTGTTTGTGTTTAGTAATTATAAGTATACATATTTCATTCTTCTATTTCATATATTTCTATGACATTATATCTTAGATGTGTAATTTATGAACTACTACTGGATTATTTTAATCCATTAGAAATTACTATTCACGCATTCTGTATTCAATTCATGTGATAGCTAATATATTTGGTTTTAAATGCATCTTATTTTGTGGTTTTCTTCTAGGCTGTTTTTTGTGCTTTCTTTTAAAAATATATAGGTTTTAATAATCTTAATTTTCTTTTAGTTTGAAATGTATATACTCATTTTATTCATTAGTCTAAGATAAGAATTGTAACACTTCTCTAACCTATTATAGAATTGTTAATACCTTTACCCTTCTCTTGAACACATCAAAGGATGTCATTGAGTGTTGGTATTGGAGTATAGCATATCTATTATTCTGCTCAATTAGAAGATATTGTTCATGTTGTATAGAGATAATAAGTAATTGTATTGATCTGCAGATGCATCCATCTCTTGGATTCTCATTCCTTCTACCACTGCAGAACTTTCACCTGTAATCACTTTCCTTTGGCCTTAAGGATAACTTTTAGGGTTACTTTTCTACTAAATTTCCAATTTTTGACCAGATATAATCTTATATTGTGCTCTTCCTGAAAAATACTATTGTTGTGGATAGAAATCTGGGTTGGTAGTTATTTCTTCAGCAATTTGACCATGTCATTCCACTGTGTCCCTGGCCTCCTGTATACTGGATGTGAATGGATACAATTATATATTGTGTTTATAGTTTTCCTGTGCTATAGGAACAGTATTCGAATCTGATGCAAAGGACAACACACCCTAGAGATTGTAACAGTGAGATGAACCAAGTGATTGGATGGGGTTTTGAGTTGCTGGAATAATGGAGTTACAGTGTACAATGCATAAGCAACATAATAAATTATATATCTGGTGAACAAATGGATGGATTGTGCCATGAACTGGTTAGATGCTTACCCACATGTCACAGAAGGTCTTCACTTGCAAGGAGGGTGGGAAATACCTCTTGGTCAGCTCTCAACTTGTGCAGCATCAGGCCTCTTTCAATGGGGAAGAGCCACACAGGAGCAATGAGAGTGGGGAGGCTTTTCACACTGGACAAAGGGATTCCAAGTACAGCAATTGTGGGAAAGCCTTTTGCTGCAAATACATACTTTTTCAGTATCAGAAAATCCATGCTGGAGTAAACCCTTATGAGTGCAGTCAGTGCTGGCATACCTTTAATAACAGCTACTATTCTATAGTTACCCAAGAGAATTCACAGCAAAGCTGTGCCTTATGAGTGCAGTGATTATGGGAAATTATTTGGCTCCAGCTCTAATCTCCATATACACCAAATAGTTCACACAGGATCAAGGCTTTAAGAGTGTGTTGGCCAGGCATGGTGGTTCACACCTGTAATCCCAGCACTTTGGGAGGCTGAGGCAGGCGGACCGCAAGGTCAGGAGTTCGAGACCAGCCTGGCCAACATAGTGAAACCCCGTCTCTAGTAAAAAAATACAAAAATTAGCTGGGCGTGGTGGTGCGCGCCTTTAGTCCCACCTACTCGGGAGGCTGAGGCAGGAGAATTGCTTGAACCTGGGAGGCAGAGGTTGCAGTGAGCCGAGATCACGCCACTGCTCTCCAGCCTGGGCAACAGAGCGAGACTCTGTCTCAAAGAAAAAAAAAAAAAGTGCTGAATGTGAGAAAGCCTCTATCACTAGACCTCATCCTGTTTAGCACCAGAGAATTCATAGTGGAGAAGACCTTATGAGTGCAGATCATGTGGCAAATTCTTTATAAAGACACATTTGTTGAGTACCAGAAAGTCCACAATGGAAAAATATCTTCTCAGTGTGGTGAACGTGAGACATTCTAAAGCCACAATTCTTACCGTGGTTAGGCTTTGTGTCCCCACCCAAATCTCATCTTGAATTGTAATCCCCATAATCCCCAGTGACCAGGGTAGGACCTGGTGGGTGGTGATTAGATCATGGGGGCAGTTTCCCCCATGCTCTTCTCCTATAGTGAGTTCTCACAAGATCTAAGGGGTTTTTTGTTTGTTTGTTTGAAACGGAATCTTGCTCTGTTGGCCAGGCTGGAGTGCAGTGGCATGATCTTGGCTCACTGCAACCTCCGCCTCCTGAGTTCAAGTGACTCTCCTGCCTCAGCCTCCCAAGTAGCTGGGACTACAGGTGTGCGCCACCAGGCTCAGCTAATTTTTGAATTTTTAGTAGAGACGGGGTTTCGCCATGTTGGCCAGGCTGGTCTCGAACTCTTGACCTCAGGTGATCCACCCATCTCAGCCTCCCAAAGTGCTAGCATTACAGGCATGAGCCACCGAGCCCAGCCCTCAATCTGATGGTTTTATAAGGGGCTCTTTCCTGTTCGCTCGTTCGCTCTCTCTCACCTGCCTCCACGTAAGACGTGTCTTTGCTTCTCTCTTGCCTTCTGCCATGATTTTAAGTTTCCTGAGGCCTCCCGAGCTATGCAGAACTGTAAGTCAATTAAACCTCTTTCCTTTATAAATTACCCAGACTCAGGTATGTCTTTATAGCAGTGTGAGAATGGAGTAATGGACTATCTTGTAACATGTTAGAGAATTCACAATGGAACAAGATCTTGTGTGTTCAGGAAATGTGGGAAAGCAGAAATTCCCACATTGCTTGGCAAATGAAAGTCAACCAGAGAAAGGCCTTTTGTAGCAGATATAAGAAAGCATACAGTGAAGGCCTAACCTCATTAGGCATCAGAAAATTTACACTGGAGAGAGGCCTTAAGAGTTCATGGAATGTGCTCATTGTTTAACATGGCATGATCCTAAGAGAAAATCTCTGAGAGTAACCTTTGAGAGGGAGCTCTAAGCCAGGATTTGAACCTCAGACATATGTGTATTCACACTGTGGAGATTACCTACAACTGCATGAGTGATCAGAAACAAATGGGGTCCTCATCTATTTCCCCTTAGTGGTTTCAGCGTGGATATTATCCAGCTGCAGCCTAAAAGATCTGAGCTGGGGCCTGCTGTGGATTTCAAGAGGTCCCCATCCTTAATAAACAGTGTTGACCCCACATGGTAGCTGAGATGGATTTCTCCAACCAGCTTCCCAATCCACCAACCTTAGATATGCCCACCTCATGATGTTCTCATTTGTGCAGAGATAAATGCCATAGTGTTTAACCCTTCAATCTGTTCTGTTCATTGTGTGGGACTGATTGAGAAAAGAAGGGCTTTGCTAGCAGGGACCACCAACTTTATGTGCCTCAGAGTGGACAGCAGGATGGTAGAGAGTAGCTCTAAGTCTAGTTTGGCCTGTTTTGCAATGCTACGCAACGTCTCTTAGGGAAAACTGTAGGGCATTGTGAGACTGATCTTGTGACCTGGATGTCAGGATCTCTGTGAGCCCTAAGCTCACCCTCATGAGGGAGTAGTTGGTGTGACAACCTCCAGTGCTTCTAGAAACAGCATAAGTTGAGTCCCTTTTTCCCAGAGGATGTGTCATATTCCATCAATTCTGTTGAGGGGTGGCTGTCTCCTAGGACCTCTATGCAGAGGACATTGCCCCTGAAATCTAAAATCTGGTAGGCATGTAAGACCTACAGGGGCTAAGCAGGAAACAGATACAGAAACACTACATACAGAAACATTGGATAGTAGGGAGTAGTGGAGACTGGGAAACTAGAAGTTATGTGTGTACTCTAAAGGGGGATACACAAATTTAATGTAACTATGACTCTGCGATGAGGGTGTACAAAAATTCTCACGACCGGCTGAGCTCCTTTTCTCCTATGGCTGAGGCCGGTGTGAGAGCAAACAATCTGAAAGTTTGTGAATTCCTGTACCTCCCTGGGCTGTTGACATTTTGGTCATCACTGAACAGGCAGGAACCCCAGGACTGACAAAAGAGAGCTTGGAGTCGATCGTGCATCTTTTGTGACCCAGTCAGCATGTGGGAAGTGATGGCCTTCATTGCTTTCTAGTTTTTGCTGCCACTGAAGGAGGGCTGACTCAAGATATGGGAAGAGGGAGAGAGTTGAATAAATACAGGATTGATTGATTCAGATTTTTATGTGGAAACTTTTTTTTCTTAACACATCAATGATATATAATTGGCATACAATAAACTAGACATATTGAAATTGTATAATTTGATAAATTTCGACATGTATACACATGTCAAAAGTTTCCTCATGCCCCTTACTAATCTCCTCTTATTCTCCAATACTTTATCCCCATGTGACCATTGATTTGTTTAATGACACTATACATTAGTTAGTATTTTCTGAAATTTTATATAAATGTAATCATATGGTATGTGTTTATTTTTTATCTGTCTTTCAGTAAACTGTTTCTTTTTAGATTTGGGGGGTACAAGTGCAGTTTTGTTATAGGGATATATTATGTATTGGTGAAGTCTGGGCTTTTAGTGTGACTGTCACCCAAATAGTTCACATTGTACCCAATAGACAATTTCTCATTTTTCACCTTTTTTCCCTTGTTTTGTGGGTTTATTTTCAACTTTTATTTTAAGCTCAGGGGGTCCATGTGCAGGCTTGTTACAGGGGTAAATTGCATATCACTGGGGTTTGATGTACAAATGATTTTGTCACCCAGGTAGTGAGCATAGCACCCAACAGAAAGTTTTTTTGTTTTTTGTGTTTCCCTTACCCTTCTCCCACACTCTCCCATCAAGTAGGCCCTGGTAGCTATTTTTCCCATCTTTGTGTTTATGTGTTCTCATTGTTTACCTCCCACTTATAAGTGAGAAGATGCAGCATTTGGTTTTCTGTTCCTGCATTAATTCATTTCTGATAATAGCCTCCAGCTCCATCCATGCTGCTGCAAAGGACATGATGTTTTTTATGGTTGCATAGTAATCCATGGTGTATACATACCACTTTCTTTATTCATTTCACTGTTGATGGGCATCTAGGTTGATTCATGTCTTTGCTATTGTGGATAGTGCTGCAATGAACATACAGGTGCATGTGTCTTTTTGGTAGAACGATTTCTATTCCTTTGGGTACATAACCAGTAATGGGATTGCTGGGTCAAATGGAAGGTCTGTTTTAAGTTCTTTGAAAAACATCCAAACTGCCTTCCTGAATAGCTGCACTAATTTACTTTCCCAGCAGCAGTGTATAAGCATTCCCTTCTCTCCACAACCTTGCCAATATCTGTTACTTTTTGACTTTAAAACAACCATTCTGACTGATGTGAGATGGCATCTCATTGTGGTTTGATTTACATTTCTCTAATCATTAGTGATGTTGAACCTTTTTTTTCATATGCTTGTTGGCCACATGTATGTCTTCTTTTGAGAAATGTCTGTTTATGTCCTTGGCTCAATTTTTTAAATGAGATTGGTTGTTGTTTTGTTTGTTACTTTGCTTAAGTTCCTTATAGATTCTGGATATTAGACCTTGTCAGATGCACAGGTTGTGAATATTTTCTCCTATTCTGTATGCTGTCTGTTTACTCTGTTGGTGGTTTCTTTCTCTGTACACTTCAGTTTAATTAGGTCCCATCTGTCTATTTTTCCTTTGTTTCAATTGCTTTTAGAGACTTTGTCATGAAACCTTTGCCAAGGCCTGTGTCCAGAATGATATTTTGTAGGTTTCTTCTAAGGTTTTTTATAGATTTAGGTCATACATTTAAGTCTTTAATCCATTTTGAACTGATTTTTGTATATGATGAAAGGAAGGGGTCCAGTTTCAGTCTTCTGCCTATGGCTAACCTGTTATCCCAGCATCATTTATTGAAGGAGAGTCCTTTCCCTATTGCTTGTTATTGCTTACTTTGTCAAAGATCAGATGTTTGGAGATATGTGGCTTTATTTCTGGGTTCTTTATTCTGTTCTAGTTGTCTATATGTCTGTTTTTGTATCAATATCATGCTGTTTTGGTCACTGTAGCCTTTAAGTATAGTTTGAAGTTGGGTACTGTGATGCCTCCAGCTTTGTTCTTTTTGCTTAGGATTGCTTTGGCTATTTGGACTGTTTTTTGGTTCCATGTGATTTTTAGAATATTTTTTCTGATTCTGTGAAAAATGAAATTGGCAGATTGATGAAATAGCACTGAATCCATAAATTGCTTTGGGCAGTATGGCTATTTTAACAATATTGATTCTTTTTATCCATGAGCATGAAATGTTTTTCCATTTGTTTTGGTCATCTCTGATTTCTTTCAGCAGTGTTTTGTAATTCTTGTTGTAGAGATCTTTCCACTCCCTGGCTAGCTTTATTACTAGGTATTTTATTCTTTTTCTTGACTATTGTGTATGAGATTGCATTCTTGATTTGGCTCTCAGACTGGACATTCACTGTATATTATTGGTACATAGAAATGCTGATTTTTGTACATTGATTTTATATACTAAAGCTTTACTGAAGTTATCAGTTCTAGGAGCTTTTGTGCAGAGACTATGGGGTTTTCTAAGTATAGAATCATATCCTCTGCAAAGAGAGATAGTTTGACTTCCTCTCTTCCTATTTGGATGCCTTTTATTTCATTCTCTTGCCTGATTACTCTGGCTAGGACTTCCAGTACTATCTTGAATAGGAGTGGTAAGAGTGAGTATCGTTGTCTTGTTCTGATTCCCAAGGAAAATGCTTCCGGCTTTTGCCTGTCTGGTATAATTTTAGCTGTGAGTTTGTTATAGATGGCTTTTGTTGTTGCTTTGAGACAAGGTTCTTGCTCTGTCACCCAGGCTGGAGTGCAGTGATGCAATCACAGCTCACTGCAACCTCTGCCCTCCTGAGCTCAAGTGCCTCCCACCTCAGCCTCTCGAGCAGCTGAGACTACAGGTGTATGCCATCACACCTGGCTAATTTTTGTGTATTTTGTAGGAACGGGGTTTTGCTATGTTGCCCAGGCTTGTCTCCACCTCCCAAAGTGCTGGGATTATAGGTGTGAGACACTGCACCTGGCCCATAGATGGCTCTTATTATTTTGAGGTCTGTTTCTTCAATGCCTAGTTTGTGGAGGGTTGGAAGGGTTGTTAAATTTTATTGAAAGCCTTCTGTGCATCTATTGAGATAACCATGTGGTTTTTGTTTTTTTGTTCTGTTTATGTGATGAATCACATTTCTTAATTTGCATATGTTGAGCCAACTTTGCATGCCAGATATAAAGCCTGCTTGAGTGTGGTGATCGTGGTGGATTAGCTTTCTGATATGCTGTTGGATTCAGTTAACTAGTATTTTGTTGAGAATTTTGCATTTATGTTTATCAGGGATATTGGCCTAACATTTTCTTTTTTCATTTTGCCTCTGCCAGGTTTTGGTATCAGGATGACTCTGGCCTCACAGAATAAGTTAGGGAGTAGTCCCGCCTCCTTGATTTTTTGGGAATAATTTCAGTAGGATTAGTACCACGTCTTTTTACATCTGGTAGAATACAACTGTGAATCCACCTGGTCCAGGGCTTTTTCTGGTTGGTAGCTTTTTAATTACTGATTCAATTTCAGAACTCATTACTGGTCTGTTCAGGATTTCAATTTCTTCCTGGTTCAATCTTAGGAGGTTGTATGTTTCAAGGAATGTATCCATTTCTTCTAGGTTTTTTAGTTTGTGTGCTAAGTTTTTAGTTCTTAATAGTCTCTGAGAGAATTTTGTACTTCTGTGGGGTAGGTGGTAATGTCACCTTTAACATTTCTGATTGCGTTTTTTTGCATCTTCTTTTTTCCTTATTAATCTAGCTAGTGGGCTACCAGTGTTGTTTATTCTTTTGAAAAACCAACTTACGGTTTTATGATCTTTGTGTAGATTTTCACATCTCAGTTTTATTCAGTTCAACTCTGATATTGGTTATTTTTCTCTGCTGCTTTTCTTTCTTTTGGGGTTGTTTTTTTTTTCTTTTAGTTCCTCTAGGTGTGATGTTATTTTGTTAACTTGAGATTTATCTAACTTCTTGGTGTAGGCATTTTGCACTATAAACTTTCAACACTGCTTTAGCTGTGTCCCAAAGATTCTGGTATGTTGTATCTCTGTTTTAATTAGTTTCAAGGAATTTTTTTATTTGTCTTGATTTCATTCTTTACCTAAAACACATTCAGGAGAAGATTGTTTAATTTCCATGTAATTGTATGGTTTTGAGAGTTCTTCTAGGTATTGATTTCTGTTTCTACTGTGCTATGGTCTGAGAGTGTGGTTGGTATGACTTTTTTTTTAATTGTTGAGTATTGCTTTATGGCCAAGTATGTGATTGATCTTAGAATATGTGACATGTGCAGATGAAAAGAATGTATGTTCTGTGGTTGTTGGGTAGAGTATTCTGTAGATTTCTGTAAGGTCTATTTGGTCAAATGTCCAGTTTAGCTTCCAAATACCTTTGTTAGCTTTCTGCCTTGGTGATGCATCTAACACTGTCAGTGGGGTGTTGAAGTCTCCTGCTATTATTGTCTGGTTGTCTAAGTCTTGTTGTAGGTCTCTAAGAACTTGTTTCATGAATATGGGTGCTCCAGTGTTTGGTGCATATATATTTGGGATAGTTAAGTCTTGTTGAATTGAATCCTTTATCACTATGTGATGCCCTTCTTTGCCTTTTTTGATCATTGTTGGTCTAAAGTCTGTTTCGTGTGAAATAGCAATCCCTGCTCTTTTTTTTCCCATTTGCTTGATCTTTCTCCATCCTTTTACTTTGTGCCTATGGGTGTCATTGCATGTGAGATGTGTCTAATGAAGAGAATACACAGTTGGGTTTCATTTCTTTTTCCAACTTGCCACCTTGTGCCTTCTAAGTGGGGCATTTAGCCTATTTACATTCAAGGTCAATATTGATAAGTGAGGATTTGATCCTGTCATTATGTTGTTAGCTGGTTGTTATGTGGACTTTATTGTATAGTTGGTTTGTAGTATCAACAGGATATGTGCTCAAGTTGTTTCTGTGGTGGCAGATACTCATCTTTTGCTTCTAGGTTTAGCACTGTTTTAAGGACTTCTTGTAAGGCAGGTCTGGTAGTAATGAATTCCCTTAACATTTGTTTGTCTGAAAAAGATTTTATTTATCCTTCACTTAATGAAGTTTAGTTTGGTTGGATATTAAATTCTTGGTTCAAATTTCTTTCATTTAAAAATGCTGAATATAGGCCCCCAGTCTCTTCCAGCTTGTAAACTTTCTGAAAGGTCCACGGTTAGCCTGATCGGGTTCCTTTTGTGGGTAACCTGCCACTTCTCTCTAGCTGCCTTTAATGTTTTTCTTTTGTATTGACCTTGGAGAATCTGATGACTATGTGTCTTAGGGATGGTCATCTTGTATAATATCATCTCACAGGGGTTCTCTGAATGTCCTGAATTTGCATGTCAACCTCTCTAGTGTGGTTGGGGAAATGTTCATGGACAGTATCATCAAATATGTTTTCCAAGTTCCTTGTTGTCTCTCCATCTCTTTCTGGAATGCCAATGTGTTATAGGCTTGGTCTTTTTACATATCCCATATTTCTTGTAGGTTTTATTCATTTTTTAAAATTCTTTTTTCTTTATTTTTTTCTGCTGTATTGGTTCAAAGGAGTCGTGTTTGAGCTCTGAGATTATTTTCTTTTTTTTTGTGGGATAGCAAACACTTATTTGAAGAACTTTTAGGATAAAATTTAGTTTACCTCTGATAAAGCTGAAGAAAAATGATTGCAGTTTTTATGCATTAAATGATAAACATTGCCTTTGTATTCTTTTCCCAGTTCTTCTACAATTTTTTCTATATCATCTTCTAGGAAGTCCGTGCTCCCTAAAACAACTTCTTTAAATTTAAATGGTTCTCCTAGTTCAGAAGCATTTCCTGGGGAAATTTCAAATATTCCAGAAAAGGGGTAAGGATGGCCACCATAAGCAAATTCTCTGCCATAGACTTCAATTTCTGAATGAAAAACTCCAATTCCAATGGATGAGGTATATTCCTTCATCCAATACATGTCACACACGTTGAGCACCACTAACTGGTTAGCCCCCATCCTCCTCCCCGCGGCCGCCGCCTAGTCCTCAAGCCGCTCGGTCTCCGCGGGGCCGGAGGCCGCTCCCACCCCCGCGGGCGCTTCAAGGGGCCTGAGCCGGGCACTAAGCGTACAGCCCTGCCCGTGGCAGCCGGGGCAGAAGCATCGGGCAGCCAAGCCACTCCCGGGCGCCAACGACAGGAGCCTCTGTGCGGACAGGGCCGGACAGCTGGCGGCCCGCTCCGGATGAGGCACCTCCCCTAGGCGGCAGACACATGGGGAAAAACTGAGCTCTGAGACTATTTTCTAAGCTTGGTCTATTCTGTTGTTAGCGCTTCCAGTTACATTATGAAATTGCAATTGCTGTAGTTAATTTCTTATTTCCAGAAGTTCAGTTTGATGACTCTTTTTCTTTTCTTTCTTTTTTTTCTTTCTTTTTTTTTTTTTTTTTTTTTTTTTGAGACGGAGTCTTGCTCTGTTGCACAGGCTGGAGTGCAATGGCATGATCTTGGCTCACTGCAACCTCCATCTCCTGGATCCAAGGGACTCTTGTGCCTCAGCCTCCCGAGTAGCTGGGATTACAGGTGCCTGCCAGCACACCCAGCTAATTTCTGTATTTATAGTAGAGATAGGGTTTCACCATGTTGGTCAGGCTGGTTTCGAACTCCTGACCTCAAGTGATCCACCCGCATCAGCCTCCCAAAGTGCTGGGATTACAGACGTGAGCCACCGTGCCCAGCCCATTTTGGTTCTTTGTTAATATGGTAATATTATATTTAAACTCTTGGATTGCATTATTGGTTTCCTTGGATTTTTCCTTCCTTGCCATCCAGACTCTGAATTCTAAGTCATTTCAGCCATTTAAGCATGGTTCCAAACCATCACTAGGGAGCTAGTGCAGTCGTTTGGAGACCTTTAGAGTTGCCAGAAATCTTGCACTGGTTCTTTCTCATATGTGTGGGCTGATGTTCCTTGAATCTTTGAAGTTGCTCTCCTTTGGATGGGGCTTTCTGCTTTTATATTATTTGATGCCCTTGGGAGTTTTACTGTGGTATAAGTTGGGTTTAGTTTCATGGTTTCAATTATGGGTGCTTTCACAGGCCAAGGCTCAGCTGAGCACTCCTGAGCTGCATGCTGTAAACCTGGGTAGAGGGGATTAAGCCCTTGGCTTTGTTCTCTGGCTGCTTGGGGTGAAGCACCTGCTGTGCTAGAGGGGCTGAGGTGTTCTCAGTCTGCTGGCAAAAGTGCTCCAGCAGAGCATTGTGGGGACTGCAGAGAGTGCACTGTGGCTGGGGGATGGGGAGGCCACAGGCAAGTGTGCACCACTTGGGCAGTAGAGGGGGGCTACCTGCAAGTGTGTGCCAATGGGGTGGCATGGCTGTGGTGTAGGTGAGTGAAGCACCATGGTGTGAGGGGTCCCCGGCAATGCCTCCCACCTTTTTGAATCTCCAGTGTCTATTATTCCACTATTTCCATATG
Organism: Homo sapiens; assembly: GCF_000001405.40. Taxonomy (NCBI): domain Eukaryota; kingdom Metazoa; phylum Chordata; class Mammalia; order Primates; family Hominidae; genus Homo; species Homo sapiens. Next base: position 57,319,021 of record NC_000019.10, read on the forward strand.
TATACATCATTTAGCTACCACTTATAAGTGATAACATGCAGTATTTGACTTTGTTTCTGAATTATTTCACTTAAGAGAATGGCCCCCCAGTTCCAGCCATATTGCTGCAAAAGCCATGATTTTTTTTAATGACTGAGTAGTATTCCATGGAGTGTATATATATATACACATATATACATATACATACATATATATACATATATATACATATACATACATATATACATATATACATATACATACATATATATACATATATATACATATACATACATATATATACATATATATACATATACATACATATATATACATATACATACATATATATACATATATATACATATACATACATATATACACATATATATACATATACATACATATATACATATATATACATATACATACATATATACATATATATACATATACATACATATATACATATACATACATATATATACATATATACATATACATACATATATATACATATATATATCGCATTTTCTTTATCCAATCATCTGTCGATGGACACTTAGGTTGATTCTATGACTTTGCTACTGTGAATAGTGCTACAGTAAGCATGTAAGTACAGGCATCTTTTTGATATAGTGGTTTATTTTCCTTTAAGTAAATACCCAATAGTGGAATTGCCAGATCAAATGGCAGTTCTATTTTCAGTTCTTTGATAAATCTCCATACTGTTTTCCATAGAGGTTGTACTAATTTACATTCCCACCAATAGCATATAAGCGTTCCCTTTTCCTTGCATCCATACCAACATCTGTTGGTTTTTTACTTTTTAATAATAGCCACTCTGACCAGTATAAGATGGCATCTCAGTGTGTTTATGTGTGTGTGTTTTCTCTCATCATATCTCATTATAACCTCAAATTCCTGGGCTCAAGCAATCCTCTTGCTTCAGCCTCCCAGTGTCTAGGACTACAGGTGTACACCATCATGCCTTGCTCTTTTTTTTTTTTTTGGTAGATATAACATCTTACTATATTGCCCAGGGTGGTCTCAAACTCCTGACCTCAGCAATTATTTTGTGTTGGCATCCCAAAGCACTGAGATTACATATATGAGCTACCTCCCTAAAATAAGGGAAGTGAGCCAGAAGCTCTGGGCCCAGCCCATGATCTCAATCGGGGCGAATATCCCCGCCTCCTGACCTCAATTTTCCTAAGCTAGAAAGGACCTTTCGACCCTCCGACTTGTGCCCATAGTAAAGCGGCGGCCCTAAGACGACGCGGGGGTCCTTGTGCGCACTTAAATGGAGTCGGCTGCGCTTGGTGAGTTCCCACACCCGGTAGATGTGAGGGAAAAACTGCCTTACTCAGAAGGCACCACCCCTTGCGTCGGCCGCGGACTCTAGGCCAATGACGGGCCAGGACACGGGCGATTTCTGCGGGCCAGGGCGGCGGAGGTGGGACTTCCGCTTCGTCGCGTGACGTCATCTCCGTGAGCAGGATTGGCCCTGGAACAGTGTGGGGCCTGGACCGCTGGGTAGGCGCGTCCAGCGGCCTGAGCAGGGGAGGGTAATGAGGCTGTTACGCGCCTTCTCCGCATCTTGGCGGGAGCCTGACGCCCCGCTTCTTCCCTAACGGGGTGTTCCACCGGCGCCTGCCGAGGCCTAGGCCTCCGCAGCCGCCCTCCGTCTCCTCAGCCCCGACGCTGCGCCCGCTTTGTGCGCATTTTTCTCTGGGGAAACTGAGGCTCCGAGTGCGAAAGTCAGCCGAGGTCGCCCCGCCCAGGACAGAGAAGGGCTGGGGGTCGGCTGAGCCGCGGCATTCCCGGGCCCCGCTAGGGCTGCAGGGTCTCAGGATGGCAGCCTCGGCGCAGGTGAGTGGACGAGGTTTTGGCCTTGCTGCTGCTCTGCTACTTCTGGAGGCCTCGTGGGCAGGCAGAAGCCAAGACAGCCACAGGATGTTTCTTTGTCGCCGTCGTTTATTTAAGAGAAGTGGCCGTAGCTTGTCATTTCCTTTATCCGCAGTCCTGCAATAGTGTTGGCCTCCGACAGGTGCTCAGTCCTTGGTAGAAGGATGAATGATGCTTCCTTCATGGATCTCATCACACTTCCCTTAAATCCAACCTCCTCTGTTGCCTGCCAGCCCCTACCCCATCCACCTGGCCAACCACCCCTGACCTTGTCTCTCCATTTTTCCCTTGTCCTTTGCTCTTCAGAGCCACCAACCTGACCGTGCAGTCTTCTTCCTTTTTCCAGGCTTTCTCTTTGCACTTCCCTTTGCCTTGAACACTGCCCCTATAACTTCGCAGGGCCTCCCTCTCATATCTTTCTGGCCTCTGTCCAGATGTCACCTATTTGGAGGTGGCTTTCTTGGCAATTCCGGCTAAAGTGGCGCCTTACGCACTTGCCCATTTTTGGCAATGTGTGGCATTTTTGTATAGAGAATCTGACGATATTAAAGAAGCTTGCCGTTTGAGTTGGTCTAGGATGTTATGTGAACAAAGAGAAACGAAATAATTGCAAAGAGTGACAGCTGATCATAAAGAGTCCTTGCTGTGGGCTGATTGGCAGGCATTATTTAACCCTCAGCTCCTTTAATCCTGAACTCCTTAGAATTAGGTTCTCTTGTCCTCACTGTTTTACACAAGAGCAGCTGGAGGCTCACATAGGTTCAATTACCTGCCTTACATCACTGTAGCTCTTAAGTATCAGAAACTAACAACTGGTGTGTCTACCATCACAGCCTGTGTTTTTACCCTCTTCTTTGCCCGCAATGGTTAGGGAGGCCTGGGGGTGACACCTAAAGTAAACTTTGCAAGTTGAGCAGGCTTCCTTCTAGCAGGTGGTCTTGGACATGAGGAGTCATGGCATTTCATGCTGGTGGAACTGTGTGGACTAAAAAAAAATGGTTTATTGGTTGTTTAAGGAGTCCGCAGGGGACCCGTGTGGCTTCCACAGTGGTTTCCTGAGTGGTTTTCTCCTATACCAGCTGACACATGTCTTGGGACACAAGATTTTGTGGTCTTTTGCTAGATGTGCCTTCCTCCTTAGCCAGGACAGACATAGCCAGTCAGGGGCCCATGTTCTCATGGCTACAACCTGCTGTGTCCTCTGTGACTCTTGTTCCTTGCTCCTGAAGTATCCTGACCTCAGGGATACTTGTTGGTAGGACTCAAACAGGAAAAGGTAGTGATAGCTCGTTGTGGATTCTTCCTATGAGAATGGGCATCTGTGAGGCCCAGAAGTGTCCGAGGCAGCAGATGCAGGTCCAGGCCCTGCCACTTTTGAGGCAGGTGCCACCACCTCAGGTGACTCTTCTGTGAGGTAGGTGATTATGACTATGCTGCTCTGCCCAGGTCCATGAAAATATTTCAAGTGGCTAACCCCAGCACAGTGGCATGTGTCTGTATATCCAGCTTGGGAGGCTAAGGCAGGAGGATCATGAGTTCAAGCCCAACCTGGGCAAAATATTGAGACCCTGTCTCAAAAAAAAAAAAAAAAATCCTGAAAATATTTTCAGGGTGGCTCAAATGGATGTATTTCAATGTTTCCCATCCTCATTAACTGTGCATTAACTTTGCTAATGAAGGAGTGTCGGGTTGCATGATTAGAACATAGACCATAGGGCCCTGGGTTCAAATTCTGTCTCTCCTGATAAGAGATGTGACTTTGGGTAGACTAGTGGAGGTCCTGGACCTCAAGTCTCTGAGTGTGACATGGAGATGATGATGGTGAACTCAGGAGCTGTGGCCCTTTGCCCCAGTGTTTCCTTTACAGCTTTTCTTCAGATCTTTTGACTATTCTTGGTGAAGTGGAAAACCCTGTTGTGTTGACCTGGACATCAGGGCTCAGATAAATGAAATGAGATTTCCAAGGTCACATAGCAGGCTTGTGTTGATTTCAGGAATTTGGTTTTAAACCTCAGGAGTCTGACTCCTGAGCTGGGGACTTTTAGTCACTTTACCATGGCATGTAAAGCCATTAGCATGAGGCAGGCTCACAGGGAGGATCGGTAAGACTCAGGTGCTGTTCTTGTTGTTGTTGCTGGTGTTGTTTTTGTTATTATTCTTTCCCATTCCTCTGATGTCTCAGAGCACTTACTGTCTTGCCTCTCAGTCCCCTTAGGATTGTCCTAACCTTATTTCTGTGTGAAGTGGCTTTCTGCATAGGAGGCTTCTCTCTCTTCACTGCTGTAATTTTTTTTTTTTTTTTTGAGACGAGTCTCGCTCTGTCACCCAGGCTGGAGTACAGTGGCACGATCTCGGCTCACTGCAAGCTCCGCCTCCCGGGTTCACGCCATTCTCCTGCCTCAGCCTCCCGAGTAGCTGGGAATACAGGCGCCCGCCACCGCGCCCGGCTAATTTTTTTGTATTTTTAGCAGAGACGGGGTTTCACCATGTTAGCCAGGATGGTCTCGATCTCCTGACCTCGTGATCTGCCCTTCATGGCCCCCCAAAGTGCTGGGATTACAGGCGTGAGCCACCGCGCCTGACCGACACTGCTGTAATTTATCCAAGGCAATGTCCACATTCCCCTCATGCCTGGCACAGATCATGGCCCTCTAGAGATGCTTGGTGATTTGATTCTTGGGTCACTGCGCATCTTTTGCAGTGCTGAAGTGACAAGTTCTAGTTGTATTCCACAGTTCCAAGGGAAACACTACTATCTCTGTTTAATTTTCCAGGTGTCTGTGACCTTTGAGGATGTGGCTGTGACATTCACCCAGGAGGAGTGGGGACAGTTGGATGCAGCCCAGAGAACCTTGTATCAGGAGGTGATGCTGGAGACCTGCGGACTTCTCATGTCTCTGGGTAAGGCCCCTTCTGGTCCTGTGCTCCCTTAGGATTGAGTTCTCCTACTCATGTTCCCCTCTCTCCTCCACAGCCCACTTGTTCTGAGGCTCCTGGCACCACGCAGGGGTGTTCACCATTGGCTCTGAGCGTAGCACTTGGGAGACCAGGGTCTGGTGTCCAGGAGTCCACTCCCATCTCCACTGCTCATGATCCCTGTGTTCCTGGGCAAGTTAAGGAATCCCTCTGTGCCTCAGTTTTTCTCATGAATAAAAAGGGCCAGGCCAGGCACAGTGGCTCATGTCTGTAATCCCAGCACTTTGGGAGGCCGACGCGGACAAATCAGGAGGTCAGGAGTTTGAGACAAGCCTGGGCAACATGGTGAAATCCCGTCTCTACTAAAAATACAAAAAATTAGCCGGGTGTGATGGCGGGTGCCTGTAATCCCAGCTACTCAGGAGGCTGAGGCAGGAGAATCACTTGAACCCGGGAGGCGGAAGTTGCAGTGAGCTGAGATCTCATCACTACACTCCAGCCCAGGCGACAGTGTGAGAGAGACTCCGTCTGAAAAAAAAAAAAAAAAAAGGCCAATATAGTATTTGTTTCATAGGGCTAGTGTGAGGGCAAATGGTTCAGTAGAGTGTGTTGTGATAGGTGGCTGGGCGCAGGTTAGCAATTGTGACCTCTGTTGCTGTCACTATTGTCACTGCTGTCTAAATCATTGTCCTCATAATCAGCAGTATCACACTTGGACTCCGCAGTTTTTGGAACAACTTTGTATAGTTTTTTAGTTAAATTGGCCAGATGCTTTTGATGACTAGACTCAGGTGTACATTTTGGCTTGGCCATTCGCCATTTCCCAGATTTTGGCAAGTCACTTTATCTGCCTGAGCCTCGATCTCTTCATCTATAATGTGGTCCTGATTGCAGTACATTCTTAATGTGCATCCTGTGAAGAAATCCTAAAATAGAATTTTTCATGCAGGGACCATAGGAGTAGCAATGTAATGCTTTGCTTAGAATGTAAAAAAAAAGCCTTAGGTCAGTGAAGAAACTTACCTTTCTCCTGAATGGAGACTCAGTATCTCAAATATGTTATTTCTTTTCTAAACTAATGACTAAATTTAATTGAGTGTTTATAAAATACAATGCATTTAAATTGCTTGGCATATTCCCTAGGTTATAGTTACATTGTATAAATATCAGTTATTGACATACTATTAGGAGTAAAGTTCTATGGCCAGGTGGCATATTGATTAAGGACTTGGATTTGAGAGCCACAGCAGCAAAGTCTCTCCAAGAAGTGACATTTGAGCTGAGACCCAAAGAGTGAGTTGATTAGAAGGAGCAAGATAGAGGAGCAAGTAGTATTCCAAGTAGGCAGGCTGGCATGTGCAAAGGCCCTGAGGTGGTGAAGAGCATGATCCTGACAAAGCTGAAGGAAGGTCTGATTCCCCTTTTTCACTGCACTGTCATTGAACCCAGTGCCAAGCACATAGCAAAAATGAGTGAACATTTGCTTAGAGATGACTGATGAATCCCACCCTGTGTTTTTGTGGGTCCTACTGCCTGTGCCATTAACTTCTCCATAGAGTACTTATGTCTTTTACCCCCTTATATTTTGAAAAGTTTTGGGCTATATGTGCAGATCAGCTCATACAGTCTTAACCCTGAAGGAAATATATTATCTCACCTAATAAGCTTAGTGGTAAGGCTGGCTCCTGGGTTGGTGGGTGTCAAGCCAGTTGTCTTTCTTTGCTCCCACTTTCTTTTTTCTTTTTTGGAGACAGGGTCTCACTCTGTAACCCACACTGGAGTGCAGTGGTACGATCTCAGCTCACTGCAGCCTCACCTTCCAGTCTCAAGTGATCCTCCCACCTCAGTCTCCTAAGTAGCTGGGACCACGGGTGCATGACACCACACCCGGCTACTTTTTGTATTTTTAGTAGAGATGGGGTTTCACCATTTGCCCTAGCTGGTCTCAGACTCCCAAAGCGTTGGGATTACAAGCGTGAGCCACTGTGCCCAGCCTCTTTGCTCCCTCTTCTTGGTAAGGTTTTTAGGCAGGTTCCCTCACAGAATTCCCAGGATGCTGCATGGCAGCAGGAGTGGCAGCCTCCCTCATTTAGCCCTTCCTGAAAGAGAAGGTTTTTTCTCTCTTTGGAGTGGCTGGTATAGGTCACCTGCCTACCTCAGAGTACAGTTGATCAGGGTTGCCATTTGCAAGATGATGGAGACCAGGACTTTTCTACTGCCATGGGGACTAATTATAAAATCCCTTCAGAAAATTTGTCTTAACAGGGTTGAGATTTTTGTAGGATGGAGATTAAAAGTAATTGGTACTATCACACAGCCAGCACTACTGCTTACAGTCTTTGGGGCCCAATGAGGATGTTTTTTTTCTCTTTTTTTGAGACGGAGCTTCGCTCTTGTCGCCCAGGCTGGAGTGCAGTGGCATGATCTCGGTTCACTACAACCTCCGCCTCCTGGGTTCAGCCTCCCGAGTAGCTGGGACTACAGGTACCCGCCACCACACCTGGCTAACTTTTTGTATTTTTAGTAGAGATGGGGTTTCACCATGTTGGGCAGGCTGGTCTCGAACTCCTGACCTCAGGTGATCCACCTGCCTTGGCCTCCCAAAGTGCTGGGATTACAGGCATGACCCACTGTGCCCTGCCAGATGGTGTTTTTGTGGTTGTTTTATGGTCACGGTTCAACGTTTTCTTTGCTTGGCTGAGAATAGCTTCACTTCATGGTCTTCCCCATCCTGCAGTCCCAGATCAGATTGACAGGTTTCTTTCTTCTAACCTAACTCCCTGTGTCCTCTTTTGTTCTCCATGCACAGGCTGTCCTTTGTTCAAACCAGAGCTGATCTACCAGTTGGATCACAGACAGGAGCTATGGATGGCTACAAAAGACCTCTCCCAAAGCTCCTATCCAGGTAGGAGCCAACAGCTGGGAAGGTGGGGGTCATGGCAGCTTACACATGGAAAAGTGAACACTGCCTCTGAATTTTGTGGGCAATCTTCTTATTGTGGTCTCTCTGGGTGCTTGGGATCCATGGAGCCTCTCCCCGCCCGCCCCCCCCCACCCGCCTTCAGACAGGGTTTCACTCTGTCACTCAGGCTGGAGTACAGTGATGTGATCATAGCTCACTGCAGCCTCAACCTCCTGGGCTCAAGGGATTCTCCCACCTCAGCCTCCCGGGTAGCTGAGACTACAGGCATATGCACCATGCCTGGCTGAGTTTTTAAAATTTTTTATAGAGATGGTCTTGTTATGTTGCTGAGGCTGGTCTCAAACTCCTGGGTTCAAGCTCTCCTCCTGCCTCAGTGTTCGAAAATGCTGAGCCACCAAGCCTGGCCTCTTACATCTTAAATTTAAGTACTTCCAAGTTAGGTCCCAGATGTATATATTTCACTAACGCATAATAAAAAATTATGGCTAACATGTATTTATTTCTTACTCAGTGCCTTGCTCTCTGCCGACGATAGTATATGTAGTGTTTCACTTCATCTTCACTATAGTCTTACAAGGCAGACTCTATTTTTGGCCCTTTTTGTTTGTTTGTTTCCGAGATGGAGCCTCCCACTGTTGCCCTGGCAGGAGTGCGATGGTGCAGTCTTGGCTCACTACAACCTCCGTCTCCTGGGTTCAAGTGATTCTCCTGCCTCAGCCTCCTGAGTAGCTGGGATTACAGGCGTGCACCACCATGCCCAGCTAATTTTTGTATTTTTAGCACAGACGGGGTTTCACCATGTTGGCCAGGCTGGTCTCAAACTCCTGACCTCAGGTGATCTGCCTGCCTTGGCCTCCCAAAGTGCTGGGATTACAGGTATGAATCACTGTCCCTGGCCTTTGTTTTTTCTATAATGCCATCTCTAATAAGCCTTTTTGTGTATTGTGTTCGTTCCAGGTGACAACACAAAACCCAAGACCACAGAGCCTACCTTTTCTCACCTGGCCTTGCCTGAGGAAGTCTTACTCCAGGAACAACTGACACAAGGAGCCTCAAAGAACTCCCAATTAGGGCAATCCAAGGATCAGGATGGGCCATCTGAAATGCAAGAAGTCCACTTGAAAATAGGGATAGGCCCCCAGCGGGGGAAGCTGCTGGAGAAAATGAGTTCTGAACGTGATGGTTTGGGGTCAGATGATGGTGTATGTACAAAGATTACACAGAAACAAGTTTCAACAGAAGGTGATCTCTATGAATGTGATTCACATGGACCAGTTACAGATGCCTTGATTCGCGAAGAGAAAAATTCCTATAAATGTGAGGAATGCGGGAAAGTGTTTAAAAAGAATGCCCTCCTTGTTCAGCATGAACGGATTCACACTCAAGTGAAGCCCTATGAATGCACAGAGTGTGGGAAAACCTTTAGCAAGAGCACTCATCTTCTTCAGCACCTCATCATCCACACTGGGGAGAAGCCCTATAAGTGCATGGAGTGTGGGAAGGCTTTTAACCGCAGGTCACACCTCACACGGCACCAGCGGATTCACAGTGGAGAGAAGCCTTATAAGTGCAGTGAATGTGGAAAGGCCTTCACCCACCGCTCCACTTTTGTCTTGCATCACAGGAGCCACACTGGAGAAAAACCCTTTGTGTGCAAAGAGTGTGGCAAAGCCTTTCGAGATAGGCCAGGTTTCATTCGACACTACATCATCCACACGGGAGAGAAGCCCTATGAGTGCATTGAGTGTGGGAAGGCCTTCAACCGCCGGTCATACCTCACGTGGCACCAACAGATTCACACTGGAGTGAAACCCTTTGAATGCAACGAGTGTGGAAAAGCTTTTTGCGAGAGTGCAGACCTCATTCAACACTACATTATCCACACTGGGGAGAAGCCCTATAAGTGCATGGAGTGTGGGAAGGCGTTCAACCGTAGGTCACACCTCAAGCAGCATCAACGGATTCACACTGGGGAGAAGCCTTATGAATGCAGTGAATGTGGAAAGGCCTTCACCCACTGCTCCACTTTTGTCTTGCATAAAAGGACCCACACAGGAGAAAAACCCTATGAATGCAAAGAATGTGGAAAAGCCTTTAGTGATAGGGCAGACCTCATTCGCCACTTCAGCATCCACACTGGAGAGAAACCCTATGAGTGCGTGGAGTGTGGAAAGGCCTTCAACCGCAGCTCACACCTCACGAGGCACCAACAGATTCACACTGGAGAGAAACCCTATGAATGCATCCAGTGTGGGAAAGCCTTTTGCCGGAGCGCAAACCTTATTCGACACTCCATCATTCACACTGGAGAGAAGCCGTATGAATGCAGTGAGTGTGGAAAGGCTTTTAATCGCGGCTCATCCCTCACACATCATCAAAGGATTCATACTGGGAGAAACCCTACCATTGTAACAGATGTGGGAAGACCTTTTATGACTGCACAGACTTCAGTCAACATCCAGGAACTTTTATTAGGGAAAGAGTTTTTGAATATCACCACTGAAGAAAATCTGTGGTGAAAGGGAACATCTTACCATCTGGCCATTCACACTGAAGAGAAACTTCATAAGCATCCTCTCTTTGAGAAAACGTGTAATAGATGATCATTTGTCGTCTAAACAATCAAGTTAGAAATTGAACCAGCCTGGAGTCTTATTCTCCACCTGAGAATTCACCCATGAGAGAGACCCAGTGGTTGCTATGCACTTAGGAAAACTTTCAGCCACATCTTTCTTCTTAGTTTACAGTGAAATATTATCTCAGGGATATTTTTTTTTTTTTTTTGAGACGGAGTCTCGCTCTGTCGCCCAGGCTGGAGTGCAGTGGCGGGATCTCGGCTCACTGCAAGCTCCGCCTCCCGGGTTCACGCCATTCTCCTGCCTCAGCCTCCCAAGTAGCTGGGACTACAGGCACCCGCCACTACGCCTGGCTAATTTTTTGTATTTTTAGTAGAGACGGGGTTTCACCGTTTTAGCCGGGATGGTCTCGATCTCCTGACCTCGTGATCCGCCCGCCTCAGCCTCCCAAAGTGCTGGGATTACAGGCGTGAGCCACCGCGCCCGGCCATCTCAGGGATATTTAAACAAAGGAAGAGGAAATATAGGGAAGAGAAAGAAACCACAGCTTCTTTTAGACTTGTCTGACAAGCCTATGGCAATTTTGTCGTCCCTTTGTTATTTTATGTGGGAGAGGGAAATGTTTCAGAAACGAAAGATCTCATCCCCTTTATTTTTCTGTGTATGCATTCACTGCTGCCCAGTGTCAGAACAGTTATACAAACGAGGGCTTGAAAACATTTTGTGAAAACTTGCTTAGTCCTGCAACGTTCTCCACTCTCGAGGTGCAGAAGCATACATCTTTATAAAAAATATGGAGGCTTGAGTTATGAAACACTTTTATAAGGAGATAAGGATGTACATATGTTTGGACACATTGTCCACTTCAGATGCTTGTTTAAAAAAATGTTTCACCATGTGTCTTTACCCAATACACATACTTTTTCTTGATGTGGATTTACTTTTTTTTTTTTTTTTTAAGTTTTCCTGGGATAGGGATGATAGTGTAATTGTTCATGCCCACAGTAATCCTGGGAATCTTAGTTTTTTCCTATGATTGTGGTTTCTCAGCTTCTTTACCTCTCCTTTGAGTTAGGTCCACCTCAGTTTTCTAAAGGTCAAATTAAGGCCCCCCCAAAAATACAGTATGTAGCTGAATTCCTTTGAAAGATCATGATAAACTCAGAAGAACAAACATAGAAGGAATGTCATTTTTAATCTTTTTAAAGAGTGTGTGAAAATTCACTTTAACTGGAATTTTAACAGGCAAGCCGGCATGCATATATGTAGGGATGTGTGACTTTCACAGTTGTCACCATGGACTTAGGCTTGATTAAAATGCTACACATTTAGAGCGTTTTGTAATTCCTTTTTTATATTTTTAAGACTAGATTTTGAGCCATGTGATAGTTTTACCTCATATTAAATATATTGTACAGAAGTAAAAATAATCATGTATTCACTTTGAACTCCTCAAAGCCTTTTTTATTTATTTACTTATTTACTTACTTGGTTTAGGAGCAGAGGTTTAATAGGCAAAAGAAAGAGAAAAGAGACTAGCTCTCTTCTGAGAAGAGAGGGGTGTCCAAGTGGGACTTCCCTCCTCAGAGCCTTTTTTTTTTTTTTTTTTTTGGAGACAGAGTTTTGCTCTTGTTGCTCAGGCTGGAGTTCAGTGGCACAGTCTTGGCTCACTGCAACCTCTGCCTCCCGAGTTCAAGCGATTCTTCTTCAGCCTCCCAAGTAGCTGGGATTACAGGCATGCGCCACCACGCCCAGCTAATTTTGTATTTTTAATAGAGATGGGGTTTCTGCATGTTGGTCAGGCTGATCTCGAACTCCTGACAGGTGATCCACCTGCCTCGGCCTCCCAAAGTGCTGGGATTACAGGTGTGAGCCACTGCGCCCAGCGCTCACAGCCTTTTAGTGAACACTTGTATAGTTTTCTATTGTAGGCAAAGCCATTTTGTACTGCATTAATTCATGTCATTATTTTGAAGACATCTCTTGGTCCTTTTTTTTTTTTAATTGAGATGGAGTCTCGCTCTGTTGCCCAGGCTGGAGTGCAGTGGTGAGATCTCGGCTCACTGCAGCCGCCTCCACCTTCCGGGTTCAAGTGATTTTCCTGCCTCAGCCTCCCAAGTAGCTGGGACTACAGGTTTGTGCCACCACACCCAGCTAATTTTTGTATTTTTAGTAGAGATGGGGTTTCACCATGTTGGCCAGGATGGTCTTCATCTCTTAACCTTGTGATCTGCCTGGCTCAACCTTCCAAAGTGTTGGGATTACAGGCGTGGCCACTACGCCTGGCCCTCCTTGTCCTTTTTATGTCATGTCTAAGAACTCCTCACCAGGTTTTCTATCGTATTTCCTCCTACAAATTTTATCTTCTACATTGGATCTGATTCATGTTAAGTTAATTTTTGTATTACAGTATGAACTTTAGTTTCTTTTGTTGTTGCCCATGAATTTTTTTAAGCTCCATTTCTTGAAAAGACTATTCTGCCTCTATTGAATTGCTTTTACACCTTAGCAAAAAATTATTTAAGTATATTCATGTTGGTCTATTTCTTGGTTCTCTATGTTATTCCATTGGTCTTCGAGCCTAAACCTATGCCAATACCACTCTATTTTGATTACTATTGCTATCTACTAAATTTTAAAATAGGGTAAACTTATTCCTCACTCTTTATTCTTTTTAAAAATTGATTTGGGGCCAGGCATGGTGGCTCACGCCTGTAATCCCAACACTTTCGGAGGCCAAGGTGGGCAGATTACATGAGGTCAGGAGTTCAAGACCTGCCTGGCCAATATGATGAAAACTCGTCTCTATTTAAAAAATACAAAACCTAGCCAGGCAAGGTTGCAGGCGCCTGTAGTCCCAGCTACTCGGGAGGCTGAGGCAGAAGAATTGTTTGAACCCGGGAGGTGGAAGTTGCAGTGAGCTGAGATGGTGCCACTACACTCCAGCCTGGGTGACAGAGTGAGACCCTGTCTCAAAAAATAAATAAAAAATAAAAATTGATTTGGCTTTCATATCAATTGTTTCCTTTGGCTTTGTATATACATTTTATTGCATGTTTGTCTCTATGAAATATGTTGCTGGGATTTTGATATAAATTGCCTTAAATCTAAAGATCGTTTTGGTGGGAATTGACATCTTGTTGAGTCTTGCAGTTCATGAATATGGTACGTCCCTCTGTTTATTGAGGTCCTCGTTGATTTATTTCATAAGGGTTTTGTAATTTTCAGCTTATAGATTATGGACATATTTTAAAAATCTAGACAGTTTCTTAGAGGGCCATTATATGTTGTATTGAGTTTTAAATTTCAGTTTGCACTTGATACTTGCAATTATAGAGAAATATATAAATTAGAATTTTTATATGTATTCTGTGACTTTGCTGAAGTCAGTAGTTCCAGCAACATTTTTTAATAGCTTTCTTAGGATTTTCTTCATAAATATTAATGTTATTAGCAAACATCAAACATCTTACTTCTACTTTTTTTTTTTTTTTTTGACACTCTTGTTCTGTCACCTAAGCTGGAGTACAGTGGTGCGATCTTGGCTCACTGCAACCTCTGCCTCTCGGGTTCAAGGAATTTTTACCCTCAGCCTCTCGAGTAGCTGGGATTACTAGCACACTCCACTATGCCCAGCTAATATTTGTGTATTTTGTAGAGATGAGGTTTCACCATGTTGCCAGACGGGTCTCAAACTCCTGAGCTCAAGTGAGCCTCCTGCCTCAGCCTCCCAAAGTGCTGGAATTATAGGCATGAGCCACTGCTCCTGGCCCAAACATCTTATTTCACCTACCCAATCTATATTACTTTTATTTCCTTTTCTTGTGTTTATTGCACTAGCTAGAACTTCCAGTGTGATGTTGAATAGAAATGGTGAAAGAGGACATACTTGCCTTTTTCTTGATGTTTGGGAGAAAGCATTCAGTGTAGATCGTTAAATATAATACCTGTAGACTTTTATGTACATGTTCTTTAGAAAGTTTCCCTTCTGAGTTGCTGAGGGCTTTTATTGTGAATGGGCATGTAATTTGCCAAATGCTTTTCCCCCTTCAATTGATATGATCATGTAATTTTTCTTCTTTAGCCTGTTATGATGGATGGCTTTAACTGATTTTAGAATGTTTTGTTGTTTTTTTGAGACCAAGTCTCACTCTTTCGCCAAGGCTGGAGTGCAGCAGTGGAGCAATCTCAGCTCACTGCAACCTCCGCCTCCCAGGTTCAAGCAATTCTCTTGCCTCAGCCTCCCAAGTAGCTGGGACTACAGGCGTGCACCACCATGCCCAGCTAATTTTTGTATTTTTAGTAGAGATGGGGTTTCACCATGTTGGCCAGGCTAGTCTCGAACTCCCAACCTCAAGGGATCCGCCCACCTCGGCCTCCCAAAGTACTGGAATTACAGGCATGAGCTACCATGCCTGGCCGCTTTTTGAATGTAGGCCAGCCTTGCACTCCTGGGATAAACCCCACCAGGTCATGGAATATGATTTTTTTTTTTTTTTTGAGACGAAGTCTCTGTCACCCAGGCTGGAGTACAGTGGCACGATCTCGGCTCACTGCAACCTCCACTTCCCAGGTTCAAGCGATTCTTCTGCTTCAGCCTCCCGAATAGCTTGGACTACTGTCATGTGCCACCATGCCTGGCTAATTGGAATATGATTTCTTTTAATTACAACATTCCATTTGCTAGTATTTTATTGAGAAATTTTGTATCTGAAATCATGAGTATTCCATCTGGCCAAATATGTGGCTGGAATTTCATCAAAAGTGGCAGAGGGGTTCCCAGAAGGGACTGTTTCAAAAAGTCCTGAGATAGGACCTGTTGGGATTCCAAAGAAAGGAGCATAAAACACCAGGGTAATCAGTTCAAATCATTGTTCGGAGGAACTTTCATACAGGGTTGTGGGGGCTGCAGTGTGTCCTTGTGTTGGACAGCAAACAAAAAAAAAAGCTCTACTTGTGTACGTCTGCAATGAGAAGTTTGGGTTATGGAGAGTATATGAGGGCTTAAGGAATTTGGCTCAGATCCAGGGCCAGTTTCTACATGTTTAGCAACATGTTTGATCTCTCAGTGTTTCGGGCAACAATGTAACTGTCAGTGCCTGGGCATTCCAATCCCTAGCTTACGTTTAAGCCTGCAGGGGAAGACATGCACTTGGTCCAGGGTCACAGAGCTGTCAAGGCACCTTGCACTTCTAGGCCAGGACACAGAAAGGGGAGTTGGGGACCACTACAATGAGCAATGTTGGTCAGTAGTTTTATTTGTTTGTTTTCACTTTATCTGATTTTGGTGTTTGACTAATACTGGCCTCCCAAAATCAACTGGGAATTTTTCCTCCAGTGCCACCCCCTTTTTATTTGCATGACATTTTGTAGAATTGGTGTTGTTTCTTTAAGTATTCGGTAGAATTTTTTGGTGAAACCATTTAAGTCTGGAGGTTTCTCTTGTGGAAGGTTTGAATTACGTAGTCATTCAACTTAATAGGTACTCAAACTATTTCATATTGGGTGGGTTTTGATAGATTATTATTTTTGAGGAATTGTTCCATTTCATCTAAGTTTTGTAACTTAAATTTGTGGAGTTATTTATTTGAAGTATTCCCTTATTATTCCCTTCATGACAGAAGGTTCTATAGTTGTATCCTTTGTTTTATTCCTAATAGTGGTTATGTGTGTCTTCTTTATCTTTGTTAATCTTCTTAGATGTTTATAAATTTTATTGACTATTTCAAAGAACCAGCTTTCTGTGTCATTGATTTTCTATGTGTTCTGACTTTGATTTCTATTCTGATCATTATTATTTTCTTTTTCTACTTGTTTTGGTTGTATATTGCTGTTTGTAGATTCTTGAGGTGGGAGCTTAGATTATCATTAGAGACTTTATTCTAACATAAGCATTTAGTTTTATAAGCTAAACTCAGCACTGTTTGAGCTCCATCTTACATTTTCCTATATTGTAATTATATTTTCATTCAGCTTAACTATTTCTCGATTCCATTTAAGAAATTATCTGTGACACATGGGTTATTTAGAAGTGTGCTCTTTTGGCCGAGCACGGTGGCTCACGCCTGTAACCCCAGCACTTTGGGAGGCTGAGGCGGGCAGATCATGAGGTCAAGAGATGGAGACCATCCTGGCCAACATGGTGAAACCCCATCTCTACTAAAAATACAAAAATTAGCTGGCGTGGTGGCGGGCTCCTGTAATCCCAGGTACTCGGAAGGCTGAGGCAGAAGAATCGCTTGAACTCGGGAGGCGGAGGGTGCAGTGAGCTGAGATCGCACCACTGCACTCCAGCCTGGCGGCAGGGCAAGACTCTGTCTCAAAAAAAAAAAGAAAAAGAAAAGTGTGCTCTTTCATTTCCAAGTATTTAAAATACTCCTGTTATCATGTTGTTATTTTTAGTTTCACATTTGGCCTGAGCACAAGCTCGTTTAATTTCAAAACATTTATATTTGTTGAAGTTTGTTTTGGGGCCATAAACAAAAAGCCCATAAACAACATGCTTGTGGAGTATTCCGTAGGTACTTGTAAAAAGGATGTATATTCTGGTGTTGTTTGGTAAAATATTCTGTGTTTATGGATCCTGTTGATTAATGATGTTATTCAGACTTTCTATATTTTCCTCATTTTTTGTCTAATATTTTGCTAAAAGAAGGATGTTAAAGTCCCCAACAGTAATTGTGGAATTTTTTATTTCTTCTTTCAGTTCTATCACTTTTTGCTTCATATATTTGAATGTTCTCTTGTTTGGTGTATATGCATTTATGATTATTATATCTTCTTCATGTATTGTCCCTCTTATCATTATGAAACTTTCCTCTTTGTCCATGTTCATTTTCTGAGCTCTGAAGTATACTTTGTCTTACACTAATACAAGGTATAATTGCTGCATTTTTAAAAGTTAATGTTTGCATGGCTTATCTTTGTCCATTTCTTTTATTTTCAACCTGCCTACATCATTATATTTGAAGTAAATTTTATGTAGACAACATGTAGTTGGGTCCTGCTCTTTTTCTTTTTCACTTTGAAAATCTCTCTTAGTTGGTATATTAAACCATTTATCTTTAAGGTGGCTATTGATATGTTGCACTAAATATATCATTTTTTTCCTTTGCTTTTCCTTTTTTTTTTTCCCCCTTGAGACAGAGTCTTGCTCTGTTGCCCAGGCTCCAGTACAGTGGCATGATCTCGGCTCACTGCAACCTCCACTTCCCGGGTTCAAGCGATTCTCCTACCTCAGCCTCCTGAGTAGCTGGGATTACAGGCATGTGCCACCACGCCTGGCTAATTTTTGTATTTTTTTAGTAGAGACGGGGTTTCGCCATGTTGGCCGGGCAGGTCTCGAACTCCTGACCTCAGGTGATCTACCACCTCGGCCTCCCAAAGTGCTGGGTTTACAGGCGTGAGCCACCATGCCTGGCCTCTTTTTCCTTTTTTTTCTTTTTTTGTTTCTGTGTTGGTTTGGTTTTTGGCATATTTTATTTTCTTGCCTTTTTTTTTGGATACCTGTACAATTTTAAGAATTCAGTTTTGGTTTGTCTGTAGTGTTTTTTAAATTTTTAAATTTTATTTTAACAGCAAGCTCTAACATAGTGCTTTTTTAAGTGTATTTCTTGGTATAATTATTTTAGTGGTTACTTTATGTATTAAAATGTATTTATGTAACTTAATCACAATCTGCTGGTTGTCAACATTATAGCAATTTGAGTGATTTGTAGAAATGTTACTTTTATTAGGTCCCTTTATACTCATTATTCTTTTTTTTTTTTTTTTTTTTTGAGACGGAGTCTCGCTCTGTCGCCAGGCTGGAGTGCAGTGGTGCAGTCTCGGCTCACTGCAACCTCCACCTCCCAGATTCAAGCGATTCTCCTGCCTCAGCCTTTCAGTAACTGGGACTACAGGCGCTTGCCACCATGCCTAGCTAATTTTTGTATTTTTAGTAGAAATGGGGTTTCATCACGTTGGCCTGATCTCCTGACCTCGTGATCCACCCGCCTCAACCTCCCAAAGTGCTGGGATTACAGGCGTGAGCCACTGCGCCCGGCCCCATTATTCTTTTAATACAATTGTCTTGAGCATTTACTCTCCATGTGCTGAGCACCATATTGAATGATGTTATAATTTCTGCTTCTGTTGTCAAACCTATTTATTTAAAATCTCTAGTCCTATGTCATAATGTCAGACTTTGTTGAAAGGACAAGAATAGTCTCTTTGCCTGTATTTCTTACCCTTTCCATTGTTCTTCTATCTTGAAGCCTCCTTCTACCATTTTCTTTGCATGTGGAGAACTTCCTGTAGCCATTTTTTTTAGAATAAGTCTACCTGTGACAAATATTCTTTGTTTTCTTTTATCTGAGAATATCTTTATTTCTTAATTCTTGAAGGAAATTTTTGTGTGGTATAGGATTCATGGTTGACAAGTCTTTTCTTTTGGAAAACTTGAAAAACATTGCAGCACTTCCCTGTGGCCTCTGGTTTTAAATGAGAAATCTGCTTCCATTTGAACTGTTCTTCTTCTTTACTAATGTGTCATTTCTCTCTAACTGCTTTTAAAATGTGTGTCTTTAGTTTTCAGAAATGTGATTATGATGTGTCCTAGTGTGGAATTTTTTTATGTTTATCCTGTTGCGTGATTGTTCGGTTTTTCAAGTCTTCAGGTGTATGGCTTCTGCCAAATCTGGGAAATGTTTGGCCTTTATTTCTTCAAATATTTTCATTCCCACTCCCTTCCCCCTTTTTGCAACTCAGAAAAACTGAGTGAGGTCTTTATTTTAATTGTTCCAAATGTCAGGCCTCTATTTTAATTGTTTCAAATGTTAGGTCTCTATTTTACCTGTTCCAAATGTCCTTGAAGCGCTCTTCTTTTAAGTTTTGTGACCTTGATCTGTCTTTGGAGAGGGCTGCAGGGAGTGGAGTGCTGACGACTCTCACTGCTTGCCTTGAGATGGCGCTATCCTGGAAGTGAAAGTATAATGCCAACTAGCATTGCCTTGGACTGCCTCCTTCTGCCTTGCTACTGGCTAGGGGTGGGAGTTTGGCTCTCCTGCTGTGCAAAGGGAAGGAGCATGTAGACTTTTTAAATCAGGTTGCTTAAAAGTGGGCCAAAGGGGAGGTGGGGCTTTTAAACTGGCAACAATCAAATGTCACATATCAAAAATGGAGTCAGAGGCCAGGCACGGTGGCTCACGCCTGTAATCCCAGCACTTTGGGAGGCCGAGCAGGGAGGATTGCCTCAGGCCAGGAGTTCAAGACAAGCGTGGCCAACATAGCGAAACCGTGTCTCTACTAAAAATACAAAAAATTAGCCGGTCATGGTGGCGCATGCCTGTAATTCCAGCTACTCAGGAGGCTGAAGCACAAGAATCGCTTGAACCCTGGAGGCGGAGGTTGCAGAGAGCCAAGAATGTGCCACTGCACTCCAGCCGGGGCAACAGAGTGAGACTCTGTCTAAAAAACAACAACAAAAAAAAAAACCCATAAAACAAAAATGGAATCAGACTGTCATACTTTTGGTTGGCTGAAAAATAGGAAAAAAAACAAACCCAGCCTTATTTATAGATGGATTATCTTGATGTTTGGAGTAAGCTAAAAATAGATTGATACATCACATCCTGCCTTGAGTGGCTGTGATGTGGCCAGGGATGTAGAGAAATCCTCTCCATGGCCTGAAGCTGGACCAGTACAAGTGGGCGTTACCTTTGTGCTGGGAGAAGTGCCCTGAGGTAAAGATACATGTGTGCTTTTGTGGGAAATGGTTTGTCTCGTTGTTCAGAAGTGCTGCAGATCAGTGACAAGTATATATAGAACAAGGGCATGAAATTACTGGAGTGGGCAAAGTGAGTGGATATTTATGTCCCACGTCAGTGCCTATAAAAAGAAACCCACTGCAGAAGAGGGGAGGGGAACCTAGTAGTTAAGGTTAACCAGGCTCAGTCCTCAGCCATCCCAGTCCTTGCACTCTAGGGATATAAAATATAGTCACCAAGGTGTTAGGGGACGGAGGGTTTTTTTTGTTTGTTATTGTTTTTTGTTTGTTTGTTTGTTTTGAGACGGAGTCTCACTCTGTCACCAGGCTGGAGTGCAGTGGCACGATCTCAGCTCACTACAACCTCCACCTCCCGAGTTCAAGCAATTCTCCTGCCTCAGCCTCCTGAGTAGCTGGGATTATAGGCGCTTGCAACCATGCCCAGCTAATTTTTGTATTTTTAGTAGAGACGGGGTTTCACCATGTTGGCCAGGATGGTCTCGATCTCTTGACCTCATGATCCACCCACCTCAGCCTCCCAAAATGCTGGGATTACAGGCGTGAGCCACTGCAGCCAGCCAGGAATGGAGGTTTTAAAAGGGCCCAACAACATGGCATCCTGCTGACCACAACTAAAATAGCTCCGCTCCTTACCTACTATTTACGAAGACCAACACTAAGACAGTATATGGTGTAATCCCTACAAGAGAACAGCCTGCCCCTTGGTGACATGTTTACGTCAGACCTTTTTCCTCCCAGACAGTGCATTGATTCTTATTTAATGGCATTGCTGCTTTTTCTGGATATGACATTAACTTCCCTGCCAACAGAGCCTTTGCTGAAACCATTATAAGGGAGTGTATTGACTTCTTCATATACCAACACTGGCTGGTCATTACCTTAAAGATCCAATCACAATGTAGACACAAATGGATTAGGGTTTGTAGCTAACGCTGTTGATGTCTTGTTCTGTACAACCCATCTTCCTACAAGTCTTATCAAATGACCTCTGGGAGGATGTCAGCCTGCTCACTAATAAAGTTTTTGTTTTGTTTTGTTTTTTGAGACAGAGTCTGGCTCTGTCCCCCAGGCTGTAGGGTAGGAGTGCAGTGGTGTGATCTCGGCTCACTGCAGCCTTCGCCTCCTGGGTTCAAGTGATTCTCATGCCTCAGCCTTCTTAGTAGCTGAGATTACAGGTGTCCACCACCACACCCGGCTAATTTTTGTATTTTTGGTAGAGACAGGGTTTCACCATGTTGGCCAGGCTGGTCTCGAACCCTTGACCTCAATTGATCCACCCTCTTCAGCCTCCCAAAGTGCTGGGATTACAGGTGTGAGCCACTGTGCCTGGCCACTAATAAAGTTTTATTGCGCCCCCTCTTCCGTCTCACTGCCTCATTTTCATTCCTGTGCATCCTGAGTTCATATCTCAGATAAACTCCCTGTACTCCAGTAATCATCTCACAGTTTACTGCCATAGAATATCAAAAGTAAGAAGTTCTGTTTTCACATTCTTTCTATTAATGAACACCCAATTTTCACATTCTTTCCCCTCTCACTTCTGTAGATCGTTACTTCATACTCATTTTCTGAAATGTCTTCCTCTTTTTGCCCCATTCTGTGGGACTCAACCATGCAAAGCTCTAAACCTAGATTGAACATTAGTCCAACGTTTTCTGAGCTGACCCAGGCTGTTTGGAAGTTCTGGGAAAAACCTTAACCCCCATTTCCACCACCCCACAGACCTCTTCCCATCCCTCAGTGAACTAAAATCTCTGGAGGATCCAGTTTCTCAGATGCCCAGTATTTTTCTGGCCTTGCCATTGCCATTTTTGGGGGAAATCACTTATCCACACCAATTAAAGGAATGTCAGATGAAGTTTTCTGTTAGTCTTCCTAAATTGTGGCAGCCAGTGTCTCCCCATGAGTTGCGTGCAAACCCCCACATGGCTCTGTACAACTTTCTCTTTGCAAAATTAATATTTTTAGTATATAAAATGATATGCCAGATGTATGGTTGTCTTTCCTAAATCTATACAGCCATCCCTATGTTTTCACTTACTCTAAAGGAAGTTCAAATTTTGCATTGTTTTCTTGCATGTTTTCTTTATATATCATTCCTTTTTTTTTTTTTTTTGGACAGGTCTAGGGGAATATCTAAGGTGTAGTCTTGAATTATCTCTAAGTTTAAATATTCTTCTATTAATTTTTTTGCCTTTTTTTATTTTTGTGGAGAATGAGGTCTTGTTATGTTGCCCAGGCAGGTCTTGAACTCCTAGGCTCATTCTATCCTCCTGCCTCTGCCCTCCTAAGTGCTAGGATTGCAAGCATGAGCCATCATGTTCAGTCCTATTAATTTTTCTTAAAAAAGATAATGAAGTAAACTTTGCATTCAGTAATCTCCTGTTAAGAATATTTTTGGTGAATTTTGATGAATACATGATTTTGTGATCACAAACCACCATTAAAGCTGTGAAATATTTCCATCACAAGAAAATATTCCTTGATATAGTCAAACTGTCTCCCAAACTCCAGCTATAAGGCCCATTCATTTAGGTTTTTCTCTTTTTGCCTTTTTTAGAATGTGAAGTGAATGGAATCATATAATATGTGGTTTTCAGATATTTTCACTTGGCATATGATTTTGGGATTTATTCATTTTATTTCATATTGTTTCTTATATAGAGTAGTTTATTTTGTGGATATGCTACAATTTGTTCATCTGTTCACCTGTTCGTGAACAATTTTCCAAGTTTTTGGCTGTCGTGAATAGGACGTTCATGAATATTTGCTACAGATATTTGGATGGAAACATTTTAACTTGTCTTTTGTAAATAACTAAGAGTAGAATTGGTATATCATATGGTATGTTTATATTTACCTATATAGGAAGCTGTCAAGTTGTTTTCCAAAATGACTATCATTTTGCATTCTCATCAAAAATGTATGAGAGTCCAGTGCTGCATCTTTGTCATCACTTGGTATTTATTGTCACTTTGAAACATTTTACTAATTTCAGCAGGTGTGTTGCAGTATTTTATTTGGGTTTTAAGTTGCATTGCTAAAATGACTCATGATATTGAATATCTTTTCATGTGTTCATTGTTGATTTGTATATCTTTAGTTATTTGTCCAAATCTTTTTTTTTTTTTTTTTTTTTTGAGACAGAATCTTGCTCTATCTCCCAGGCTAGAGTGCAATGGTGCAATCTTAGCTCACTGAAACCTCTGTCTCCCAAGTTCAACTGATTCTCATGCCTCGGCCTCTTGAGTAGCTCGGATTACAGGCACGCACCACCACGCCCAGCTGGTCCAAATCTTTTTTCAATTTTTAATTGCTTTTTTCTTCTTAACACGAAATTACATAACTTTGCTTTAATTTTCTCCTTTTTAAATGTTCTATATTATAGTCATTTCTCAGTTATATGTTTTGCAAATTGTTTTTTTTTTCAGTCTTTGACTTGCCTTTTAATTTTCTTAGCAGTGTTTTTGGAAGAGTAGATGTCTTAAATTCTGATGTAATAAAAATATTTTGTCTTTATGTTTTTTTGTGTGTGTCCTGTCTAATTAGACTTTGCCTACTGCAATGTTGCAAAGCTTTGACTTATGTTTTCTTCTAGGCATTTTATATTTTTAGATCTTTTATGTGGTCTGAGACCCTTTTTTTTTTTTTTTTTTAACGGAATCTCGCTCTGCCACACAGACTGGAGTGCAAAATGATACAATCTTGGCTCACTGCAACCTCTGCCTCCCAGGTTCAAGCGATTCTCGTACCTCAGCCTCCTAAGTAGCTGGGACTACAGGCACATGCCACTATGCCCAGCTAATTTTCGTATTTTTAGTAGAGATGGGGTTTTGTCTTATTGGTGAGGCTGGTCTCCAACTCCTGACCTCAAGGTGATCCACCCACCTCGGCCTCCCAAAGTGCTGGGATTACAGGCGTGAGCCACTGAGCCCGGCCTGAGTTAACGTTTATATATGATCTGAGGTAAGGGTTTCACATTAAATTAAATGTGTTTTATAACCCAACAAATCACTCTGGGGACATAACCATTAGGAATGAGGGCTTTCTTACACCAAAATACATGTACACAAAGATTTATAACAATTTCACAATAATCAACAACTATAAATAATTCAAATGACAGTCATCTGTAAGATATTTAAGTAAATTGTGAAACAGTCATAAAGTGGAAGAAAACACACAGATTAAAACTGTTACTTTTGTCCAACAAGATGAATGAATTTTCCAGGAAGGAATACTTGAGTTGGGGCTTGTGGAAGCCCCAACCTGTTTGTAGTTTGGGGTTGCCATCTGCCTCACAGAGCAAAGTGAAGGGTTTGGATTTGGGGAACACAAAATTGTGTTCTCCTATGAAAAACCTTTCTGTAATATAGTTGGCCGTGGTATTTGCCAGGAATGAAAGGTCAGGGTTGGAGACCTCATGAGTCTGGGTTTTCATTTGAGGTTAAGAGAAAAGGTAGTGATTATAATCAGAAAATCTAGAGTGGGTGTAATTACCTCCAGAACTCACTACTGTTAGCCTGGGTTTTATGGTAGTTATGGAAGTGGATTAACTACTAATGATAAAAAATATAGTCTCCTCCACCTCAGAAAATCTCGAGTGGCAGTGACACGCCAAACACACAGTAGCAAATACAGTAGAATTTTATTGATACTTTTTTAACCAGACAAACCTCATAAATGGTGATTTTTTAAAAAAACAGAATAATGTTCACATTTTTGCAGCATTAACTGAGAGAAGGCAAATTTGTGCCTGAGAGGGAGGAAATGTTCTCTTCATTTGCAGTTCTAGGAATTACATGGGAAACACATGTAGGTAGTCTTCAAGCTATAAATTTAAGATTTGTTTACTTAATCTATAGGTTTATACATGTATGAGAAATGGGAAAAAAGAATAAATGTAATACATTAAAACCAATACAGTGAATCTCCACACCCTCCAATGAAAATATGGAACAAAATCTCAGCATGCCCAGCATGAGTCTGCCAGATTGCAAATTCCATCCAACGCTTCAGAGGATGCTATTATCAAGATTTCTTCATAGTTTGACACTTTAAATATGTGTCAATAATGATAGCTATTATATTATGGCCTGATTTTGAAATTTATATTAATGGAATCATGCTTGTAGAGATGTTTTTTCATATTACCGGGATATATTTTTCTGTTATTTTTAAAGATGTTTGAAATGAATGTATATCTTTCTAATTATCATCCTTTGTTGATAACATGTACATTAAATGGGATTGCTTTAAAATTCATTGAATCTCATGAGAATATGTAGAAATGACATTAGTTTTGGTACATTGTAAAGCAAAACTTCAGGTTGAATATCCTATGATAATTTAAAACCACAAAATTATACTATTAATAATAGAGCTTGAGCACTTTAAGGGACCATAGAGACTCCTTTAATGTAATGGTGAGAATACAGAGGTACAGAGAAGTCAGGTGACTAGCCGAAGCCCACACTCTAAGATAAAGGCCGACCCCATCTATTTTTCCTAACTTGTCAGAATACTGTAAATTATACTGCTTTTAAAAGACCTATGAAATTGGTGTTGGAGATGCCATCTTGCAAATAAAATATTCTCAAATTTTGATTATCTTTGTTTTCTTTATGCATGGGTTACTTAGCGTTTTGTGACTTGATATGCAACCACAGCTTAAAAAATTTCCAGTTATCTTCTATTTTTGATCTGTACCCTGATTGAATTATTTTATTTCATTTTACACAAGTTTAAAGAGATTTTTAATTGTCCTAGCTATTCTCAGTTTTGTTTGTACTCTGTGCTAAAACATGCTGCAATTGGTGTCTGTTATGTTATATGGATTTATCAGGCCAAATGTGTTCATCATGGTATGTGAATCCAACAGAACTGTACCAATGTTATGCCTGCCTTTTTGATATTATTACTGAGATAACGAATATCAAAGCAGACTGGTTTGTTTAGAGATTTAACCCTTTATTCTCATTATACTAAAATTGTTTTATGTAATTTGAATTCATGTTTAAAATTGTAAAGTATGTTTTCCTGTTGATATTTTCTCCCTTATTTCTATTTGTCCGATACAAATGTGCATTTTTTTGTGTGTGTTTGTGTTTAATAATTACAGGTATGTATTTTCTAGACCTCGATTTAATATATTTCTATGACATTATACCTTAGATGTGTAAGCTATGAACTAATTATTACTGGATATTTTTAACTCATCAAAAATTACTGCCTACTTATTCAATAATTTATTCCATGTTCTTTTCTTGTGATAGCTAATATATTTGGGCTTAAATGCATCTTCTTATTTTGTGCTTATCTTTTCTTCAGTTTTGTTTCTTGTGCTTTCTTTTAAAAACATGTATAGATTATTAATATTCTTAATTTTCCTTTTAGTTTGGAATGTATATACTCATTTTGTTAGTCTTTAAGCTGAAAATTATAACACATGTATTTAACACATCAGGGTATAGAGTTATTAATACCTTTACCCTCCTCTTGGATAATATAAGGCATGTTATCATGTAGTGGTATTGAGGCATCGTTAATTCTATTGTTCTACTCAACAAGGGGATATTGTTCATGTTTTATACAGATAATGAATAATTGTATTGATCCGCAGATGCATTCCTTATATCACGCAGATCTCTCACCTGGAATCACTTTTTTTTTGCCTTAAATATAACCTTTTGGGTTACCTTTTTAACTAAAATTTTCATTTTTTACCTCATATGGTCTTATTTTATACTGCTTCTTGAAAAACACTATTGTTGTGAATAGAAATCTAGGTTTGCACTTATTTCTTCAGTAACTTCACTGTATCCTTCCACTACATCCATGAGTCACTATATACTGGATGTGAGTGGAGACAATTTATATTGTGACTATAGTCTTCCTGTGCTACAGAAACAAAATTTGATGGCGGTGGTGTTTTGTTTTGTTTTGTTTTTGTTTTTGCTTTTGTTTTGCTTTTGAGACAGAGTTTTGCTCTTGTCGCCCAGGCTGGAATGCAATGGCAGAATCTCGGCTCACTGCAACTTCCACCTCCCAGGTTCAAGCGATTCTCCTGCCTCAGCCTCCCAAGTAGCTGGGATTACAGGCACCCAACACCATGCCCTGCTAATTTTTGTATTTTTAGTAGAGACGGGGTTTCACCATGTTGGCCAGGCTGGTCTTGAACTCCTGACCTCAAGTGATCCACCCACCTCGGCCTCTCAAAGTGCTGGGATTACAGGCATGAGCCACTGTACTCAGCGGTGATGGTGGTTTTTTTGTGTTTTGTTTTTGTTTTTGGAGATGGAGTTTCGTTCTTATTGCCCAGGCTGGAGTGCAATGGTGCGATCTCCGCTCAACGAAACCTCCGCCTCCCGGGTCCAAGCAATTCTCCCGCCTCAGCTTCCCGACTAGCTTGGGTTACAGGCATATGCCACCAGGCCTGGCTAATTTTGTATTTCTAGACACGGGGTTTCTCCATGTTGGTCAGGCTGGTCTTGAACTCCCAACCTCAGGTGATCTGCCCGCCTCGGCCTCCCAAAGTGCTGGGATTACAGGCGTGAGCCGCCACGCCCAGCTGGTGATGTTTTGATGAGGACAGGACCTGACTTATGTCTCTTAGTTTCAGGCAGGACCCTCTCATAATCAAGTTTGTGATTGGATCTACCTGCCTTGAGTGCCAGAAGGGAGAACGAGAGGTAGAGAGGCAGGTTTCGGTTACTGTGAATGAAAGATGAATAAGGAAGTGTCCTCTAAAGTCACAAACTTGAAACGGGATGAATTCTACTCTCCACTTAGGTCTGAGAGCAATTAGTCCTGCTATTTCCAAAATTAGAATCTTCTTTTTAAAATTTTAGTTTTAGAGACAGGGTCTCGCTCTGTTGCTCGGGCTAGAGTACAGTGGCGGGATCATAGCACATAGCAGCTTTGAACTCCTAGACTCAAGCCATTCTCCTGTCTCAGCCTCCCGAATAACTGGGACTACAGTCCAAAAATTTGAATCTTGTGGCCTGTAATAACGAGTCTCTTGAGCAGCATGCCTACCTATGGTTTTAGGCACACTTTTTCTGAACTGTTGAAGAAATAACCCAAATGTGTGCTTTCATGTAAAATCTTTAATCATACCTATGAGGCTAGCTGCTGAGTTAGGGTGTTATTGTATTTTATGTTTTGATAAATGCCAAAGATCCTGCTGAGGCTTAGCCTCCCACAGAGTATATTTACTTCTTTTCATATTTTCCATGTATCTCTTTTATTGATTCATATCTTGATAGCATCATGTGTCTTATTTCACTCTATGTGAATTGAAGATAGTTTTCAGTCATCTATATTGATAGTTCTGTAAATATTCAGTTGTACTAAATATAAGCACCCCATATTTGTATTTATTAGACCAGAATTATCAATCTTGGCATGAGAATTCACTAGAACTTTAACAATTTTATATTGTTTCTACTAATTGCTGAGATAATGGACATAAAAATGCTCAGCATATTCATAGATTTATGTCTTTATCCTTTTACAAATTGTTGCTTTATGTAATACAAGTCAGCATTATACATTACATAGAGTTCAAAATATAATTTCTTGGTGATCATTTCTTTCTTTTTTTGTTTTCTTTCTTTCTTTCTTTCTTTTTTTTTTTGTTTTTGAGATGGAGTTTAGCTCTTGTCGCCCAGGCTGGAGTGCTATGGCGTGATCTCTCGGCTCACTGCAACCTCCGCCTGCCGGGTTCAAGCGATTCTCTCACCTCAGCCTCCTGAGTAGCTGGGACTACAGGTGCCCGCCACCACGCCCAGCTAATTTTGTATTTTTAGTAGAGACGGGGTTTCACCATGTTGGCCAGGCTGGTCTTGAACTCCTGATTCACCTGCCTTGACCTGCCAAAGTGCTGGGATTACAGGCATGAGCCACTGCACTTGGCCAGTGATCGTTTCTTTAATACTGATATTTTCTGATATAAATTTTCATTTTCATGTGTTAATTCTTTGTTGTATTAAATATATTTTTCCCAAAGCTGTTTCATATAGTTTTCTAATATTATACTCTACAAGTGTTTCTTGTACCCATACTACTGTTTTTTGTTTTTGTTCTTTATGAGAGACGGTCTTACTGTCTCTCCCAGGCCGGAGTGCTGTGACACCATCAGAACTCTGTGCAGCCTTGGCTCAAGTCATCATCCTGGCTCAGCCTCCTGAGTAGCTGGGATTACAGGCTTGTGCCACCACACCCTGCTATTACTTTTTTTTTTTTTTTTTTTTTTTTTTTGGTAGAGATGGGGCCTTGTTACGTGGCTCAGGCTGATCTATTAATAGAATTCCTGACCTCAAGCAGTTCTCTTGCTTCAGCCTCCCACATTGCAGGAATTATAGGCATGAGCCTCTGTGCCTGGCCTTTTGGAAATTTTTAACACATCAAAACTTACTAAGTGCTAATTTAAGAATTTATTCCATACTCATTTCATGAGATAGCTGATATATTTGGGTTTATATACATCCTCTGGTTGTGTGTGTGCTTTTCTTTGCCTTACTTATTGTGTGTACTTTATTTTTTGTAATGTTTTCTTTACATTTACATTTTCTTTAAATTTGTAAGATATATACTCTGATTCAGTTAATGTTTAAGCTTTAAAACAGTTATTTAATACATTATAGAGTTAATGTATTTGCTCTCCTCAAGAAATATAAGAAACTTATATGTTAGTTAATTTGCCCATATGAGTTTATATACTATTGAGGATATGCATGGTAATTCCACCATTCTGTTTCCAGAAGTATTAATATTTTATTTTATTTTTTATTTTAATTTTTATTTATTTATTTATTTTGAGATGCAGTCTCACTCTGTTGCCTAGGCTGGAGTGCAGTGGCACAGTCTTGGCTCACTGCAACCTCCGCTTCCCGGGTTCAAGTGATTCTCCTGCCTCAGCCTTCTGAGTAGCTGGGATTACAGGCGCCCACCACCACGCCTGGCTAATTTTTGTATTTTTAGTAGAAACAGGGTTTCACCATGTTGGACAGGCTGGTCTCGAACTCCTGAGCTCGTGATCCGCCTGCCTTGGCCTCCCAAAGTGCTGAGATTACAGGCGTGAGCCACCGCGCCCAACAGTATTAATATTTTATACAGATAATGAGTGGTCTCATTAATCCATAGATGCACTCCTCTCTCAGATCCTCATTTCTTCTATCATCACAGACCATCACCTGGGATCACTTTCCTTCAACCTTAAGAAGGATCTTAAAAGTGTTATTTTATGCCAGTTATTTTTATCCATTAAATTTCTCATTTTGGGCTTCAAATAGTCTTATTTCAGTTTTTCTTAGCCAGTGCATTTGTCGTGCATAGAAATCTGCTGGCAGTTATATCTGTAACTGACTCCGTATGTTATTCCATGTGTTCCTGACACCTAAATTTATATTGGCTTTGAGTGGAGACAGATAATTTATATTATACATATATATAATTATGTATGTGTGTATATAAACTACATGTGTATATATATATAAATGCTGTGTGTATGTGTGTATATATATTTTTTCTCAAAGATATGAATTATTTCTATGTCATCTCATAAAATAAACCAGGTTATAAAATTTTAACTACAGTGACTCTTAAGTGGACAGTGGAGTTAAAAATTATGAAGAGCAATTAGTCTTGATAGTTCTGTGTTTTGAATCATACAGCCTATAAGAATGTGTCTTCTGGACGATAGACCTACCTGTAGTTTATGAAACCCTCTTGCATGTGATTTTTTTCAATTAAATGAGTCTATTGATATATTGGTGTGCTTTTGTGCAAAAATTATAACCATTAGGGGCTCCCACCTGTAATCCCAGCACTTTGGAAGACTGAGGCAGTTGGATCACCTGAGGTCAGGAGTTCGAGACCAGCCTGACCAACACGGAGAAACCCCATCTCTACTAAAAATACAAAATTAGCCGGGCATGGTGGCGGATGCTTGTAATCCCAGCTACTCGGGAGGCCGAGGCAGGAGAATCGCTTGAACCTGGGAGGGAGAGGTTGCAGTGAGCTGAGATCGTGCCATTGCACTTAAGCCTGGGCAACAAGAGTGAAACTCTGTCTCAAAAAAAAATTATAACTATTATCTATGATGCTATTTGATGAGTGAGGGAATAATTGTACTTTTTTCTTTTTTTTTCAAAATCACACTGATCCTGAAAAGGTGGATCTTTGATTTATCTTCCTAAAGCAGTGTATGTGAGAACCTTGTGTTGAGGAAGACTGATAACAGCTTGTATGTATTTAGCACGATGTGCCAGGCCTGGTGTTAAGTACTTTTTACCTCACTTCCCATATTCCTAATGAGGTTGGTTGTAGTGTTTTTCATCTTACTGATTTTTTTTTGTTTGTTTTTGTTTTGTTTTGTTTTTGGCTAATGACTTTAAAAGACCTCCAGTTCTTGAACTTCAGCTAGGGTCCCATCCCCAGAGTTTATCAGAAGGTATAGGTTGGGTCCAAGAATTCACAGGTTTTTTAAGTTCATAGTGAAGCTGATGCTGTAAAACTACATATCAAATTGGGAAGCAATGAATTAGAAGAGGCTCATGTTTTCGTCATGTTACATGTAAGTTCCTCCTTCACTTTTCGCCATGAATAAAAGTTCCCTGTGGCCTCACCAGAAGCAGATACGGGCACCATGCTTCCTGTACAGCCAGCAGAAAGGTAGCTAATTACATCTCTTTTCTTTATATGTTAGAAAAATTAGAAGGACATTCAATGTTTTACAAAAAGGCCCACAAACGAAATACAGACAACGTTCAATTTATTAATACGTTTCAATCCCCAAATCTGAGAGAGGTGAAGCAGGTTTCCCAGGGCCTCAGAAGCAGGATTGAAGAATGGGTCCCTTGCTGGCGACTTCAGTGGCGTGGCATTGTCCCAGGTGGCCATGGAAATCAGGGTGCATACCCTTTAAAAGCAGCTGTGGCCTCCGAGATATCGTTTTCCCAGTCTTTTCTCCCCCTCCCTGCACGACGCCTCTTGGCAGACATCCGGGAGAACCCGAAAGGCGCTCGTTGCCTGGTTGGATGCAGGGTACAAACTACGTTACCCAGAAATCTGTGCCCAGCTCATTGTTAGCCGGCGTGCAGCCAATGACAGCCCAGAAACTGGGCGTTTCCTGCTGCTCTGGGCTGCAGGGGCGAGACTTCTGGCGTCGCCGTCGTGACGTATTTTTCCTATGCCCGGTCCGTGCATTCTGGTTGTGAAGGCTGAGTTCTAGAGATCGGGTCGGCTTTCTACGCGGCTCTCGTGGAACCTAGCAAAGAAAGACAGTGAAGACTGCAGGACCTTCCTTCGCGCTTTTGTTACAATCCATGACCCCTGTCGTGGGACGGGCGGCCTCTCGCGGAGGTGTCTGCCGGGGCTGGGCTCTTACCGAGGCCTCCACACACGTCCTCTTGTCCTTGTCTCCCCCAGAAGCAGCCGCCTTAGTCTTGTGAGCGTTTTTACACCGGGTAGATTGAGACTTGGAGTGCTACACTCAGCCCGAGGGCGTCCAGCGCGGTGGAGGCGTGGGGTTTCGGCTGAGCCCACAGGGCACAGACTGTTCATCCGCTTCTCATGGCAGCGGCGGTGCTGATGGACCGGGTTCAGGTGAGTGGGGGCATCCCTCAAGCGCACCCCGGCCTGGTTGGTGTGTCCTGGGATGTTCGCTCTCATCGCGCACTTCAGGGTGCTCACTCCGTCGCATTATGTGGAGGGGTTCCGCTCCCCTCATCAGTGGCATAAGGTGTGGAACGGACTCGAAGGCGCAGGGGCAGTTCGTACAAATGCATGCATGGAGAGGAGAATGAGTTTGGGGAGTTCCGGGAACTCTCTGTGCCTGGTGAGAACAGGGACTAGGGGGTCAGAGGTAGGCCTGGAATGGCCGCCCGAGGAGCTGGTCCTCTCTTCTGAGGGTGCTGGGAGTCATGCAAGGTTTGGTACAGAGAAGGGAGGTCCTCTGACGCAGTTCTTAAAAGGCTCCCTCTGGCTGCAGAGTGGGTAGACTAGGGATTATAGGGTAGACGGGGAGATCAAGATGAAGTCTACTGAAATAGTCCAGGTGAGCGTTGATGGTCTGGGCCAGAGTGGTGGCAGCAGAGGTTAGAGAATGTATGGGTTTTGGGTTTTGTATGTATTTTATAAGGAAGGCTGACCAGATTCTCTGATGAGACATAGTGATGATATCCTGGGATTCTTCACATGACTGTCTTCACTTGAGACAGGGGGCAGTGAATGGAGGTCATTTCTAGTTTAGTGTCCTGAATCCAGGCCATGAGTTGTATGGAGTTATGTGGAGAAGTCCCCACCTGGCGACCAATGGGATGAGTACTG
Organism: Homo sapiens; assembly: GCF_000001405.40. Classification (NCBI taxonomy): domain Eukaryota; kingdom Metazoa; phylum Chordata; class Mammalia; order Primates; family Hominidae; genus Homo; species Homo sapiens. The sequence goes on from NC_000019.10 coordinate 57,352,421, forward strand.
CAAAAGTATATCAGACCTAGGAACAGGTACGCTCAAATGCTTGTAGGATTGAGTTTGGAGCGCTCAGGGAATCTCAGGTCTTAATTACCTTTGTTGGAAACAGGTATCAGAGGAAGGAGTTAGGCAGGAATGGCTGGCCGAGGTGTCTTGAGTGTGGTAAAAGTCGTGGGAGATTTGGAGCAGAGGAGGGAGATGATCTGACTCAGATTTTAACATGCTCTCTCTGGCTTTCAGGTTGAGAACAGACTGTGAGCATGAGGGAGCAGCTACTGCAGTAGTGTTGATGGTGTCTGGTCTAGAGGTGTGGCTGTGGAGGTGAGAGAAGTTGGTAAATTTTCTGTTTTTTAAAGTAGGGTGATTGGATTTTTTGATGCGAAAGGTGAAAGAGAGGAGAGTCGTGGATGACCCTAAGGTTGGTTTGTTTTTGCTGTAGCTGGTAAAATTATGAAAATGCCATCAACTGAGATAGAGAAGTTGGCAGCAGGTATGATTTTTAGTGGTTATATCAGGAGTTAGGCTTTGGTCATGTTTAGGTTAAGAGGTCTCAGTTGTCATCTTAGTTGAGGCCTCAGGAAAACACACAGGTTTTTAGTTCTGGGGAAGGGTTCTGTTGAAGAAGTTGAAAAAAATGGTGGCCAGTGTGTGGAGTGGGATGGGGTATCTTCAAATCATGGTGGTAATGCTGTTATTCAGTAAGAAAGTTGAAACTGGACACTGAGAGAAAACTGGGTCTGTTGCTTAGGCACCTGGACGGCAGTGGTGGATAGTGTGAAGACGCGAGCGCTTCCTGGACACTGCTTGCAGAGTGGCATGGGGGATGAGGGATGTCATGGAGGTGCATATGGCATGGGCCAGTGGCGGTGGGGATCTCAGATGTGAGGAAGGTGTAGTCCAAAGAGTAATGAGCACGTTGGGAGGAGTGTGAACTGATGCCCTTAAGACTCTAGTATTGGCAGCTCATGGGAGAAGATGGAGCTGAAGTTTGGTTGTGTTTAGAGGCATCGTCTGGACAACACCAGGAGAACTGGTTGGTAGGCGAGTATTTGGGACCCTTCATGCCAGACCCAGAGTTGAGACAGCATCTGTCTGCACACTTGCCTGGTTCTGCTCTGGGCTGGACACAGTGGTGAGAGGGACATGAGGAGAGAGCAGACACTAGTGGTGCCAAGGTCTGTTATCTCCTCTTAGTTGGGAGGCTGGGGAGGCGAGGGACTAGAGAGTGGGTGTGTGAGTGTGTAGACTGGGGAGGAGGGGGTTCTGGGGAGAGATGCTGACTGTGGACTCAGCTGTACTTATCATGGCAGAGTTGTGTGACCTTCGAGGATGTGTTCGTGTACTTCTCTCGGGAGGAGTGGGAACTCCTTGAGGAGGCACAGAGATTCCTGTACCGTGATGTGATGCTGGAGAACTTTGCACTTGTGGCTACACTAGGTAAGTCTGTGTTTTAGTTATCTAATGCTACATGGCAAATTATCCCAAAGCTTAGTAACTGCAAACAATAAAAATCAATTATCTCTCCAGTTTCAGTGCATTGGTAATCTGGTTAGAGCATTTTTTGTTGTTTATTATTTTGAGGGTTTTTTTTTTGTTTTTTGTTTTTTGTTTTTTCAGAGAGTCTTACTCTGTCACCCAGGCTACAGTGCAGTGTTGTGATCATGGTTCACTGCAGCCTCAAATTCTTGGGCTCAAGTGATCCCCCCCACCTCACCCTCCTGAGTAGCTGGGACTATAGGTGCATGCCACCACGCCCGGCTATTTTACTTTTTGTAGAGATAAGGTCTTGCTACGTTGCCCAGGCTGGTCTAGAGCTCCTGACCTCAAGCGATCCTTCCTCCTTGGCCTCCCAAAGTGCTGGGATTACAGGCTTGAGCCAGTGTGCCCAGCCTGATCACACCTTCTTATGCAGGTGCTTTTGGCTCTCATGAAGTTTTAATCAAGCTCTCAGCCAGTGTTGTGGTCTTACCTGAGAAGAATCCACTTACAAGCTCACTCACATTGCTTTTTGCAAGATTTAGTTTCTTGTGGCTTGTTGGACTGTGAGCACTGTTCCTTGCTGGCTGTTGGCCAAAGTCCTCCCTCAGGTGGCCTGTCTGTATTGTACCTTATGACACAGAAGCTAACTTCTCTTTGAGCAAGTGACCAAAAGAATGTTCAAGATGGAAGCCCAGGATTGTAACCTAATCTTGAAAGTGTCATTTCATTATTTTTGCCATATTCTATTCCTTGGAAATAAGTAAGTCCATCCAGCTTACAATCAAGTGAGGAGGCTTACACAGGGGCAAGAGTACCAAGAGGTAGGGATCACTGGGACCATCTCAGAGGCTGTGTTCCACAGGCCTTTACACCCACTCCGGTGTCCTTGGTGGGGTTTGAGTCTTCTTCTCTTCCCCATGGGCCACTCTTTCTGTCCATCCAGATCCATGACTCTTCTCCTTCCCTTCTTTGTTTCCCAGAGTAGGTGCTGTGGGTTCTAGGGCTGGCTGTGTTCAGTGTTTCTGCCTTCACTGGGTAATCTGAACATCTGTTGCCCTAGAGCTTTGCAGGAAAAGGTTAGGATTCGGGAGTTTTTCAGTCTGCTAAGCAGATTCTACACAGCTCAGGTGCCCACTGCCTGAGTCCGTGTCATGATCTTTGCACCTCTTTGTCCTAGATTCTGCCCTCATCCTCTGGCTGACATTTCCTGGGGCCTGACTGTGCCAGGAATTTCAGGGGCTGACACAGTCACTTCTTGTGGTGATTACAGGGCTGTCCTGGTACATCCGCCTTGGAGAGTATTTTTTCTAAACATTCTATTTTCTCTGTGGAGTGGGTCTACCTGCGCCACTCACCTGCCCTTTGTTTGCGTTACAGCTTTCATTTTCCCAGTCCCATGCAGTTGCGCAGTTGGAGGGGGCAGAAAACCTTGGGTGCCTGACAGGGCAGACATCACTGCAGCCACAGTAAAGGAGACCTACAGAGGGCATGGCCCTGCTGAATGGGAGCTGGAAGAGGGTATCTGTTATGGTTGGGTTCAAATCGAACCTTCAACTTGTTTTGTGTTTGTCAGTGTTTTGTTGCCAAGGCCCATAGTGATTCTTCACATCTACTTTACTTTCCTCATTCTTGGCACTTTTTCCATTTGTCATTTCTCACGTGTCTTCCATCCTTTGGGTGTTTTCCCACTTTTCTGGCCTCCGTGTTTCAATTGCTCTCTTCAACACTAGCTTACTTTAATGTGTCATGAGTTCTGCACATTAAATAGTCCGTGAGAATGAGCTACTTATTTGGAGTCAGATTTTCGTGGGCATGGACATACCCATCTGCACAGAGCTCACCTGACACCAGCGGCCAAGGCCCTGCTGAAACTCTCTTGCAGAGGAATCAGGTAGAGGCTTCACCTATACTCCCTATACTCTATGCCATTGTTTTTAGGTCTTTACCTCATAGTCAGGGTTCCTCCATTCTGTGAGGCCCTATACTGACAACCAGCCCTTCTTTACACTGATCCTGGCCCTCTTGTCCTGCCAACAAGCCAGTGGACTCGCACTGGTGTTAGACACACATTTGTGATGGGGCTGCTGCCTCCCACCAAAGTCAGCATGCACTTCACCAGCTCTTTTTTGCTTTCAGGTTTTTGGTGTGAAGCAGAACATGAGGCACCTTCTGAGCAGAGCGTTTCTGTAGAAGGAGTGTCACAGGTCAGGACTGCTGAGTCAGGTCTTTTCCAGAAAGCACACCCATGTGAGATGTGTGACCCACTCTTGAAAGACATTTTGCACCTGGCTGAACACCAGGGATCACACCTTACACAGAAACTGTGCACACGTGGGCTGTGTAGGAGAAGATTCTCGTTCAGTGCAAACTTTTACCAGCACCAGAAGCAACATAATGGAGAGAATTGCTTCAGAGGGGATGATGGAGGGGCCTCATTTGTGAAGAGCTGTACAGTCCACATGTTAGGGAGATCCTTTACGTGCAGGGAGGAAGGGATGGACTTACCAGATAGCTCTGGCCTTTTCCAGCACCAGACCACTTACAATAGGGTGAGTCCATGCAGAAGGACTGAATGCATGGAGTCTTTCCCACACAGCTCCAGTCTCAGGCAACACCAAGGAGACTATGATGGACAGATGCTTTTCAGTTGCGGTGATGAAGGGAAAGCCTTCCTGGACACCTTTACTCTTCTTGACAGCCAGATGACTCATGCTGAGGTGAGACCCTTCAGATGCCTACCATGTGGAAATGTGTTCAAGGAGAAATCAGCTCTTATTAATCACAGAAAAATCCACAGTGGAGAAATATCTCATGTGTGTAAGGAGTGTGGAAAAGCCTTCATTCACTTGCACCACCTAAAAATGCACCAGAAATTTCACACTGGAAAAAGACACTATACATGCAGTGAATGTGGGAAGGCCTTCAGCCGCAAGGACACACTTGTTCAGCATCAGAGAGTTCACACTGGAGAAAGATCTTATGACTGCAGTGAATGTGGAAAAGCCTACAGCAGAAGCTCCCACCTTGTTCAGCACCAGAGAATTCACACAGGAGAAAGGCCTTATAAGTGCAACAAATGTGGGAAAGCCTTTAGCCGTAAAGACACACTTGTTCAGCACCAGAGATTTCATACTGGAGAAAGGCCTTATGAGTGCAGTGAATGTGGAAAATTCTTTAGCCAAAGCTCCCACCTTATTGAGCACTGGAGAATTCATACCGGGGCAAGGCCCTATGAATGCATAGAATGTGGAAAATTCTTTAGCCATAACTCTAGCCTCATTAAACATCGGAGAGTCCACACAGGAGCAAGATCCTACGTGTGCAGCAAATGTGGGAAGGCCTTTGGCTGCAAAGACACACTTGTTCAGCACCAGATAATTCACACTGGAGCAAGGCCTTATGAGTGCAGTGAATGTGGGAAGGCCTTCAGCCGTAAAGACACACTTGTGCAACACCAAAAAATCCACACTGGAGAAAGGCCTTATGAGTGTGGTGAATGTGGTAAATTCTTCAGCCATAGCTCCAACCTTATTGTACACCAGAGAATTCACACTGGAGCAAAGCCTTATGAGTGCAATGAATGTGGGAAATGCTTTAGCCACAACTCCAGCCTCATTTTGCACCAGAGAGTTCACACAGGAGCAAGGCCTTATGTGTGCAGTGAATGTGGGAAGGCTTACATTAGTAGCTCCCACCTTGTTCAACACAAGAAAGTTCACACTGGAGCAAGACCTTATGAGTGCAGTGAATGTGGGAAATTCTTTAGCCGCAACTCTGGCCTCATTCTGCACCAGAGGGTTCACACTGGAGAAAAGCCTTACGTATGCAGCGAATGTGGGAAAGCCTATAGCAGAAGCTCCCATCTTGTTCGTCACCAGAAAGCTCACACTGGAGAAAGAGCTCACGAGTGCAACAGTTTTGGTGGCCCTTTAGCTGCATCTCTTAAACTTGTTTAACACCAGAAAATTCACACAAGAGAAAGGCCTTATGAATGCAGAAAATATGTCATCTTGTTCATCCTCATAGGACTCACACCAGAGCAATGCTCTGTGAGTACCCTTTGTGAGGGAACCATCAGCTAGCAGATGAGCACCGTATATTCATTCCACCCTGGGGAGATTCCTGATAAGCACCACATATGTGGGAGGCTTTCATGAGGTGTGTTGCACTTTGTAACTGTCTAGAGCTCTTGATGGAATTATATCACTGCCAGTGCCTGTGGCGGAAGCCATCTTATTGCTACCAGCTGTGTGTGTCAATCACTCCATTTTGCTCAGGGAAGGCAGACTTCTGTGCTTTCTTTCCTGTTCCCTACAGGTAATCATGAATATTTTCAAGGACTTCCCCCCCCCCCCACTTCACCCCCTACCATTGAGGGTCCTCATCTTTTCCCTCATGATTAGGTTCTGAGCAAACATGATCTAGCTCTCACCAAAAGGACCTGAGCTAGGGTCTGCTGGGATTTCCTGACACGATTTTCCATCTTCATGGACAATGTTAACTGTAAACGTGATAGCTGTGACTTACTTGTCTTACTGCCAAATCGCCCAAATTTGGAACTGCTTGTCCCATGCTGCTCTGATTTATACAGTGATAAGGGCCTATTGTGGCAGTCTTTACTCTTGGGGATTTTGTTACTGTGTAGAGTGGATTGAGAAAAGAATTGGGTTCTGTCATGAAGGGAGTAGCACCTTTTGTGGGCACCACCTTTATGTGCCTCAGAGGGGACCAAAGGATGGCAGAAAACTGTTCTCAGTCTAGTTTGACCTAATTTACACTATTGCCCTAGGCTTGCTAGGAAAGACTGAAAAAATTTTTGTGCCTAACTTTGTGGCCTGGCTGCCAGGATTTCCTGTGAGCCCAGTGAGGAGGGCATAGTTGGTGCGAAAATCTCCTGTGCTTGTGGAAGCAACATAAGTTGGGTCCCTTAACTGTCACGTACTCCCCAGCACTGTTGAGGGATTGCTGTCTTCTGTACCTGTACAGGATCAAGTCCCTGATATCCAGAACCCCATAGGCAAGTAACATTGACTGTAAGACCTCTGTAGGGCAATGTGAAAATCATGATTGCTACAGAAGCACTGAGATAATGGAGTGGGGATGACTGTGGCAAACAAAAGGAGATTCGAACATTCTAGAGGGGCATCCACAAGTCTCGGTGCAGTTATGATGGTGTGGGATGGGAGTGCATAGAAATTCTCAGGACCTTCAGACATCTGTATCTCCTGTGGCCAAGGCCACTGTCAGAGGAAATAATCTAAATGTTTGTGGATTCCTGTGTCTCCCTGGGCAGTTGACCTGCACAGACAGGAACCTCAGCAGTGACAGAAGAGAGATCCAGGGATGGGTCTTCTCTGACCCAGCCAGCATTCCGAGTGACTGAGGTGGATGTGGACATCATTGCTTACCAATTTTTACCAACATTGAGGCAGGGCTCACTCTCCTAAATTGTAGGGAGAGGAATATGGTAAAGCCAAAATAGTTGACAGATCTAACTTTCCTAGTGGAACAGTATATATAGATTTTAATGAGGAACATTTATTTAATAGCTTTATGGAGGTATGATTAACATGCAATAAACTGCAAATATGTAAAGTGTAAAATGTGCTGTTTCAGCATGTGTGTACACCTATGAAACCACCACAGTCAAGATATCCAACACAACAAAAGATTGTCCCTTTATAATCCTCAATTTTTCCTTATCTTGTTTTCCACAATTCACAAGCAACAGCAAGCATTTTCTATAATTTTATAAATGAAACCATATGGTGTGTACTTTTTAGGGGGTGGGGCTCTGGCTTTTTCAGTAAACATAACTATTTTAAGGTTAATCCATTATCTTGTTGCATGAATCAATTGTTTGCTCATTTGTATTGCTGCGTAGTATTTCAGTATTTCATTGTATACCACAATTTTTCTTCTTTGTCAACTTAATTGTTATGGATGTTTGGGTAACTTTCAGTTTTTGGCTATTACAAATAAACCTCTGAAGATTTGTGTGCAAATTATGGCTGAATGATATTCCATTCTATAAATACACCTCAGTTTCTTTATCCATTTACTTATTGAAGGACGGTTGCTTTCAAGTTTTGGCAGTTATGAATAAACCTACTACATATTTGTATAGTTTTTCTGTGGAGATGTTTTCAACTCATTTGGATATGTGCCAAGGAGTGCAATTTTCTCTGTCATATAGCATGTTTAGTCTTGTAAGAAACTGCCAAGCTGTCTTCCAAAGCGGCTGCACCATTTATTTTATTTATATATATTTTTTGAGACAGAGTCTCCACTCTGTCACCCAGGCTGGAGTGCAGTGGTATGATCTTGGTTCACTGCAACCTCCACCTATTTTAGTAGACATGGGTTTTTACCATGTTGGCCAGGCTGGTCTCAAACTCCTGACCTCAAGTGATCACCCTCCTCGGCCTCCCAAAGTGCTGGGATAACGGGGGTGAGCCACTGCAACGGGCTGTGGCTGTACCATTTTTGCATCCAACTAACAATGATTGAACATTCCTCTTGCATCTCATCCTAATCAGCATTTGGCATTTTCAGTATTTTGGATTTTAAAATGCCATTCAAATAGGTGTGTAGTGGTATGCCATTGTTGCTTTTATTTGCAATTCCCTAATAACACACAATAAGTATCTTTTTTAAAGGCAGGGTTGTTTTGTTTTGTTTTGAAATGGAGTCTTGCTCTGTTGCCCAGGCTGGAGTACAGTGGCATGATTTCGGCTCACTGCAACCTCCACCTCCCGGGTTCAAGCGATTCTCCCACCTTAGCCTTCCAAGCAGCTGGGACTACAGGCACCCGCCACCATGCCCAGCTAATTTTTGTATTTTTAGCAGAAATGGGGTTTCGCCATGTTGGCCAGGCTGGTCTCGAACTCCTGACCTCAGGTGATCTGTCTGCCTCGGCCTCCCAAGGTGCTGGGATTACAGGTGTGAGTCACTGCGCCCAGCCTGGCTGGGGTTTTTTTATGTGAGTTTCACACACCTCTGAGTAAGTGGCTTGCAGACAGAGAAGTTAACAACTTTGGCTGTTAGCTTGAACCTGTGATTTATGAATACCAAAAAGACAAATACAGAATCTAAGGAAACACATAACAGTCCTGTATACACACAGCAGCTGGCAGCCCTATTCCCGGTGTGTCCCATATACCTACCATTGACCTGAAACCCAGTTTGTACGTGCTCATTGAACATTTTGTAGAGCAGTAAATACACATCATCACACAGATTGCCTACTCATTTTTATTTTTATTTTTCGAGACGGAGTCTTGCACTGTCACCCAGGCTGGAGTGCAGTGGCGCGATCTCTGCTCACTGCAACTTCCACCTCCTGGGTTCAAGCGATTCTCCTGCCTCAGCCTCCCAAGTAGCTTGGATTACAGGCACCCGCCACCATGCCCAGATAATTTTTGTATTTTTAGTAGAGACAGGGTTTCACTATGTTGGCCAGGCTGGTCTTGAGCTCCTGACCTCGTGATCCGCCCACCTCGGCCTCCCAAATTGCTGGGATTGCAGGCGTGAGCCACCGCACCCGGCCTTCATTTTTATTTTTTGACAAGTGTTTCCATTTGTTATCTCTATCCCTCCAAACAGTTAATAAGCGATGTTTTCAAGTATGAAATAAGAAATACATATAGGAGACAGAAGCATAATGTGTCCAGGTTCCAGCACAGCCAGTCTCAACTTCATTCTTTGACTTCTCAGACTCTTGCTCAAACTCTACTGTAACCTTGCTTTTTCCCCCCTTCACATGTCACAGAGAGATTTCTGTAGGACTATTTCTGCCACTAGTTTTGAAATAACATAATCACTGTTAGTCCAAACTGCACCATCCTGTAAGCCCCCTGCCATCTCACAGACCTTGGTCAGAGTGAAGCATTCCACGGAGTGAGGGCCTTGAGAAACATCCTGCCCAACTGCCTGACTTTCTTATCACATCGTTCTGGGAAAAGATCCAAGGAAGGTCACTATCACATCCTGCCGGATAAAAGGCCAAACTGCCTCAGGAACATCTTACGCACATCCTTTGGCCGGGTGCTGTGGCTCACGCCTGTAATCCCAGCAATTTGGGAGGCCGAGGCGGGCGGATCACCTGAGGTCAGGAATTCCAGACTGGCCTGACCAACATGGTGAAACCCTGTCCCTACTAAAAATACAAAAAAATTAGCCGGGCGTGGTGGCACGCGCCTGTAAAGCCAACTACTCGGGAGGCGGAGTTCAAGAATCGCTTGAACTCCGGGAGGCGGAGGTTGCAGTGGGCCGAGATCACGCCATTGCACTCAAGGCTGGGCGACAAGAGCGAGACTCCTCCAAAAACAAAAAAAAACCCACCATCCTCCTGGGCAGCAAGTCATACCCTCCCGCCGCGCCCCCTGCCCCCCACCCCTGACCCCTCTCATCCAGGCCTATAATTGCCCCAGCCTGTAAGCAGTGAGGGGTTCTGGCACTAAGCTAGTTCTCCCCATCACAGGTCTCGTGCTGGACATAAAACCTGCATTGCTGTAGAGCTGCCAACTCTGCCTTTCTTTAACCCTCGCCTTCCCTTCAAAACCTAACAGTTATTATTAATAGATTTCTGTAATTTTCATTTCACAAGTATTTTCACAGATAATTTCAACTCCCTGTAAAATGATAACTCACTTCTCAGGAAGGAGATAAGATCATGAAAGTTCACAGTTTTTATTGGGGATAATACGTTCCCTGTGTACATATACTCCAACTATGGAATGGCACAAAATGTCCTGTCAGGAAATGGCATGTATCAGTCACTCTCATTTTCAGACAGGATTGAGACTTTTAAAATAAATGTAAAATATTTCAGACATGAAGTAATAAGTATTATTAGAATAAAAGCATTGCACTCTTGGTAGGAACACAATCACTGACTCTACAGACAGTAATGATGTTTTCTTCTGGATCCAGAGGCACAGCGTCACCCTTTCAATCTACGTCGGTATCTCCTGTCTTCTTTTGTGCAAATTCCCAGCCATGTAGTCTTTCTTTGTTCTCTTGGACCAACCATATTGAAGCTTAATAAATAGAAGTCAAAGTTTAACTGTATGTGTATTTGAAAAGCAACATATGGCTGAGAGGCATGAGTAGAGACAGAGTGCCTTTGTGGTATAGTGTGTCCCTTTGGCGGTGTAGCCGTTGAGAACTTGCTGTGCTTCACAATCCGATATCATAGGTCCCTCACATTTCTGTGAGTATCCTAGACCTTACTTCAAGAAAATCTGGTTATGTCGCCTTTAAGAGCAACCCAAGCCCCGTCCTGTCCGTGGAGTCCGGCACTCTGTTTACCAGCTCCCCTGACGGTGCCACTGAGCCTCTATCCGCCATATAAGGACTGACCAACGCTCTAAGGCAAGTCCAGAAGCGGTGTCGAAACTTCATAACCCAGAAGACACTGCGGTTCTCGGCAGCGCGACTGACCCAATGAATGTGCAGGAAGGAACCTTTGCGTGCGTGCGTGCGTGCGTGCGTCCGTCCTCGTGCTCGCGCATCGTAGGAGGGCGGGACTTCCGGCGTCCTCTTGCCGTGGTTGATTTGATTTTCTCTGGTGTTTTCACTAGTTCCGGCCTTTGGCGCTCTATGACGTCACCGAAGTGACGGAGCGGAAAAGCGCGAGAAGCGGCTTGGTTCCTTGTACGCAGAGGCGGTAGTGACACAGGCACAACTGACAGTGGCAGAAGCTCAGCTGACAAGGACTGGGGACGGCGGTGTCCTTGTCTTGCCTTTGTCGCCCCCGCCCCTCTCTTCCCTGGCTGGACTTGCGGAGTCCCCGCCGAAGAACCCGAGGTGGGTGCCCCGTCCCAGGCCCCCCCCCACCTCCGCCCGACCCCTCCTTCCAGTGCTGAAGCCCATAGAAGGGGCCCTGCAGGTCAGGCCCCTTGTCTCGAAGAGAGGGGCGTTCCTGTGTGGGGTCCCCGTATCAGCTGGTTTGATGCAGCCTCAGAGCTCCCTTCGGGGATCTCAGGTTCAGAGCATGGAGGTGCTGCCAAGTGGGCCGCGTCGGGGAGCCCGGAGTGTGGGTTGTTTCTGCGGGAAAGAGAGGGTTTTGTGAATTTTCTCTTGGAATGGCAGCCTGAGCAGCCGGTATAACCATGGAAGGTTGTCAAGGGAAGACCAGTGGGAGGGGCAGGTCCAGAGTTAGAACGAGCAGGATGGGGAATTGACACAGAGAGACCCAGAAGAGGCCACTGCAGTGGATCCCAGAGGCTGCACCAGAGCCGTGGTATAAGAGGGACAATGTGATGGGATTCTGGATAGACCTGGAAGATAGAGCCAACAGGTTTTCCTGCCGTATCAGATATGTCTGTGAGCAAAAATAGGGAGTGAAGGGTCATTTTTTTTTTTTTGCCCGAACATCTGAAAGAATGAAGTTGGGGAAGTCAGCAGCATGAGAAGTAGGTTTCATGGAGAAGATCATGGGTTGGAGTTTGGCCAGTGTGATTCTCAGGCGTCTCAAGTTGAAAATGTCACATGGGTAGGGGGACAGAAAGGTGTGGAGTCTACAGAGGAGAACTGGTGTAGATTCTTCAAAAGAATAGAGGGTGGCCGGGCGTGGTGGCTCACGCCGGTAATCCCAGCACTTTGGGAGGCCAAGGCGAGCGGATCACAAGGTCAGGCGTTCAAGACCAGCCTGACCAACATGGTGAAACCCCGTCTTTAGTAAAAATACAAAAATTAGCCGGGGGTGGTGACGCGCGCCTGTAATCCCAGCTATTCGGGAGGCTGAGGCAGGAGAATTGCCTGAACCCAGGAGGTGGAGATTGCAGTGAGCCAAGATCGCGCCATTGCACTCCAGCCTGGGCGACAGAGCGAGATTCCGTGTCAAAAAAAGGTGCGGAGCGCGGGTCTCTTCCGCGGAAACTGACATTGCGTTTCCGTTGTCGGCCTCCCGCTGCAGGAGCCATATATTGAAGACCATGTCTGGAAGCTTCTACTTTGTAATTGTTGGTCACCATGATAATCCAGTTTTTGAAATGGAGTTTTTGCCAGCTGGGAAGGCAGAATCCAAAGACGACCATCGTCATCTGAACCAGTTCATAGCTCATGCTGCTCTCGACCTCGTAGATGAGAACATGTGGCTGTCGAACAACATGTACTTGAAAACTGTGGACAAGTTCAACGAGTGGTTTGTGTCAGCATTTGTCACCGCGGGGCATATGAGGTTTATTATGCTTCATGACATAAGACAAGAAGATGGAATAAAGAACTTCTTTACTGATGTTTATGATTTATATATAAAATTTTCAATGAATCCATTTTATGAACCCAATTCTCCTATTCGATCAAGTGCATTTGACAGAAAAGTTCAGTTTCTTGGGAAGAAACACCTTTTAAGCTGAATGGAGAAAATTCCAAAATAAATTATATCACCACAATGGTGTATACTCAGGAATGTGTACATTGTAAATTACTTGATTAAATAGCCTGGAAATCTTTTGTGTATTCTCAGCTTATCTAAACTTAATGAAATTTCTTTTATATTTAAAAATAGTACATTCTGTCTCATGTCACATATCAGTAGATCAATTAGTATTTCCTTGTGAACAATGTTATTTATAAAGAACTCATTATCAATAATAATTAATTTCTTTCTTTTTTTTTTTTTTTTGAGACGGAGTTTTGCTCTTGTTGCCCAGGCTGGAGTGCAGTGGCACAGTCTCGTCTCACTGCACCCTCCGCCTCCCAGGTTCAAGCAATTCTGCCTCAGCCTCCCGAGTAGCTGGGATTACAGGCTCCCACCACCATGCCTGCCTAATTTTTTTTGTATTTTTAGTAGAGACGGAGTTTCGCCATGTTGGTCAGGCTGGTCTTGAACTCCTGACCTCGTGATCTGCCTGCCTCGGCCTCCCAAAGTGCTGGGATTACAGGCATGAGCCACCACTCCCGGCCATGAAATATTTTTACTTAAAAATTGGGAATAAGCTTTCTTTTTCTTTCTTTCTTTCTTTTTTTTTTTTCTTTTGAGATGGAGTCTGGCTCCTGTTGTGCAGGGGCTGGAGTGCAGTGGCACGATCTTGGCTCACTGCAACCTCCACCTCCCGGGTTCAAGCAATTCTCCTTCTTCAGCCTCCCAAGTAGCTAGGATTACAGGCATGCACCACCACGCCTGGCTAATTTTTGTATTTTTAGTAAAGACGGGATTTCACCATATTGGTCAGGCTGGTCTTGAACTCCTGACCTCGTGATCCGCTCGCCTCGGCCTCCCAAAGTGCTGGGATTACAGGTGTGAGCCACTGCGCCTGGCCATGAAATATTTTTTACTTAAAAATTGGGAATAAGCTTTTTTGTGTGTGTGTGTATGTTTTTGTTTTTTTGTTTTTGAGATGGAGTCTTGCTCCTGTCATGCAGGCTGGAGTGCAGTGGCACGATCTTGGCTCACTGCAGCCTCTGCCTCCCGGGTTCAAGCAGTTCTCCTTCCGCCTCCAGAGTAGCTGGGATTACAGGCATACGCCTGGCTAATTTTTGTATTTTTAGTAGAGACAGGGTTTCGCCATTTTGGCCAGGCTGGTCTTGAACTCCTGACCTCAGGTTATCTGCCTGCCTCGGCCTCCCGGAGTGCTGGGATTACAGGTGTGAGCCACTGCGCCTGGCTGGGAATAAGCTTTCGACTTGCCCAATTCAGATAAATTGTTTTTTTTTTTTTTTTTTTTGACGTGGAGTTTTGCTCTGTCGTCCAGGCTGGAGTGCAGTGGCGCTTGGCTCACTGCAACCTCTGCCTCCTGACTTCAAGCGATTCTCCTGCCTCAGCCTCCCAAAGTGCTGGGATTACAGGTGTGAGCCACCATACCCGGCCCAGATAGGTTGATCTTATAACAATCCAGAAACAAATGTCATAGTCAAGATTTGGTAGATAGATTTAAAACTAAAATATTCTGCCATTGGAAGTGAAATGTCATAGCACATACGTGGACGTTATGCATTTAGAGATGTTATAAAAATGTATTGGCAGTATACATAGCACTACTCAAGAAGCCAAAGAAACACTTGTGCAGTGCTAAGTGTCACATGTCTGCTTCTGCCAGAGGCTAGGAATAGTGATCTTGCTATAATGTGAGAACCTGAATCATGTTTGTAAAATAGGAGGCTGGGAGCAGTTCCAGGCCACAGTGAAGTGTGTTGCTTCTGTCACTTTATATTCTTATATTTCCTTTCCCTCAGACAATCAACTGTTGATGCCTGTACTTGTGAAAAGTTGTAAGGCAATTTTTAGGGTTGTTGTCAAAGAAAAGCTTGGATTACATTAACATTTGTACTCAGCCTTTTAGGCAATACACCAGAGGGGGCTGGGAATTGTCTGTTTGTTCCTATGATAAGTAGATCTTACTGTAAAATAGTAAATGTCCATTGAAAAGCAAGTAACACAACCTGTGCTAACTGGGAGCACTTGAACAATTTTGTTCCATTCTGAATAACTTTTCAGCAAGTAATTCTAAGCTTTGTCTTATATCCTTGTGTAAAATTGCTACCTTCATTTTTACCCTATTTGATTTCTTAAATGGTTTGTTCAAGAAAAAAAAAAAAAAAAAAAAGAATAGAGGGTGTAGATTGGACCGGGTCCTGAGGATCCAATTTGGTAGGGAAGTCTAAAGGTCATTGCCTGCAAGCTATGTGGTGAGGGAGGAGAGAGCTGATACTTGGGGTTCACACCATAGGTGGAGCCATAAGCCAGATGCTTACTTTAGAAAGGCGCAGACCTGCCATAGGAAGGATTTTGTCCTCTGCCTAGAAAAAGGGAGGCGTGGGTGGGATAAGGAATGGGCTTGGGATGGAGACTAAGGTTTGAGATGGTTTATATTCTGCACCTACAGGCTTGGCTGACCCTCAGGGCCACTCTTTGTGGGAAAAGAAAAAAGTTATCCAGGCTAGTGGAGCAGCTGGGTTCTAAACTAGGGCACTGCTTTTTCCCCTTCTCCACATATCAAGGCAAGATTGGATGATCTACTGCCCCAGTCAAGGTCTGCCAGCAAGCTCCCCTCAGAGCCTTATGTAACAGGCAGGCCTGGTTGCAGAGGACCAGTAGCTGACCTACCTGCTCAGCCCTTCCCTACAACTCATTAAGAATATATGAAACACTTATTGGTATAAGCACTAACCAGTGTCCTTCTAAATGTGTACACATAGGCAGTTAGAAGTGAAGCTATTCATTGAGTTAAATTCCTGCAAACACTACATAATTGATTTGACCCAAATTTGCCTATAATTATCAACATACCATGGAAAATTTTAGTATCCTCTAAAATTTTAAAAGCTAAAAATATACACCTCAGTTTTTGAAATTCTACTACATCATTTATACTGAAAACATATAGTAAACCATTAATCCAAGAACAGTAATAGCTGATATATATGATGAGCAACGAGTGTTTGACACCGGTAAGAGTCCTATGAGGTGGGAGCCATTCTTACAACCTATTTACAGATGAGAGCACTGAAGCTCCAGCAGGTTCAGTTCTTTTCTAGAGTCACAGTGCTGCTAAGAGCCAACAGTGAAGTCGGAGGAGCTGAGTTTATACAATCAACTTGAGATCAGTTTGCTTTAGGGTAAGGAAGAAGAGATGGTGGTCCAACTCTGCCTGTAAGATCTTCCCATCGTTGCCCATTTCTCACGGTTTCCCTCTTCCTTCAGGGTCCCCTGGCGATGGCAGAAATGAACCCTGCACAGGTGAGTGGAGTGTTTTCTACCTTTCACCTACCAGTTATCTCATAGATGGTTTTGGCACCTCCATGTAAAGAAAAGTGGTGTCCAGAGACTCTCTTTCTGTCTTTCTCCCTCTCTTATGTCTGAAAAGTGAGTGATTCCACCAGTTCTAGTATCTTAAATTAGGTCTGGGATTTTTGTTTGATTGTTTTAAGTTTACTGTGACACCTTACCTGGATGGCCCTGGATTATGTGGAGTGGCTCCCATTTTTGACAGTTGACGTGGTAACATCTGTCAGAGTGTCATGGGCACAAGATTAAGAATGTTTCAGTGTTTAGAGGAGAGACTGAACTGGATTTTTAGGGAACTGCAAGTGTCTGTTATATCGGATAGGAATAGGGAGCAGAGTGGGAGGTGGCTAGAGACACACAAACATCAGGCCTGGAATGACAGCCTAGGTCCTGGGTCTCTAATCTAAGGGAGGTGGTAGATGGGGAAGATTTGAAGCAGAAGAGGGCAGTGATAGGACCCTAGCTTAAGGAACTTTCTTTGGCGTCTGAGTGGAGGACAGACTGTGGAGGTGAGGGTAATGGCAGGGAGATCTGAGAGGATGTTCCTGCAGCAGTCTAGGTGGATGTTGGTGGTGACTTGTCAAGAGTAGCGGTGGCTTCAGGATGTGTTTTGAACTGGAGCTGCCCACATTTTATGATGTAGAGAGTGAGGCAGCTGGGGGGGTGGGATAGAAGGGGAATCAGGAGTGGCCCCATGGTTTTTGTTTGGAAGCATAGATGCTCCATCAGCTAAGATGGGAGAAGTCAGCAGTATTAGGAATTTTCAGAGTGAGTGTGAGGAGTCAGTGTTTGTTCAAGCCACAGATGTCTCAGAGACTCCTGGTGGAGGAGTTCAGGTTGGAGACGTCCACACTATGGTGGCTGTCGTATGGACCAGGATGAAGCCATGGATTCAGTTTAGGTGACAGCATCTCTAGGTTATGGTGGCAGTGCTGTTCGAAGACAGAGAATTGGAATGGGGCATGAGAACTGGGTCTCTTACTGGGTAGCTGTGCAGTGGTGGAGGAGTCACTAGACAAATGAGGGAATGGAGTGTTTGTGGGGATGAGTGTATGTGAGATGGTGGGGTATAGGAGTGAGAAAGACTTCTGAAGGAGAGTGGACATGATGGGGTTGCTGAGGAGGGTAATAGGGTGAGGTCGGAGAGTTGCTAAGCATCAGTTGGAATGAGATGAGGATGGGAATTCTATTAGTCTGTTTTCATATTGCTACAAAGAACTACCTGAGACTGGGTACTTTATGAAGAAAAGAAGTTTAATTGACTCACAGTTCTTTTTTTTTTTTTTTTTTTTTTTTGAGATGTGGCCCAGGCTGGAGTGCAGTGGCACAATCTCGGCTCACTGCAATCTCTCCCTGCCAGGTTCAAGCGATTCTTCTGCCTCAGCCTCCTGAATAGCTGGGACGACAGACTCACCCCACTACGCCCAGCTAATTTTTGTATTTTTAGTAGAGATGGGCTTTCACCATGTTGGCCAGGATGGTCTTGATCTCCTGACCTCGTGATCCATCCTCCTCAGCCTCCCAAAGTGTTGGGATTACAGGCGTGAGCCACCGCACCCAGCCCATAGTTCTTCAGGCTTAACAGGAAGCATAACTCGGAGGCCTCAGGAAACTTACAATCCTGTGTCCATGAGGCAGGACACAGCTGAGAGTATGTGAAGTCCTCACATGGTTTGGGCACCTGACAGTGAAGTGAGAAACAGGGCCATGTAGGGAACCTTCAACCCAGGGCTTAGGGCTGCCCCCGGTGCTAGGGAACTTTGGTGTTCTGGGGCAGGACTGGGAGTGAATTGGATGCTGAGCGTATTTGCCGTGCACCACCTGGTTTCTGTGTGCAGAGTGGCCTGTTAGGAGGTGAAGGAAATGCCTGTGGTGTGGGCTGGGAGGTGTCTGTGGAATTGACTGGAGTGGAGGTGTGAGAGATGGGATTGGAGTGCTGTCCAAAGAGTGATGTGCAGGCAGGAGGAGTGTGAATGGAGGGCCTCAGGCCCTGGCCCTGGTAGCTCAAGGGAGGAGGATGAGTCTGAGTTTGGTTGTCTTGGGAGGCAAGATCTGGGTGACTCCATGGAAACTGGCTGGCAGGAGAGGATGGATCCCCCCACGGGAGGCCCACATTCCTTTTCTACCTTATCTTCCATCTGTTTCCTCTGTGTGCTGGACACGGTGGCCAATGTCAATATGGAGAGAAAAGTCACTCATGCCACCTGGATGTGGTTTCTCTTCCACATTGGGAGGGTGTAGAGATTGAGGAAGGAAAGGAGGTGTAGGGGAGAGGGATGAGTTCCTGGAGAGAGAAAAGTAGCAGTGATTGTACCCATTGGGGTTTTTTGTTTTTTTTTTTTTAGATGGAGTCTTGCTGTGTTGTCACCCAGGCTGGAGTGCAGTGGCATGATCTTGGCTCACTGCAACCTGCACCTCCTGGATTCAAGCAGTTCTGCCTCAATCTCCCAAGTAGCTAGGACTACAGGCATGTGCCGCCATGCCCACCTAATTTTTGTATTTTTAGTAGAGATGGGATTTCACTGTGTTGGCCAGGCTGGTCTTGAACTCCTGACCTCAGGTGATCTGCCCGCCTCAGCCTCCCAAAGTGCTGGGATTATAGGCATGAGCCACTGTGCCTGGCCCCCATGGAGTTTTAATTTATGGATGTGAGTGAGTGATGCCAGGGACAGGCCAATGACACTGAAAGAAGATATTTATTCCTTACGTTTCCCTAAGGAGGTTACATACCACATAACACAGGGCCACACGGTGAAACACCAGATTTGATCAGGAGGAAAATTGGAGTGAGTTTAGTTTAGTCCACAGATGCTGTTGGGGTTTCCAAGGGAAACAAGGCAGGGCTGGCTGTCAGGATAGTTTGGCTAGTTTTAGTAATTCCAGGACACCTGGGCTATTGGGACTGTCCCTAGTTGTGCAGTACCTGTCCCTGGGTTGATTTAGAGCATGGGAAATACTGACTTGGTTTGAGAAAGTTAGAGATGGAGATGGTTAAGAATATGTGCCCAGGATGGTAGGGGAGATGGAAACACATTTAGCTGTTAGTTTGTCCCTGTGTTTAATGGGTGGTAAATATAAGTAGAAAATAAATAGAGAACTTAAGTAAATACAGTTTGAAAAGCTGCTCATGTATTCATCTTTCCCAATTTGGCAGGGTCATGTGGTTTTTGAAGACGTGGCCATATATTTCTCCCAGGAGGAGTGGGGGCATCTCGATGAGGCTCAGAGATTGCTGTACCGTGATGTGATGCTGGAGAATTTGGCCCTTTTGTCCTCACTAGGTAAGGCCCTCACACTTGCCCAGTGTCCTGGGTTGGGCTGTGTTGTCTCCTTTTACCTGAAGGCAGCTCTGCGTTTCCCACAGTGAGACCATGGGTGCTGCTTCTTTTCCTTGTTTCCTGACATATGTTCCATGAGAGTCAGGACTGCAATATGTGCTGTGTGCTTCCTTTTTCCTGGCAGCCCCATCCTCTGCTGTTCTGAGGCTTGCAAGAAAGGGCTCAGGATCCAGAAATGTTGAAGGTGACATAGAGACCCACTGGCCCTGTGTTCTATTCAAATGCATGAGACCTCTGTGCTCTGTTGTTCCCTTGCTCTTGCCAATATTTCTTGGTCCCTTCTTGTTCCTGGAATTTCTGGCACTGACCTGATCACTAATTTGGTGAACCACTGGCTTGATTGTGTAGGATGTAGAAATCTTCTGTGAAGTTCTGGTGATTATCGAATGTGAGATATCATCAGGTGATCTCTCTGGGAATGTGCTGTCTTGTCTCTTTCTGTGTCTTTCCCCTAGGACTGGTCTCTTTCAGGTCTCACAGACTGTCACCTTAAGCAATGGGGAGGGCCCTGGTACCCAAGAGGGTGGATATTACTCCCTGAAGGGCTGTAGAGACTCAGAGGGACATGATCCTGGTTCCTGGGAGTTGGGAAAAGGTGTAATATCACAGCTGGGGTCATATTACTAGGAATCTGTCTGGTGACCCCTGTTGTTTAGTTGAAGACTGGTTGCCACAACTCACTCTTCTTTTCCTTCCCCCGTTGTCATTTTTACTCTGACTTCTAATCCCTGGCTTCCAGCCGTTACCTATTTTCTTCAACTGCTCCCTCTGCAGTGCCATCCACTGCATGACCTGTACTTAAGGTGAGGTCTGCATGTATTTGTCAGTAGTCCCTGAACACCATCTCCTCTGTCACAATCAGATCTCTCTGGGTTTAGACACAGCCTTCTACACACTGCTCACTAGTCACCAGCAGCCATGGCCTGTGGAAAGCCATTTGCAGAGAAGTGACTTGGAGACCCTCCTCCTCTCTGCACTGTACCCCTCTCTTGTGTTCTTACCCATCATCAGGGCTCTCCCATTATGGGTATTTGCCAGGTCCAACTCTGCACAGCAGGCCTTCTTCTCATTGGCCTTAGTGTTTGTATTACTTCATTCTCACTCTGCTATTAGGAAATACCCAAGACTGGGTAATTTCTAAAGGAAAGAGGTTAATTGACTCACAGGTCCCCATTGCTGGGGAGGCCTCAGGAAACTTACAGTCATGGCGGAAGGCAAAGGAGAACTAGGCATCTTCTTCACAGGGCGGCAAGACAAATGAGTCCAAGCAGGGAAAATGCCAGACACATAAAACCAGCAAATTTCATGAGAATTTACTCAGTTTCATGAGAACGGCATGGGGGAAACTGTTCCCATGATTCAGTTCTGTCCACCTGGTCCCACCCTTGACACGTGGGGATTATGGGGATTACAATTCAAGATGAGATTTGGGTGGGGACAGAGAGCCTAACCATATTATTCCACCCCGGCCCCCCCCACCCAATTTTATGTCCCTTCCACATTTCAACACCAATCATGCCTTCCTAACAGTCCTCCAAACTCTTAATTCACTCTAGCATTAACCCAAAAGTCCAAGTCCAAAGTCTCATCTGAGATGAGGCAAGTCCCTTCTGCCTATGAGCCTGTAAAATCAAAAGCAAGTTAGTTACTTCTAAGATATAATGGGGATAGAGGCACTGGATAAATGTACCTATTCCTAATGGAAGAAATGGGCCAAAACAAAGCCTACAGGCCCCATGCAAGTCCAAAACCCAGCGAGGCAGTCATTAAATCTTAATGCTCTGAAATGATATCCTCTGACTCCATCTCTCACATCCAGGGCACAGTGATGCAATAGGTGGGCTCCCACTGTCTTGGGCAACTCTGCCCCTGTGGCTTTGCAGGGTACAGACCCCCCCTCAGCTGCTTTCATGGGCTGGCATTGAGTGTCTCTGGCTTTTTCAGGCACACGTTGCAAGCTGTTGGTGGATCTACCATTCTGGGGACTGGAGGACGTGGCCTTCTTCTCATAGCTCCACTAGGTAGTACCCCAGTAGGGAGTCTGTGTGGGGGCTCCGACCCCACATTTCCCTTCCTGCAGTGCCCTAGCAGAGGTTCTCCGTGAGTTCCACCCCTGCAGCAAACCTCTGCCTGGACATCAGGCATTTCCATACCTCCTCTGAAATCTAGGTGGAGGTTCCCTCCCAAATATCAGTTCATGACTTCTTTGCACCCACAGGCCCAACACCATGTGCAAGCCACCAAGGCTTGGGGCTTAAACTCTGAAGCAATGGCTGGAGCTGTACCTTGCCCCTTTTAGCCATGGCTGGAGTTGAAGCAGCTGGGATGCAGGGCGCCATGTCCCGAGGCTGCATAGAGCAGGGGGACCCAGGGCCAGCAGCTGGGATGCAGGGCTCCATGTCCTGAGGCTGCACTGAACAGCCTGGGCCAGGCCCACAAAACCATTTTTCCCTCCTAGGCCTCTGGGCCTGTGATGGGAGGGGCTGCCGGGAAGGTCTCTGACAGGCACTGGAGACATTTTCCCCATCACCTTCGTGGTTAACATTCCACTCCTCGTTACTTATGCAAATTTCTGCAGCAGCCTTGAATTTCTCCCCAGAAAACGGGTTTTTCTTTTCTATTGCATAGCCAGGCTGCAAATTTTCCAAACTTTTCTGCCTTGCTTCCTCTTGAACACTTTAGCACTTAGACATTTCTTCTGCCAGATACCCTAAATCATCTCTCTCAAGTTCAAAGTTCCACAGATATGTAGGGCAGGGGCAAGAAGCTGCCATTCTCTTTGCTAAAGCATAGCAAGAGTCACCTTTACTCCAGTCCCCAACAAGTTCCTCATCTCCATCTAAGACCACCACAGCCTGGGCTTCATGGCCCATATTGCTAAATCAGCATTTTGATCAAAACCATTCATCAAGTCTCTAGGAAGTTCCAAACTTTCCCACATTTCCTGTCTTCTGCTGAGCCCTCCAAACTGTTCCAGCCTCTGCCTGTTACCCAGTTCCAAAGTCACTTCCACATTTTCGGGTATCCTTACAGCAGTATTTCACTACCTCAGTACCAGTTTACTATATTTGTCCGTTCTCACACTGCTATTAAGAAATACCCTGGCTGGGCACAGTGGCTCACTCCTGTAATCCCAGCACTTTGGGAGGCTGGGGCAGGTGGATCATCTGAGGTAGGAGTTTGAGACCAGCCTGGCCAATATGGTGAAACCCCATCTCTACTAAAAATACAAAAATTAGCCGGGTATGGTGGCAGGTGCCTGTAATCCTAGCTACTCGGGAGGCTGAAGCAAGAGAATCACTTGCACCCAGGGGGTGGAAGTTGCAATGAGCTGAGATCGTGCCACTGCACTCCAGCCTGGGTGACAGAGCAAAACTCTGTCTCAAAGAGATACGCGATACTTGGCCAGGCTTGGTGGCCCACTCCGGTAATCCCAGCACCTTGGGGGGGCTGAGGTGGACGGGTCACTTGAGATCAGGAGTTTGAGACCAGACTGGCCAACATGGCGAAACCCCGTCTCTACTAAGAATAACAACAACAACAAAAATTAGCCGGGCATGGTGGCTCATACCTGTTATCCCAGCTACTTGGGAGGCTGAGGCAGGAGAATTGCTTGAACCCAGGAAGCGGAGGTTGCGGTGAGCTGAGATCAAGCCACTGCACTCCAGGCTCGGGGAAAGAATGAGAGTTTGTCTCAAAAAAAAAAAAAAAAAAAAAAAAAAGACATACCCGAGACTGGATAATTTATAAAGGAAAGAGGTTGAATTGACTCACAGTTCCGCATGGTTGGGAGGTCTCAGGAAACTTACCATCATGGTAGAAGGCAAAGGAGAAGCAGGCATCTTCTTCACAGGACAGCAGGATGGAGTGAGTGCAAGCAGGGGAAATGCAAGATGCTTATAAAACCATTAGATTGGCCGGGTGCAGTGGCTCACACCTGTAATCCCAGCACTTTGGGAGGCCGAGGAGGGCGGATCACCTGAGGTCAGGAGTTTGAGACCAGCCTGGCAAACATGGTGAAACCCCATCTCTACTAAAAATACAATAATTAGCCAGGCGTGGTGGCACGTGCCTGTAATCCCAGCTACTCAGGAAGCTGAGGCAGGATAATCACTTGAACCCAGGATGCAGATGTTGCAGTTAGCAGAGATCGTGCCACTGCACTCCAGCCTGGGCGGCAGAGCAAGACTCAGTCTCAAAATAAATAAATAAAACCCATGAGATCTCAGGAGAACTCATGATCATGAGAACAGCATGGGGCAACCGTCCCCATGATTCGGTTACCTTCACCTGGTCCCACCCTTGACACGTGGGGATTATGGAGATTACAATTCAAGATGAGATCTGGGTGGGGACGCAGAGCCTAACCATATTGTTTCCAGACCAAACCGAGGGTGGGGCTGCTTATTCTTGCAGCCCAATAATGAGATGCAGATGAACTGGGGAAAAAGAGAGTTTTTATTTCTGTAACCGGTTACAGGGAGAAGGCCTGGAAATTATTGCCAAACCAACTCAAAATTACAAAGTTTTGCAGAGCTTATATACCTTCTAAGCTATTTGTCTACATGTGGGTTTGCATTCATCTAAAGATATAAGTGATTAACTTCTCTGTAACCAAGATCTGAGTCCTGAAGACCTTCCTCTGGAGCCTCAGTAAATTTACTTAATCTAAATGGGTCCAGGTGCTGGGGTGATTACCCTTATCTTGTCTCCTTTTAAATCATGGAGGTTTGGGGAGTTTCCTTAGAACCCCAATAAACTTATTCGTGGAGGCCTGGGGAGTTTCTTCAGACCCCCAATAAAATGTATTTAATCCTAAACGAGTCCTGTTAAGAATTCCTTCATTATCTTTTCATCCTTTAAGGCCCAGGAAAGGCCTAGGCAAAACTCTTGGTGGGCTTTTGTTACATTCCAGCCTGTACATGAGGGCACTGGCTCTATCAGCTTTTAATCAACTTAACCACTCAGTCAGTGCTGAAACCGTTGTCATGGAAGCCTGCCTGCTCAGCTGTTAGTGAGACCTGGCCTGCCACAGTACCAGGGTTCATGCCTGTCACCAATTCCATGATCATTTTCATGGGGTGTCTGACTGACATTTGTGATGGGGTTGCCTCCGCTCATCACAGTCAACATGCACCTCACCAGCATTTTTATTCTTACAGGTTGTTGCCATGGAGCTGAGGATGAGGAGGCACCTTTAGAGCCAGGTGTTTCTGTAGGAGTGTCACAGGTCATGGCTCCAAAGCCCTGTCTATCTACCCAGAATACCCAGCCCTGTGAGACATGTAGCTCACTTCTGAAGGACATTCTGCGTCTGGCTGAGCATGACGGAACACACCCCGAGCAGGGACTGTACACGTGTCCAGCACATCTTCACCAGCACCAAAAGGAGCAGATTAGAGAGAAACTTTCTAGAGGGGATGGAGGAAGACCGACATTTGTGAAGAACCACAGAGTTCACATGGCAGGGAAGACCTTCTTGTGCAGTGAATGTGGGAAAGCCTTTAGCCACAAACATAAACTTTCTGACCATCAGAAAATCCACACTGGAGAAAGAACTTATAAGTGCAGCAAATGTGGGATATTGTTTATGGAAAGGTCCACACTCAATAGACATCAGAGAACTCACACTGGAGAAAGGCCTTATGAGTGCAATGAATGTGGGAAAGCCTTTCTTTGTAAGTCTCACCTTGTTCGTCACCAGACAATCCACTCTGGAGAAAGGCCTTATGAGTGCAGTGAATGTGGGAAATTGTTTATGTGGAGTTCCACACTCATTACACATCAGAGGGTTCACACTGGAAAGAGGCCTTATGGTTGCAGTGAATGTGGGAAGTTCTTTAAGTGCAACTCAAACCTCTTTAGGCATTACAGAATTCATACAGGAAAAAGGTCTTATGGTTGCAGTGAATGTGGGAAATTCTTTATGGAAAGGTCTACACTCAGTAGACATCAGAGAGTTCACACTGGAGAAAGGCCTTATGAGTGCAATGAATGTGGGAAATTCTTCAGCTTGAAATCCGTCCTCATTCAACACCAAAGAGTTCACACTGGAGAACGGCCTTATGAATGCAGTGAGTGTGGGAAGGCCTTCCTTACAAAGTCCCACCTCATTTGTCATCAGACAGTTCACACTGCAGCAAAGCAGTGCAGTGAATGTGGGAAATTCTTTAGGTATAACTCTACACTTCTCAGACATCAGAAAGTCCACACTGGATAAGGCCCTTATGAATGCAGTGGATATGGGAAAGCCTTCAGTCACCAACATATTGTGGCTGGACAGCAGGCAGTACACACTGGAGAAAGACTGAATGCCGTGAACGTGGGTAATTATGTAGGTACAGCTCTCCAGTCGCTATGTATCAGAGAATTCACACTGCAGAAATGTGTGTTCAGCAAACTCGGGACATTATTTTGGTTTGACTCTCATCTCATTAGACATTGGAGAGTTTACACTGAAGAAGAGTCTTTTCAATAAAGTAGAAAGTGGTAAAGATTCAACATGCAAGATTGTACTTATTGGGCTTCAGAATATCCACACTAGTGAAAGTCTTCTGAGTACAGCAAATGTGTGACATTATTTTGCTACTACTCCACACTACTTAGACATCATGTAGTTCACACTGGAAAAAGGCCACGTATGTGCCTTGAATGTAGCCAAAATGACGAACAACACCCAGAAATCTGTGATTTAGCACTGAGAACTAGTATTATATGGTTTTTAAAAAACAATGGTGAAGTACATGCCACATAAAATTTGCCATCTTAACTATTGTAATGTCTTGTTTAATACTTGAAGTACATTAACATTGTTGAGCAAAGAATATCCTGAACTCTTTATCTTGTAAAATGAAACTCTATAACCACCATTAAAAAAACAACTCATTCCCACATTCTTCAGTCCCTGGCGACCACCATATTTTTAAGTCATTATGACTCTGACTATTCTTGGTACTTCTCAGAAGAAGAATCTTAGAGTGTTTTTCATTATTTTTTTTCACTTAGGATAATATCCTCAAAGTTCATTCATTTTTTAGCATGTGTCAGAAATTTTAAGGCTGAGCAATATTTCATTGTTTGCATTTACCACATTTCCTTTATTTCTGACATCTATTCATGGACACTTGGGTTACTTCTACCTCTGGCTATTGTGAATATTGCTACTACAAGCATAAGGGCACAAATATCTCTTTGAGACCCTGCTTTCAATTCTTATTGGGTACCCCAAAAAGTGGAACTGCTGGATCACATGGTACTTCTAACTTTAATTCTTTGATGAACTGAGAAACTTTTCCATAAAACTTGCACCGTTTTACATTCCTAACATTCCACAAAAGTTGTGATTTGTCCTCATTCTAATCCATAGAAGGCAACATTTCTAACAGGTTTCTAGGTGATTTTGTTGTTGCTGATGTAGGGACTACATTTTGAGAACTGTCCTATCCCATTTTTATAACAATGCAGAGCTTCTCTGTAAATACCCCTTGTTTCTATGTTCTATCCTGTGAGCCTTTTCATTTTGTTAATTTTTCCCAGTGTTTACAACCAGGAAATAGCTTGTCATCTTTGATACAAAACAGAAATCTTTGCAAAATACCAATTGCATTCTGTAGCCCTTGGATCATTTTCTCCCCCAATCTATGTAGATATTTAGTGGTGTATAATGTTGTATGAGAATACATCATGGTAAGAATACATTTTAAAGGACTTTAAGTCAGGTCACAAAATACAGCAATTTACCTGTGGACCTGCCCTCTACCCAGGCCATCCAGTCCCAATGACTGTGCTCTTACTGCTGCTTTCCAGGTGTGTACCTATCATGGGGTGTGCATGCCACTGACCATTCCTCTGTGCTCTTACTGCTGCTTTCCAGGTGTGTACCTATCATGGGGTGTGCATGCCATTGAGCATTCCTCTTAATGGGTTCTAGGCAACAGATAGAATAGCTTAGGTGCCAAAGCCACAGAACCTATCAGGGGTTGTGTCATTTTGAAAATTATGCCAAATTCTAAATGATCTTGTATGACAGCAGTCCCCCAACCTTTTTGGCACCAGGAACTGGTTTCATGCGAGACAGTTTTTCTGTGGATGGCAGTGCAGGGGGCTGGATGGTTTCGGAATGAAACTCTTCCACCTCAGATCATCAGGCATTAGTTAGATTCACATAAGGAGTGCACCTAGGTCCCTCGCATGTAACAGTTCACAGTAGGGTTTGTGCTCCTATGATGTCTAATGCCGCCGCTGATCAGGAGGTGGAGATCAGGCAGGAATGCTCGCTCCTGCTGTGCGGCACTGTGTGGCCTAGTTCCTGACAGGCCACGGACTGGTACGGTCTGTGGTTTAGGGGTTGGGGATTGCTGTTAAATGGGATTTGGGGAATTTTATTTGGGTTCTCTCTTTGACTAGTCTATTGTCAAAGTTATTCCATCTAATTTTTCTAGAGTAAGCCAGGTTCTGTGTCATGTAATAGAGCCACATAAACAGCAAAGGTGCTATTGTGAACTGTGCATACGAGGGATCAAGTTGTGTTCCTTATGTGAATCTGAGCTAAAATAAGAAAAAAAAAAATTTAGCCTGTGAGGTCAGAAGCAAGACAGTCATGTTAGATTTCTGTCATTATTCATAGTTCTGCAAAGGTGGTTTCAGGTTCTGCATCAACTGAAACGTGCTCTTCCATCCAGCAGCATTTAAAACCAAAGATGCTGTCCCTTAATTAGTTAACTCTCACAATCCATTTTAGTAATGGTTCCTCAGGAAACTGACTACTTCAATCTATAAAGTAAAACAAGTTCTTCACATTATACTCTCTGGTTTGAATAGTTACTTGGTTTTGTTCTTCCCCACAATGACTACCTTCTTGGTAGCCGTAGGTCTCAGAGGCATTTTCTGTTGTCCCTAAATGATTCTGCCCTTGGTGGGAGGTGGCTTTTAGGCTGGCTGGTGGCTTTCGTTCAGATGGACTGAAATCTAAGCTTGATCTAGCATCAAGTTTGGACCCAGCACTCTCTAATTTTTTTTTTTTTAGCTGTTATAGATAACAAAGGATTGAGTAATTTGCTTTTTGCTTATTAGCTTGCATTTTCTTATGCATCCAGTGAACCAGAGATTGAATATTTTGCTTTTTGCATATTAGTTTGCATTTTCTTATGCATCCAGTGTACCAACTCCCTGGGAGCTGGATCCATCTCTAAATTTCCATGGTAACTCTTACCTTTAGTAACTGAGCACAGACAGCCACAGTTCCATACCATGTATGGCCATTTGGCCACTAAGGAATCAAAGGTTTTTCATCCTCCACCCATTTTTAAATTGAGGATTATTCAAAAGTTAAAGAAAAAACTTTATTATCTCTTATTAATATATGTAAATTGTGTTCAAAATAGAAAATGAACTTCTACTTTTTTTTTTTTTTTTTTTGAGATGGAGTCTCACTCTGTTGCCCAGGCCAGAGTGCAATGGTGCGATCTTGGCTCACTTCAACCTCTGCCTCCCGGGTTCAAGTGGTTCTCCTGCCACAGCCCCCTGAGTTGCTGGGATTACAGGTGTGCACCACCTTGCCTGGCTAATTTTTGTATTTTTAGTAGAGACGGGGTTTCACCATGTTGGCCAGACTGGTCTCAAACTCCTGACCTCGTGATCCGCCCGCCTCTGCCTCCACCTCCCAAAGTGCTTGGATTAGAGGTGGAGCCACCGCACCCAGCTTTTTTTTTTTTTTTTTTTTGAGACAGAGTCTTGCTCTGTTGCCCAGGCTGGAGTGCAGTGATGTGATCTCGGCTCACTGCAACCTCAGCCTCCTGGGTTCAAGCAATTCCCCTGCCTCAGCCTCCTGAGTAGCTGGGACTACAGGTGCGCACAACCACGCCCGGCTAATTTTTTATATTTTAGTAGATATGGGGTTTCACCATATTAGCCATGATTGTCTCAATCTCCTGACCTTGTGATCTGCCCGCCTTAGCATCCCAAAGTGCCAGGATTACAGGCATGAGCCACTGCGCCCAGCCGAAATTCTATTTTTATATTTGTGTATTGTCAATACTAAAGCTAATTTGAATAAAGTCTTATAAACAAATCCATCCAATTTTAATCAGGTTTTGACCACACAAGGTAAGATTTTTCCGTAAACCTTTTATACCTTCTTACAAATTTTTTTCTATTTTTCTCTTTCCCCAATTTTTAGATCTATTTACCTTTGTTTGAGACAGAATCTCACTCTGTCACCCATACTGGAGTGCAGTGGTTTGATCTTGGCTCACTGCAACCTCCACCTCCCAGGTTCAAGTGATTCTCGTGCCTCAGCCCCCCACATAGCTGGGATTACAGGCACACACCACCATGTCCGGCTAATTTTTGTATTAGTAGAGATGAGGTTTCTCCATGTTGGCCAGGCTGGTTTCAAACTCCTGGCCTCAAGTGATTCACCCACCTCAGCCTCCCAAAGTTCTGAAATTATAGGCTTGAGCCACTACGCCCAGTCCTAGATCTATTTACTTTTATCTACATTATTTTCCTTTCATTTTGAAACGACCTTTACATAACCCCTAAACTAGACAGAATTCCTTTTTTTTTCTTTCTTTCTTTTTTTTTTTTTTTTTTGAGAGAAGTCTCACTCTTGTTCCTCAGGCTTGAGTGCAATGGCCCGATCTTGGCTCACTGTAACCTCTGCCTCCCGGGTTCAAACAATTCTCCTGCCTCTGTCTCCCAGGTAACTGGGATTAAGGCACCTACCATCACGCCTGGCTAATTTTTGTATTTTTTTTTAGTAGAGACGGGTTTTCACCAAGTTGGCCAGGCTGGTCTCGAACTCCTGACCTCAGATGATCTGCCTGCCTTGGCCTCCCAAAGTGCTGGGATTACAGGCGTGAGCCACCACGCCCGGCCCAGAATTACTTTTTCTTTAGCAAAAACCACATCTTCATTTTTTAAATATAAGCTTCTTCACAAAAAACACATAGTAAACATCATGGCACTGGGCTGCACAATACTTTGATAGAGCACGTTGATGTAAAGACATTTTTGTAAGTGTTTAGAGCATGCCTTTTATATCTAAACATGCAAAGAAATGAGTAGCCTCCTGTCGTAATAACCATTTACTGTAAACAACTGCCACCAGCTGCTTCTGACACTGCAGCTCTTGCTTGTGACAGCCATTACGCACAAAAACGTCAAGTTCTTTCACAGGACAAAGTAATCTCTGGTACCCCCCAAAACCAATGATATCAGGTAATGCACTACAAAAGAAGGCAGAATTTTAGACCTGAGATAAATCTGTCCTCTTAAAACTCTTGAGTGAGAGAGAGAGAGAGAGAGAGAGAGAGAGGGAGAGAGATTTCCTCATCTGGTTAGTGTAGATAGCAGGTTGGCTTCCTGAGCTGGTCAGTGCAGTAGTGGGTTAGAGTTCTGTTTTATATTTGGCTTGGCCATTGTTGATTTCTATAGTCAATTTCTTACATGTAAACAAGGAAGATAGCTATAATATTGAGATTTCTTGTTTTCTTAACTGGTCTTAGGTTGAAAATTGATTTTTCATTCTCCTCCCCGCTCCCCCCTCCCCCCACCATCCCATTCTTCTGCCTCTGCCGGATCTTCAGCTGGGTAGCATTTTGGTTTTGTTTGTTTTTTAACCTGGAGGATGTCCCCAAATATCAAAACCTAAACTTCTGATTCTTAGAAGTCCTCCCTTCGATGAGTTGCTAGTTTTATTTCTGAACATGAACTTACCAAAACATCCCCCAGAAATCCCCTGGTCTCAGACATAACTCTCTATGCTTCCCATTCCATGGCAGCAACTCAGCCTAACTCATCCAAAGCAAAAAAGCAATCCCTTCTTGCTTAAGTGACACAAGGATCCCCAGATGAACAAGTAGCTGTATCACCCTTCAATTAAATGTAATAATATTTACTTCTGGTGGAACCTCTCCTTCCTTGGAACAAAGGGCCCCCAACCAGCAGAATTTACAATTAAGAAGAAGTGGCCAGACACAGTGGCTCAAGCCTGTAATCCCAGCACTTTGGGAGGCCGAGGCAGGCAGATCATAAGGTCAGGAGTTCGAGACCAGCCTGGCCAACATGGTGAAACCCTATCTCTACTAAAGATACAAAAAATTAGCTGTGCGTGGTGGTGCGTGCCTGTAATCACAGCTACTCGGGAGGCTGAGGCAGGAGAATTGCTTTAACCCGGGAAGAGGGGGTTGCAGTGGGCTGAGATCATGCCATTGCACTCCAGCCTGGGCGACAGGGCAAAAAAAAAAATTAGCCGGGCATGGTGGCGGGCGCCTATAATCTCAGCTATTCAGGAGGCTGAGGCAGAAGAATCGCTTGAAGCCGGGAGGCAGAGGTTGCAGTGAGCTGAGATCGCGCCAATGCACTCCAGCCTGGGTGACAGAGCAAGATTCTGTCTCAAAAAAAAAAAAAGAAAAAAAGAAAAAAGAAGAAGGGTAGCAGAAATTCTGTGAATGAGTTACTAGGTTCAAAAATGAGGATGCTCAATATAATGCATAGGTTCAGAAAAAAATTACGATGAAAAGAATTGTCAAATTTTGTAACTGATACTTGACCTGGTTAAATTTGAATTATTTCTAATTCCCTATGTATATGTGCAGTGAGATAAAAGATAAATATTGTATGTGACATACTCATCATAAAATTATTTGTTGTTTATCTGAAATACATTCTAAATCAGGGGTCCCCAACCCCTGGGGCCACAGATGAGTACTATGGCCTGTTAGGAATGGGGCCATATAGCAGAGGGTGAGTGGCAGATGAGTGAGCATTGCTGCCTGATCTCCGCCTCCTGTCAGATCGGCAGCAGCATTAGATTCTCATAGGGGTGCAAACCCTACTGTGAACTGCACAAGAGAGGGATCTAGGTTGTATGCTCCTTATGAGAATCTAATGCCTCTGAAACCATCTGCCCCCAAACCCCTCTCCCTTATCCATGGAAAAATTGTCTTCCACAAAACCGGTCCCTGGTACTAAAAAGCTTGGGGATCACAGTTCTAATGACATAACTCTTTCCCTGATAATTTGCTTCTACTTAACAATTCCTTGTTTTATATAATTTGCTTACAGAATTCCTGCAGTTACAGTCTTGATGCCATTTATGTTGTGACAAACCTTCGTCATTTGTCATATTCAACTTATTTCATTCCTTTATCTATTGGACATTCATTAATGAGAAACACACTCAACAGTAGCATTCTGAGCCTAAAGACTCATGATGATAAACAGTGTAGAAAACATTACAAACTCTATTATAATTATTCTACCATCTCCATCTGATTTTAACAAAAAAGTTATTTTGTCTCTTTCTTTGGAACTAGTTGAGAAAATCATGCACCTTCCAAAGTTAATATATATTTGACTGTCCACCATTTTCATTAGTCAATGGGCAATTACATAGAGTCGAAGACCTTCAAAGGGAATTTTAAATACTCCTCAGTTCATCATAAATTATAAACTTGCATTTTGACATTTTTTGCATTCAATATACTCAAAATATAGACAATAGCAACTTCTACAAGAGTTGAAAAACATTGTGGGTACAGTGGCTCATGCCTGTAATCGCAGCACTTTGGGAGGCCTAGGCGGACAGATCACTTGAGGTCAGGAGTTCGAGACCAGTATGGCCAACATGGCGAAACCCCATCTCTAATAGAAATACAAAAAATTAGCCAGGCATGGTGCCACGCGCCTGTAATCCCAGCTACTTGGGAGGCTGAGGCATGAGAATCACTTGAACCTGGGAGCCAGAGGTTGCAGTGAGCCGAGATTGCGCCACTGCACTCCAGCTGGGTGACAGAGTGAAACTGTATCTTAAAAAAAAAAAAGAAAAGAAAGAAAAAAGAAAACACTGGAGAAAACGTTGGATTTTACAATGTATGTCTGGGTCAGTTAGTCTACCATTTCATATCCAAACTCATAACTAATTACAAACAGATGGAACCATTGAAAGCTTGCAAACTTTTAAATTATATTCATATAATTAAAATATAAGTAATAATTTATATTCAATTAAGAATAAATGGGGCCAGGCGTGGTGGCTCATGCCTGTAATCCCAGCACTTTGGGAGGCCGAGGCAGGCGGATCATGAGGTCAAGAGATCGAGACCATCCTGGCCAACATGGTGAAATCCCGTCTCTACTAAAAATACAAAAAAATTAACTGGGCGTGGTGGCGTGCATATGTAGTTCCAGCTACTTGAGAGTCTGAGGCAGGAGAATCACTTGAACCGGAGAGGCGGAGGTTGCAGTGAGCCGAGATCACACCACTGCACTCCAGCCCAGCGACAGAGTGAGACTCCGTCTCAAAAAAAAAAAAAAGAATAAATAGATTTTGATATCTCAAGGGAAAAAAAGTGATATTCCTATTTGTCTGCAGGGCAGAGCTGTAGTGGTCAGGCAGTCTCCTCAAACAAAGCCAAAACTGCTATTATATGAGCTTTTAGGAAGGCTGGCCTTCAGGGACTGAGGACTTTCAGAAGCAGCAGAGTTGAAAGACTGATGGACTTTCAGGTATGTTAGTGTAAATGCAACCATTTACCAACTGGCTTTCATAAACAGGATTACTGACAGGAGGCACTTGTGGATTAGTTGTTGCCAGCAGCCTGGGGCTGCCACTGATTGACCATCTTTAGTACTGGGCCTTACCCCCATTGGAAAAATTTTAGAATCTTGGCCTAACAATGATTTGCTAAGTTTCTGGTTAATTACTGGGGTGAAGCTTTTGCTGACTAGCTGACTTTTAAAGCATAGGTACACATCCCAAGTTATCTCTAATTAATGGTGGTTTCTTGTTTATGATTATGGATTTGGGGCAGAGATAAATTTTTTCCTTACTTGAACATAAGCCAGCAACTTAATTCTCATTCCCCATTTTTGGTTTCCCAACAGCCAGAATTTGTAAGAAATCATATGCTATGGTTTGGATGTTTGTCTCTTCCAAAGCTCATGTTGAAATTTAATTTCCAATGTTTGAGGTGGGGCCTAATAGGAGGTGTTCTGGTCATGAGGGTAGATCCTACCTGAATACCCCCACTTGAAGATGTGTAAATTCTCACTCTATTAGTTCCCAAGAAAGCTGGTTGTTGAAAAGAGCCTGATACACTCCCCACCCACTGTCCTCCTCTCTTGCAATATGATTCCTTCGCATTATAGCTCTCTTTCGTTTTCCACCATGAATAGAACCCGCCGAAGACCCTCACCAGATGCAGATGCCCAATTTTAAACTTTCCACACATCAACATTTTGAGCCAAATAAACATTTTTTTCTTTATAAATTACCAGCTTCAGGTATTCATTTATAGCAACGCTAACTGGACTAAGACATCATAAGTATTATCTAGATATTTGTTTGTGAGGATATGATTTTCAACTCATGTTGCCAATGAGTAATTTAACGGCCAGTTACAGTCTGAGAAAAATGTGTCTCCCACTGGTGATTCTTTGTAATATATTACAACCAGCTGATATGTAGGATATGTAGGCCATTCTGATAAGTCAATACAGGATTCAGGAAAAATCGTTATATATAGGTCATATTCTTAAACTGTGCCCAGGTCTTAATTAATAATTAGCAATGACACAGAGGGGACACTGCCATCAAAAGAAAAGATTAATGTTACAGTTCCCTGGAAATAAGAGGCACTGAACACCACACAGGCCACAAGAAACCTTATTACATACAGAGACTGGAAAGCAGAAAGAGAAAACAGAGTAACTGGAAGTATGTCTTTATAACTAAAGTGGCAGAGAATGATGAGGTAGAGATACCGTCGATGGGCAGGAAGGAAAAACACATTTTAGTGTTTGTGGTTGGGGGGTTTTATATGAGTTTCATGCACTTGAGTAAGTGGCTTGCAAGAAAAAAAGTAAACAACTTTGGTTCTATTAGTTTGACCCTGTGATTAATGAATATCAAACAGACAAATACAGAATCTAAGAAAACATAGAACAGTCCTGTATACACATAGCAGCTGGGAAACCTATTCCCAGTGTGTCCCATGCACCTATCATTGATCTGAAACCCAATACATATGTGCTCATTGAACATTTACTAGAGAAGTAAATACACATTATCACACAGCTTCTCTATTCATTTTTATCTGTGGCAAGTCTTTCAGTTTATCATCTGTACTTACCCCTCTAAGCAGTTAATGAGCAATGTTTTCAAGTGTGTAAAAAAATTACATTTTGGAAACAAAAGCATAGTGTGTCCAAGTGTCCAGCAGAGCCACAGGTTCAACTTCATTCTCTGACTTCTCAGAATTTGCTGTCTCTCACTCAAACATTGAGATCTTATCTTTTTCTCACATTACAGATCGATTTCTCTAGGGCTTCTGGTTTTTTTTCTTTTGGAATAACCTACATAATTACTAATAGATTTCGGTAATTTTTTTATTTCACAAGTGTTTTTCACATTTCGACTCCCTGTGCAAATACAGTTGTAAACACAGGTGAAATTTTAAATCACTTCTGAGGAAGAAGATAACATCATGGAATTCCACACCTTTTTTGAGGATAAGATGTGCATATGCTTCAACTATGAAAACGGTAGACAATGTTGTCCAGAAATGGCATGTATCAGCTGCTCTTGAGAAATAAAAATAAAATTCTAAGCACCCCCTAACTGACTGAATGGATGCCCTCTTGACCATGAGAACCCTAGAATAACTTTGGAAGCTGAATTCACCACTATAGAGGAACGGGAAATCAGACACACCTCATTATATCCCCTACCACACTACAATCATTAGGTTTTCTTCCCTAAGGGCTAAATAGAAATCAACCTTTTCAGAAGACTACTAGCTTATCTTCCAAGGTACAGAACAGAGAGAAGATGAGATTATTCATTCCTTCATCCTTCTCTGAGACATCTTCTTTATTCCCTTTTCCCCTCACGTGTTTACTCTATCTTATGTAAAATGTAGATTTACTGGGCACTAACTAAAGTTTCACATGTCTGTAATCATTTGTCTCACTGCCAACCCCTCTTCCTTTTTAAGGAAAATGTATAATAAATACTAAACCTCCTAAGAACCTCTTTGGAAAAACCAGCCACAGATGCTTCTGTGACTTACATTTTTCTGGATGTGCCCTTAGGCTGGTCCAGTAATCCTCCATGATTTGTGACTTATGCCTCAATCACTCATTTTGGTCGTCACTCTCATTTTCAGATAGGATTGTGATTCTTAAAATAAATGGAAAATATCTCAGATATGAAGTAGTAAGTATTATTAGAATAAAAGCGTTGCACCCTTCGTAGGAACACAATCGCTGACTCTACAGTCAGGTAAGATGTATTCTCTTTGATCCAGAGGCATAGCTTCACCCTTTCAACCTACTTCAGCGTCTCCTGTCATCCTTCCTACAAATTCCAGTCCATAGCCCTAACTGCGTAGTCTTTCTTTCTTCTTCTGGACCAAACATATTGAAGCTTACTAAACAGACGCCAAAGCGTAACTGTATGTGTATTTGAAAAGCAATAATATGGCTGGCAGGCATGAGTAGAGGCAGACTGCCTTTATGGTATGGGGTGTCTCTTTGGACCTGTAGTTATTGGGAATTAGCTGTGCTTAATAGAGTCTTAAGTAATAAGTTGCTAACATTTCTGTAAATATCCTATACTACAATCCAAAAAAATACCGTATGTTGCCTTTAAGAGCAAGCCAAGCCCCCTCCTGTCTTTGGAGTCGGGGACTCCGTTTCCCAGCTCCCCTGACAGTGCCACTGGGCCTTTATCTGCCATATAAGGACTGATCAACGCTCTAAGACAAGTCCGGAAGCGGTGTCGAAACTTCATAACCCAGAAGACACTGCAGCTCTCGGCGGCACGACTTACCCAATAAAGGCTTAGAAGGGGACGTTTGCGTGCGTGCGCACCGTCGGAGGGCGGGACTTCCGCCGTCCTCCTGGTGGTGGTCGTTTTGGTTCTGTGTGGTGTTTCACCAACTTCGGCCTATGGCTCTGTCTGACGTCACCGAAGTGACGGAACGGAAAAGCGCGAGAAGCGGCTCGGTTCCCACCACGGAGAGGCGGGAGTGAGTCAACTGACAAGCGCTGGGGACAGTGGCGTCCTTGTCTTGCCTTTGTCGCTCCCGCCCCGCTCTTCCCTGGCTGGGCTGGCGGAGGCCTTGCTGATGAACCTGACTGAGGTGGGTGTCCCGTCCCAGGCTCCCCCGCCCGACCGGTCCTCCCAGTGCTGAAGCCCCCTGAAGGGGCCCTGCAGGTCAGGCCCCTTGTCCCGAAGAGAGGGGCGTTCCTGTGTGGGGTCCCCGTATCAGCCGATTTGATGCAGCCTCAGAGCTCCCGTTAGGGACCTCAGGTTCAGAGCATGGAGGCGCTGCCGAGTGGGCTGTGTTGGGGCGTCAGGGGTGTGTGTTGTTTCTGCGGGAAAGAGAGGGTTTTGTGAATTCTCGCTTGGAATGGCAACCTGAGCAGCCAGTAACCATGGAAGGTTGTCAAGGGAGGGACAGTTGGAGGGGGCAGGTCCAGAGTTCGAAGTTTCAAGTTAGGAAAACCAGGTTAGGAATGGACACAGGGAGACGCGAAAAGGCCCTGAGGCCACTGCAGTAGACCCAGGAGAATTATGGTTGGGGCTGGACCAGTGACAGTAGAGGGAGATGTGATGAGATTCTTCATAGGCCTGAAAGATAGGGCCCGTAGGTTTTCCTGGTGCTTCAGTTATGTCTGAACAAAGGCAGTGAAGAACCGTTTCAAGTGTTTGTTTTGTTTTTTGTTTTCTGTTTGAACGTTTGGAAGAATGGAGTTGGGGAAGTCAGCATAAAGAGCAGATTTCCGGGAGAAGATCACAGGTTGGATTTTGGACATGGTGATTCTCAAATGTCTCAAGATGGATATGTCACACAGACAGGTGGACATAAAGGTGTGGAGTCTGAGGAAGGGGATTGGGTTGGCGATACCAGACGGATGGAGGGCTTGGACTGGGCCAGAGAATGGTCTGAGGATCAGATTGAGTAGGTCGGTCTCGGGTTTTTTTTGTTTGTTTGTTTGCATAAATTTAAGGAGTCAAGTGCAGTTTTGTTATATGGATATATTTGCATAGTGGTCAAGTCTGGGCTTTTAATGTATCCATCGCCTGAATAATGTACATTGTATCCATTAAGTAATTTTTCATCACTCATCTTCGTCTCATCCTTCTACCTGTTTGGAGTCTCCAATGTTTGTCATTCCACACTCTTTGTCCATGTGTACACATTATTCAGCTTCCACTTGTAAGTGAGAACATTTGGTATTTGACTTTCTGTTTCTGAGTTGTTTCATTTAATAATGGCCTCCAGTTCCATCCACATTGCTGTAAAAGACATAGTTTCATGCTTTTTTTTTTTTTTGTGGCCTAGTGGTATTACCTTGTGTATATATATGCCACATTTTCTTTACCCAGTCATACATTGATGGATAATTGGTTAATTCCCTATCTTTGCTATTGTGAATAGTGCTGTGATAAAAATACATGTTTTTTTTAATGTAATGATTTATTTTCCTTTGGGTAGATGCCCAGTAGTGGAATTGGTGGATTTAATGGCAGTTCTATTTTCAGTTATTTGAAAAATCTTCATACTGTTTTCCATTGAGGTTGTACTTATTTACATTCTCACCAACAGTGTGTAACCTTTTTCTCTTCTCCATATCCTGGGCAACATCAGTTGTTTTTTGACATTTAAATGATAGCCATTCTGACTGGTGTAAGGAGATACTGTGGTTTTAATTTGAATTTGTCTGATGATTAATGATGTTGAGCATTTTTTTATATGCCTGCTTGCGATTTATGTGTCTTCTTTTTGAAAAATGTCTGCCCTGTGCTTACTGTTTTTTTTTTTTTTTTTTTTTTGAAATGGAGTCTCGCTCCGTCGCCCAGGCTGGAGTGCAGTGGCGCGATCTCGGCTCACTGCAACCTCCACCTCCCAGGTTAGTTCAAGCAATTCTGCTGCCTCAGCCTCCCAAGTAGCTGGGATTACAGGTGCCCACCACCACGCCCAGCTAATTTTTTGTATTTTTAGTAGAGACGGGGTTTCACCATGTTGGCCAGGCTGGTCTTGAACTCCTGACCTCAGGTGATCCACCTGCCTCGGCCTCCCAAAGTGCTGGGATTACAGGTGTGAGCCACCGCGCCCAGCCCTGTGCTTACTGTTAATGAGATTTTTTGTTGTTGTTTTTTTGTTATGTTTTGTTTGTTTGTTGTTGAGTTCTTTGTAAATTCTGGATATTAGTACCCTGTCAGATGCATAGTTTGCAAATATTTCATCCCATTTTTCAGGTTGTACATTTACTTGGTTGATTAGTCCTTTTGCTATACAGAAGCTGTTTAGTTTAATTAGGTCCTGTCTACTTTTGTTTATGTTGTTTATGCTTTTGAAGTCTTATTCATGAATTTTTTTGCCTAGACCAATGTCCAGAAGGGGTTTCCCTGAGTTTTCCTTTAGTATTCTTCGTTCAGGTCTTACATTTAAATCTTTAATTCATCTTGAGTTGATTTTTGTATATGGCAAGAGAAATTGGTCCAGATTCATTCTTTTTCATATGGCAATCCAGTTTTCCCAGCACATTTTATTGAAAAGTGTGTCCTTTCCGTAGTGTGCATATTTGTTGCCTTTCTCAAAGATCAGTTGGCTATAGATATGTGGCTTTATTTCTAGGAACTTTGTTCTGTTCCATTGATCTATGTGTCTATTTCTGCAGTCAAATGCTTTACCACTGAGCTGTACACCTTATGTGTCTATTTCTATCCATTACCATGCTGTTTTGGTTACTAACAACTTGTAGTATAATTTGAAGTCAGATGGACTTAATTTGAGGGAAATCTTGAGGTTGTCATTTCAGGTGGGCTCTGTGTTGAGAGAACAGGGGGCTGAGACTTGGGGGCCAGACCATTGGTGGCTCCACAGACATCATACTCTGTCCAGAACGGTGCAGACCTGGCATAACAGGGATTCTGGATTGCATCTGTAAAAAGGGAGGCCTGGACTGGGTAAGCATATGGCCTGGGATGGAGGCTGAAGTGTGAGGTGGTTTCGATCCTGCACCTGCAGGCTTGGTTGACCCTCAGGGCCACTCTCTGTTGAACAAGAGAAATGTTATTGAGGCTGGTGGAGTAGCTGGGTTCCAGATCAGAGCACTGCTTTTTCCCCTTCTCTACATGTCAGGGCTACAGGGGATGATCTACTGCTCCAGCCAAGGTCTCCTGGCAAGCTCACTTTAGAAGATTATGTAGCAGGTAGACCTGGTTGCAGAAAGGACCAGTACCTGACCTGCCTACTCTTCCCTTCTCTATAACTCATTAACTTAATAATGTATGAAACACTTATTGATTTAAACCCCAATTAGACAGTATCTTTCTAAGTGTGTGCAAACAGATAGGCAGTTAATAGTGAAGTCATTATGTTAAATTTCTAAAAGTGAGCCGGGTGTGGTGGCTCACACCTGTAATCCCAGCACTTTGGGAGGCCGAGGTGGGTGGATCACCTGTGGTCGGGAGTTCGAGACCAGCCTGACCAACATGGAGAAACCCTGTCTCTACTAAAAATACAAAATTAGCCGGGTGTGGTGGCGCATGCCTGTAATCCCAGCTTCTCAGGAGGCTGAGGCAGGCGAATTGCTTGAAAACAGGAGGCGGAGGTTGCAGTGAGCCAAGACCACGCCATTGCACTCCAGCCTGGGCAAGAAGAGCAAAACTCTGTCTCACAATAGAGGAGAGGAGAGGGGAGGGGAGGGGAGGGCAGAGGAGGGGAGGGGGGAGGGCAGGGGAGGGGAGGGGAGAAAGTGGTTCATAATTGGTTTGATGTTAATTTATCTCGTTTGCTTTCCTTGGAAAAAGTTAATATCGCATCCTCTAAAATCTTAAGCTAAAAACATACATGAAAATTTCAAAACCCCACTCTTTCATTTGCATTGAACTCATGTACAAAACCATTAATCTTGGACCATAGCCGCTGATATATATAGTACATGCTACTGATGTTTGATACTAATATGAGCCCTGTGAGGGGGCAGCTATTCTTGCAATCTATTTACAGATGGAGACACTGAAGCTCAGGTGGGTTTGGTTCTTTTCCATGGTCACAGAGCTGCAGCACTGAGGCCTGAGGAACTTTATTCAATGAATTGAGATCAGTTTGCTCCCAGGCAGGGCAGACGAGGTGGTGGTCCATCTCAGCCTGAAGGATCCTTCCATGGCTGTCAATTTCTCACGGCCTTTCTCTTCCCTCAGGGTCCCCTGGCGATGGCAGAAATGGACCCTACACAGGTGAGTAGAGTGTTTCCTACTATTCACCCACCCTGGTTATCTCCCAGATGGTTTTGGCAGGTGACAAAACCTCTTTTCCTGTCTTTCTCTTATGTCTGAAGGGTGAGTGGTTTCACCAGTTAGTTTCAGTATTACAAGTTGGCTGCTGGGTTACATAGACTGGTCCCCGTTTTTGAGAATTGATCTGATAAGATATGTTTGGGCCTCTTGGGCACAGGATTCAGAATGTTTCAATGTTTGGAGGAGAGACTGAGCTAGGTTTTTAGGGAACTGCAAATGTCTGTTACATCTGGTAGGAATACGGAGCAGAATGGGAGGTGGCTAGAGGCACACAAACATCAGGCCTGGAATGACAGCCTAGGTCCTGGGTCTGTAATCTAAGGGAAGTGGGAGACGGGGAAGATTTGAAGCAAAATAGGTAGTGATAGGACCCCAGTTTAAGAGACTTTCTTTGGCTTCTGAGTGGAGGACAGACTGTGGAGGTGAGGGTAATGGAAGGGAGATCTGAGAGGATGTTCCTGCAGCAGTCTAGGTGGATGTTGGTGGTGGCTTGTCAAGAGTGGTCATAGCTTCAGTTTTAACTAGAGCTGCCCACATTTTATGATACAGAGAGTGAGGCAGCTGGGGAGGTGGGATAGAAGGGGAATCAGGAGTGGCCCCATGGTTTTTGTTTGGAAGCATAGATGCTCCATCAGCTAAGATGGGAGAAGTCAGCAGTATTAGGAATTTTCAGAGTGAGTGTGAGGAGTCAGTGTTTGTTCAAGCCACAGATGTCTCAGAGACTCCTGATGGAGGAGTTCAGGTTGGAGATGTCCACACTATGGTGGCTGTCGTATGGACCAGGATGAAGCCATGGATTCAGTTTAGGTGACAGCATCTCTAGGTTATGGTGGCAGTGCTGTTCGAAGACAGAGAATTGGAATGGGGCATGAGAACTGGGTCTCTTACTGGGTAGCTGTGCAGTGGTGGAGGAGTCACTAGACAAATGAGGGAATGGAGTGTTTGTGGGGATGAGTGTATGTGAGATGGTGGGGTATAGGAGTGAGAAAGACTTCTGAAGGAGAGTGGACATGATGGGGTTGCTGAGGGGGGATAATAGGGTGAGGTCGGAGAGTTGCTAACTATCAGTTGGGAGGAGGTGAGGATGGGAGTTGTATTAATCCGTTTCCATACTGCTGTAAAGAACTACCTGAGACTGGGTAATTTATGAAGAAAAGAGGTTTAACCAACTCACAGTTCTTCAGGCTTAACAGGAAGCATAACTGGGAGGCCTCAGGAAACACAATCCTGGCGGAAGGTGAAGGGGAAGCGAGGCACATCTTCCCATGATGGAGCAGGAGAGAGGGAGAGAATGAAGGGGGAAGAGCCAAACACTTTTAAACAACCAGATCTCGTGAGAACTTACTATTATGAGAAAGGCAAGGGGAAAATATGCCCTCATGATCCAGTCACATCCCACCAGGTCCCTCCCCTGACACGTGGGGATTACAATTTGACATGAGATTTGGGTGGGGACACAGAGCCAAACCATATCAGGAGTGGAAATATGGAGGTCAGTGCAGCTGGGCTTGGAATGAGGTTTTGGTGGAGAGCAATTTTCCTGACTGTTTATGGGACAGAGTGTACCATGAGGCAGGACACAGCTGAGAGTATGGGAAGTCCTCACATGGTTTGGGCAGCTGACAGTGAAGTGAGAAACAGGGCCGTGTAGGGAACCTTCAACCCAGGGCTTAGGGCTGCCCCCGGTGCTAGGGGACTTTGGTGTTCTGGGGCAGGACTGGGAATGAATTGGATGCTGAGCGTATTTGCCGTGCACCACCTGGTTTCCGTGTGCAGAGTGGCCTGTTAGGAGGTGAAGGAAATGCCTGTGGTGTGGGCTGGGAGTTGTCTGTGGAATTGACTGGAGTGGAGGTGTGAGAGATGGGATTGGAGTGCTGTCCAAAGAGTGATGTGCAGGCAGGAGGAGTGTGAATGGAGGGCCTCAGGCCCTGGCCCTGGTAGCTCAAGGGAGGAGGATGAGTCTGAGTTTGGTTGTCTTGGGAGGCAAGATCTGGGTGACTCCATGGCAACTGGCTGGCAGGAGAGGATGGATCCCCCCACGGGAGGCCCACATTCCTTTTCTACCTTATCTTCCATCTGTTTCCTCTGTGTGCTGGACACGGTGGCCAATGTCAATATGGAGAGAAAAGTCACTCATGCCACCTGGATGTGGTTTCTCTTCCACATTGGGAGGGTGTGGAAGAGATTGAGCAAGGAATGGAGGCGTAGGGGACAGCGATGAGATCCTGGAGAGAGAAATGTAGCAGTCATTTTACCTATTGGGTTTTAATTTATGGATGTGAGTGATTGATGCTGGGGACAGGCCAATGACTGAAAGAAGATATTTATTCCTTGCATTTCCCCAAGGGGGGTACATACCACATAACACAGGGCCACATGGTGAGGCACCAGATTTGGTCAGGAGGAAAATTGGAGTGAGGGGAAAGTTTAGTTTAGTCCACGGACGCTATTGGGGTTTCCAAGGGAAAGCAATGCAGGGCTGGGCGTCAGGATAGTTTGGCTAGTTTAAATAATTCCAGGACACCTGGGCTATTGGGACTGTCCCTAGTTTTGCAGTACCTGGCCCTGGGTTGATTTAGAGTACGGGAAATATTGGCTTGGTTTGAGAATATGGGCCCAGGGTGGTAGGGGAGATGGAAACACATTTGGCTGTTAGTTTGGCCCTGTGTTTAATGGGTGGTAAATATAAGTAGAAAATAGAGAACTTAAGTAAATACAGCTTGAAAAGAAGCTGCTTATGTA
This sequence comes from Homo sapiens, assembly GCF_000001405.40. NCBI lineage: Eukaryota > Metazoa > Chordata > Mammalia > Primates > Hominidae > Homo > Homo sapiens. The sequence continues at coordinate 57,397,026 of NC_000019.10, forward strand.
TTCATCTTTCCCAATTTGGCAGGGCCGTGTGGTCTTTGAGGACGTGGCCATATATTTCTCCCAGGAGGAGTGGGGGCACCTTGATGAGGCTCAGAGATTGCTGTACCGTGATGTGATGCTGGAGAATTTGGCCCTTTTGTCCTCACTAGGTAAGGCCCTCACACTTGCCCAGTGTCCTGGGTTAGGCTGTGTTACCCCTTTTTACCCAAAGGCAGCTCTGCGTTTCCCACAGTGAGACCGTGGGTGCTGCTTCTTTTCCCTGTTTCTTGGCATATATGCTGTGGGAGGCAGGGCTGGGCCGTGTGTTTTATACCCCCTTTTTCCTAGCATCCCCATCCCTGCTGCTCTGAGGCTTACAAGAAAGGGCTCAAGAGCCAGAAATGTTGAATTTGGCATAGAGACCCCACCAGCCTTGTCTGTCCCTGGTCAGGTTACTCTGTCCAAACACATGAGACCTGTGTTCTGTTGTCCCCTTTCTCTCACTGATATTTCTTGGTGCCTTCCTGTGCTTGGAATTTCAGGCACTGCCCTGGTCACTGATTTTGGGGACTGCTGAGTTGACTATGCAGGACGCAGGACTCTTCTGTGAAGTTCTTACGATTATAGAATGTGGGATGCCATGGGCTTGATCTCTCTGGGCATGTGCTCTTTACTCTTTTTCTCTTTCTTTCCCCTAGAGAGGGCCCCAGGCACCTGAGAGGGTGGATATTACTTCAACAATGGCATTAGAGGCTCAGGGACATGGCCCTGGTGCCTGGGAATTGGGAAAAGGGTTGATGTCACAGCTGGGGTCAAATCACCCTGGGAACCTGTCCTGTGTTCACCATTGTTTGTTGCCAGGGCCACTGGCCACAGATTTCTACCTTTTCTTCCCCATTATCATTTCTAGTATGACTCCTGGCCCCTGCACCTCCAATGCCCCACAGTCTGTACTTCTGGGGCCACCACCCTTCAACCATTCTTTTCCACTGCTCCCTTTGAATGCCTGCCAACACGTGGCCTGTATTTAACATGGTGTGAGGTCTGCATGTATCCCTGAACACAAGCTCCTCTGTCACAGTCTGATCTCTCTGGGTTTGGAGAGAACCTTCTACACACTGCTTGCCAGTCTCCAGCAACCATGGCCTGTTGATGGCTGTTTTCAGAGGAGTGAGTTGGAGACCCTGCCTTCTCTCTCTGTACCATACCCCTCCCTTGTATGCTTACCATCATCAGGGCTCTCCCATTATGGGGCCTTGCCAGGCCCAGCCCTGCATAGTGGACCCTCCTCTCACTGGCCTTAATGTCCATGATGTCCCCAATCCCATGGCCTTATTTGTGTGTGTGCCTGACACACATTTGTGATGGAGCTGCTTCCTCCCACCAGAGTCAACATGCACTTCTCCAGCATTTCTGTTCTGACAGGTTCTTGGCATGGAGCTGAGGATGAGGAGGCACCTTCACAGCAAGGTTTTTCTGTAGGAGTGTCAGAGGTTACAGCTTCAAAGCCCTGTCTGTCCAGCCAGAAGGTCCACCCTAGTGAGACATGTGGCCCACCCTTGAAAGACATTCTGTGCCTGGTTGAGCACAATGGAATTCATCCTGAGCAACACATATATATTTGTGAGGCAGAGCTTTTTCAGCACCCAAAGCAGCAAATTGGAGAAAATCTTTCCAGAGGGGATGATTGGATACCTTCATTTGGGAAGAACCACAGAGTTCACATGGCAGAGGAGATCTTCACATGCATGGAGGGCTGGAAGGACTTACCAGCCACCTCATGCCTTCTCCAGCACCAGGGCCCTCAAAGCGAGTGGAAGCCATACAGGGACACAGAGGACAGAGAAGCCTTTCAGACTGGACAAAATGATTACAAATGTAGTGAATGTGGGAAAACCTTCACCTGCAGCTATTCATTTGTTGAGCACCAGAAAATCCACACAGGAGAAAGGTCTTATGAATGTAACAAATGTGGGAAATTCTTTAAGTACAGTGCCAATTTCATGAAACATCAGACAGTTCACACTAGTGAAAGGACTTATGAGTGCAGAGAATGTGGAAAATCCTTTATGTACAACTACCGACTCATGAGACATAAGCGAGTTCACACTGGAGAAAGGCCTTATGAGTGCAACACATGTGGGAAATTCTTTCGGTACAGCTCCACATTTGTTAGACATCAGAGAGTTCACACCGGAGAAAGGCCGTATGAGTGCAGGGAATGTGGGAAATTCTTTATGGACAGCTCCACACTCATTAAACATCAGAGAGTTCACACCGGAGAAAGACCTTATAAGTGCAATGATTGTGGGAAATTTTTTAGGTATATCTCCACACTCATTAGACATCAGAGAATTCACACTGGAGAAAGGCCTTATGAGTGCAGTGTATGTGGGGAATTGTTTAGGTACAACTCCAGCCTTGTTAAACATTGGAGAAATCACACTGGAGAAAGGCCTTATAAATGCAGTGAATGTGGGAAATCATTTAGGTACCACTGCAGGCTCATTAGACACCAGAGAGTCCACACGGGAGAAAGGCCTTATGAGTGCAGCGAATGCGGGAAATTCTTTCGTTACAACTCCAACCTCATTAAACATTGGAGAAATCACACTGGAGAAAGGCCTTACGAGTGCAGAGAGTGTGGGAAAGCCTTTAGCCACAAGCATATACTTGTTGAGCACCAGAAAATCCACAGTGGAGAAAGACCTTATGAGTGCAGCGAATGCCAGAAGGCCTTTATTAGAAAGTCTCACCTGGTTCATCACCAGAAAATCCACAGTGAAGAGAGGCTTGTGTGCTCCATGAATGTGGGGAATTCTTTAGCTAAAACTCCAACCTCATTAAACATCAGAGATTTCACAATGGAGAAAGTTTACCATTGACTATTGTAATTGGGTAGTAATGTTATATAAATTCCACATTTTTATGCAACTAATCTCCAGAACATTTTTCCTCTTACCAAGAAGTAAAATGCTGTACCCATTAACAACAACTCATTCCCCTTCCCTACTTCCCCAGAAATGTCTCAACTATATTTCTATACTCTATGGTACTTATATGAGGTACCAATAGATATCTATGAATTTGATATATATTTGTACCTCATATAAGTGGATTCTACAGTATTTATCTTTTGAGACTGGCTTATTTCACTTAGGATAAGGTCTTCACGGTTCACCCATGTTGTATAATGTGTCAGAATATCCTTCCTTTTTAGGTGAAATAATATTCTATGGTATTTATATACCACATTTATTTATCCATTCATCTGTTAGTGGATACTTGGGCTACTTCCACCTTTTGCCTATTGAAATAATGCTGCTATGAAGATGAGTGTACAAGTGTCTATTCAAGATTCTACTTTCAATTCTTATAGGGTATATACTCAGAAATGGTGGTGCTGGATCATATAGGATTTCTATTTTTTTTTTTTGTTTGTTTTTGAGACAGAGTCTTGCTCTGTCACCCAGGCTGGAGTGCAGTGCTGTGATCTTGGCTCACTGCAAGCTCCGCCTCCCAGGTTCATGCCATTCTCCTGCCTCACCCTCCCGAGTAGCTGGGACTACAGGTGCCTGCCACCACGCCTGGCTAATTTTTTTGTATTTTTAGTAGAGACGGGGTTTCACCGTGTTAGCCAGGATGGTCCTGATCTCCTGACCTTGTGATCTGCCTGCCTTGGCCTCTCAAAGTGCTGGGATTACGGGCGTGAGCCACCGCGCCTGGCCAGGATTTCTATTTTTAATATTTTTGGGAAAATTTTTCCATAGTACCTGTGCCATTTTACATTCCCACCAGCAGTGCACAAGGATTGCAATCTATATACATCCTCACCAACATTGTTCATTTTCTATTTCTGTTTTTGGGGTTTTTTGTAGTGCCTTTTGTTTTGGATAGCAGCTATCTTGTTGGATGTGAGGTGGAATCTATAGTGTCTTTCATTTTTATTTTGTGAATGATTGATGATGTTGAGGATCTTTTCATGTGCTTGTTAGGCATTTGTGTATCTGGAAAAATATTCAAGTCTTTTTTTTCCATTTTTAATGGGACTATTTGCTTTTTGTTGTTGAGTTGTAGTTCTTTATACATTCTGGATATTAACTCCTTACCAAATATATGCTTTTTACATATTACCTCCCAGTCCATAGGTTGCTTTTTCGCTCTGTTGATTGTGTCCTTTGATGAAATTTTAAGTTTTGATGTACTGTTGACTCTTTCTGTCTGTGGGTTCTGTATTCATGGATCGAAGCAACCATGGATCAAAAGTATTTGGAGCATCCATGGATTGCAGTGATCATTAATCAAAAATATTTGGAAAACAAAAAGGGTAGTTGCATCTGTACTAAACATGAACAGACATTTTTTCTTGTCATTATTCCCTAAACTATATAGTATAATAAATATTTACATAGCATTTACATTGTATTAGAAGTTATAAATAACCTAATGATAATCTATATAGGAAGATGTGTGTAGGTTATATTCAAACACTATGCCTTTTTATGTGAGGGACCTCTTGAGCATCAGATGATTTTGGTATCCACAAGGGGTCCTGGAATCAGTCCCCCACAGACACCAAGGGATGACTGTAGTGCATTTTATCTATTTTTACTTCTGTTACCTGGGCTTTTGATGTTATATATTAAAAAAAATTAGTATCAAATCCAATGCCAAGCATTTTCCCTATGCTTTATTCTAAGAATTTTATATTTGAAGGTCTTACATTTAGGTCTTTTTTTTTTTTTTCTTTTGGAGGCAGAGTCTTGCTCTGTCACCCAGCCTGGAGTGCAGTAGTGGAATCTCAGCTCACTACAACCTCCGCCTCCTGGGTTCGAGCCATCACCCCACCTCAGCCTCCCAAGTAGCTTGGATTACAAGTGTACACCACCACACCTGGCTAATTTTTGTATTTTTAGTAGAGATGGGGTTTTGCCATGTTGGCCAGGCTGGTCTTAAACTTCTGGCCTTAAGTGATCCCCCTGCCTCGGCCTCCCAAATTGCTGAGATTACAGGCAGGAGTTGTAATGCACTGTGCCTGGCTACATTTAGATCTTTAATCTACTTGGGGTTCATTTTTGCATATGGTTTAAGGCAAAAGTCCACTTTATGTGGCTATCCAGTTTTCCAAGCACCATTTTTTGAAAAGAGCATCTTTCCTCTGTTGAGTAGTCTTGGCACACTTGTCAAAATCATTTGTCCATATATGCCATGGTTTATATGTGGATTCTCTATTTTATTGGTCATATGTCTGTCTTTATGTCAGTACCACACATTTTAGGTGTGTGTGTGTGAGACTCAGTGTTGAGGACAAGGCTAGTGGGCTTTCACACTCCAGACTGCTGTATTCCAGCCCAAATTACTCAAATTAGCCAATCCATGGGGAACATGGAAAACGTAGCTAATGCAATCCGCTTGCCTTACCTAAGTTGTCCCCTGCAGCCTCAGGTTGCTGTTACTGTGTTTCAGATGCAACCCTCTGTGGGACCCTACCCAAGTTCTCTCATTCTTAGCTATAGGTAATAAATTGTTCTGATTTTGTGTATCCAAGTGACATTGGGTTGTTTCTTGCTATCAGAAGAACCCAGAAAAGTATTATGAATCTAGTGAATGTTGGAAAATCTTTAGCCATTAGCATAACCTCATTTCGTGCCAGCATGTTCACCCTAGAGAAAAGTAGAAGTGAAGGCAATGTCATCTTTCCTTGTTAACATGATAACTCAGTAGAGCAATGCTTTGGAGATTAGCTTTTTAGGGAGAGAGCCAGCAGTTGAGCCTCCTGCATCTGAACATCCACACTAGGGATATTGTCTGTACTGCCAGATATATGGGAAGATTTTGTGAACTGTGTTGCAGTTTTCAACTTGACTGGGGCCTTTCCCAGAGTTATGCCCCTGCCAGTGCCTATTTAAAAATGTCATCTCTTTTCTACCAACTGGCAAAGAGCCATGGTGTGTAGCATTTTAGTCACATTAAAATGCAGTTATGGCAGCATGCTGTGTTCTCTATCTGAAGAATTCACTAGTCACTTGAACACTTTGGAGTCCTCACCCCCCTCCTATGATTGATTAGGGCATAGACATCAGCCTTGGACAGAAGACATGGACTGGCTTTGGCAGGCAGATTGCAGAAATTTCCTTTCTCCAGGGGAAAGTATTGGTTATCTCATTGATAGTGGTAGGAGGCAGATACATTGCTAGGCAGACTAAGGACGGGTCCCTGGTGAAACCCAAACTTCAAGCCAACGACAGTTTAAAGCCTGAAAATTGAGCTGCCAGTTCCAAGTAGAGTCCATGACTGGAGTGAGAACTTCCTCAATGCCTTTTAGCCAATCAAATGGTGCTTTTTCCAGGCCCACCCATGGACCAATCAGTATGCAGTCTCCATTCTGAGCCCATAAAAACCCTGGGCCCAGCTACACATTGGGCTACCCACTTTCAGGTCCCCTCTTGTTGAGAGCTTTTCTGCCACTCAATAAAGTTCCCTGCCTTGCTCACTCTCTGGTGTCCACATAACATCATTCTTCTTGGTCATGGGACAAGAACTCGGAAACTGCCAAATGGCGGGTGTGAAAGGAGCTGTAACACTGTAGCCCTCCTGCCTTCCACCAGCCCCAGGCAGCCACCCCATGTGACAGGAAGCAGCGGCAGCAGGGCCAGGCCAGCCCATGAGCCATGGGCTGGAGCAGGGTGGCAGGACCAAACAAGCTGTGACACACCCCCATTCACTGAAGTGTGTGGATGGTGGGAACAGACAAGCTGTAACACAAATGAGCTGTAATGCTTCCTTGGGGCTCAGACCTTGGGATTCCCTGAGCAAAAGCTGTAACACCCCTTGGGGCTCTGTGGTTGCTGGCGTCTCTGAGTTTTTGGGCGCTGCCATGTCCCCCTTGTCCAGATACCAGCTTCCAAGGCAGAAGCCGGTCGCAGCACGCCTGGACCAGCTGTAGGCCAAGCACAGAGCCATGGTGGGCACAGGATCCGGCTGGTAACATGAGCCAAGCACAGCCTGTCGGACTGAGTTAGTTGAGTGAGTCCAGCAGGCCAAGTGATGTCTGGGCAGAAGTGCTTCAGCCATGGAGGTTTCTGCCTGGTGAAGTGGCACTGAAAGTATCTTGTGTCATCATGACACTTGGGATGGAATTTTCCAACCTGCCAGTCACCCACACTGTGAACTCCTTCTCACCCCTAATGCACACACATACCCTGGTTGGTTTTGTGATAATAAAGGTCACATTGTTTAAGCTACCTTAACTCTTGGAAATCTAGTCACCGTATGCAGTGGGTTTTGAACAGAATTGGTCTCTGCTAGAATAAAAGCATGAATGGTTTTTTGTGGGACCTTTACTTTGTGAGCTCCAGAGGGACTAGTAGGAAGCAAAAGATCAGCTCGTATGCAGATTTGGGCCAATTTGCATTGCCATGAGAAGCCTCCTGGGAAAGTCTGAAGGACTTCTGCACAAAATTTCAAGCCCTGAGTACAAAGATTATTTGTATTCAGAAAAGTACAATTTGAGGAGAAAACAGTTGCCTTGATGTTTAAGGCATTGGGCAACAGTATGCATTGGGTATCCCTACCCATATTTCCCATATTTCCCCTGCATTGATGAGGGATAGCTGTTTCTTGTGACCTGCTGGAAGCTATGGGTCCTGAAGTAAAACACTATCTAGGTATATGTTCCTGGCTGTTGACCTTTAGGGCTAGATGGAAGCCATATTCTTTTTTTTTTTTTTTTTTCTTGAGACGTAGTCTCGCTCTGTTGCCCAGGCTGGAGTGCAGTGGGATGATCTCAGCTCACTGCAACCTCGCTTCCTGGGTTCAAACAATTATCCTGCCTCAGCCTTCCGAGTAGCTGGGACTATAGGTGCACGCCACCACACCCGGCTAATTTTTGTATTTTTATTAGAGATGGGGTTTCACCATATTATATTGGCCAGGCTAGTCTCAAACTCCTGACCTCGTGATCCGCCCACCTCAGCCTCCCAAAGTGCCAGGATTACAGGAGTGAGCCACTGCACCTGGCCAGAAGCCATATTCTATAATAAATAGTGGTTGGATTAATAGGACATGGGAGAGACTGCAGTAGAGTGGATGAGTCCCCTCTAAAGGAGCACTCACAAATGCCCTGGTAGCTATGGCTGTGTGGGGTGGGGTATTACAGGAATTCCAAAGACCTAAGGAGCTGTGTACCTCCTGTAGCCAAGGTCAATGTCAGAACAACTAAATCAATGATTTTATGAATTCCTGTAGCCTCCCTGGACTATAAATTTCAAACCATAGTTGCATCATCTACATAGTGATGGGCCTTGAGCCTTCCCTAAAGATAAAAAGCCTACATAGCCCGTGCTGCCCCATCACCTGTGTGTCGGAACATCTTCCTTGTTTCAAGCTACATGAGTGCTTTTTTATTCTGTTGAAGTGTGTCATGTCATGCCTGGTGAATTAATAAATCTGTCCTCTGCAACTGACAGGGTTCTTCCACTGTGAAACAAGAGGGTTGTATATAGGTTGCGTTTAACTAACAGAGTTAATTAAACCTTTTTACTTTAAAAATTACTCAGTCTTGGGCCAGGCGCGGTGGCTCACGCCTGTAATCCCAGCACTTTGGGAGGCCGAGGCAGGCGGATCACGATGTCAGGAGATCGAGACCATCCTGGCTAACACAGTGAAACCCCGTCTCTACTAAAAATACAAAAATTAGCTGGGCGTGGTGGCAGGCACCTGTAATCCCAGCTACTCAGGAGGCTGAGGCAGGAGAATCACTTGAGCCCAGGAGTTGGAGATTGTGGCGAGCCGAGATTGCGCCATTGCACTACAGCCTGGGCAACAAGAGTGAAACTCCATCTTTTTTTTTTTTTTTTTTTTTTTTGACACAGAGTCTTGCACTGTCACCCAGGCTGGAGTGCAGTGGTGTGATCTCAGCTCACTGCAAGCTCTGCCTCCCAGGTTCACACCATTCTCCTGCCTCAGCCTCCCGAGTAGCTGGGACTACAGGTGTCCGCCACGACGCCCAGCTAAGTTTTTGTATTTTTAGTAGAGACGGGGTTTCACCGTGTTAACCAGGATGGTCTCGATCTCCTGACCTCATGATCTGCCCGCCTCGGCCTCCCAAAGTGCTGGGATTACAGGCATGAACCACTGTGCCTGGCCACTCCATCTTAAACAAATTTAAAAAATAGTTTATCTCTCTATTTTTTAATTTACTGTTGTTTGTGGGGGTTTTGAAGATGTATCAATGATTTTGGTTGAGTAGGGCACTTTAGCTTTACTTCTGAGTGCATGCAGCAGTAAAGTTTTTTTTTTATGATTTCCTTGGCTTTAAACAGTTCAAGTGGTTTTCTCAAGTGTGTTAGGGTGCACACTGTTAGTTATTAGTGGAGGTTTTGGTAAAGTTGTGCTGGGAACAGAATGCCAGATGAGCTTGTCTTCAGGCTTCAGCAGTACTGGTGGTGAGCTATGTATGTTTATCCTTGTACTTTGCGGTGCTGAATGTTGGTACCTGTGTTGGCAGTTCTAGGCAGGCCGATTCTTGGGCCTCTGGTTGGCTTTCTTAGATGCTGGTTGTGATAGCAGTGTACCAAGCATGTGAGTGCACTCTTGAGCCCCTGGGCTGCTGGTGTGGCATCCGTGATGGTGGTGGCAGTGGTGCGAAACTCTTCTGGGTCGCACTTGCTGTGCTCATTAGCAGTGGTTGCAGCGGGCTCTGTGGGCCAGCCACTAGACCAGCAGATGGCGCTTGTAGGCAGGAGATGGCTGAAGTGGGTGCAGTAGGGTATTTAGGCCTAACCTCAGCGCCCTAGGAGTGCTCAGGTGTTTCACTTGGTGGACTAGGTTGTGCAATCTCTGGGGGATTTTAAAAGTTTATTTTGCAATTGAGAATGGGATGTTTAGAATTTTTGTCTCCTACTGATTAAAGGTAGAGTATGGGGAAAAAAACAGGCAAAACTAGGAGTTTAAAGAAAAGGAGAGAGAAGAAAAAGAAATGAAGATACAATAATACAGAAAGAACAGAGGGAAAAACTTTATTTATATTTAATACCTATGATGTGACATGCCCGGAGTTAGGAGCATTCATAAGCACCATCTCATATTATCCTCCAACTAAGCTACTCATGTCAGAAAAAATTAAAATTAACAAAGGTCAACAGGGAGTAAGAAATAGAAAATGGAAAGGAAACAATTTTGGAGTGAGACCTACAAAATGATCTCAGAATTTACCCTCTGATAAGTCTTTCTTTGATCCCAGAGTGCACAAAATGTTACATGAAAAAACAAATTAATATAATTACATCTAAATTTCAAGCTTTCTATTTCATAAAGATTATGAGTCAAAACTGAGTGAGTTCAGGGACTCAGAGAAGACATTTAAAATATCTAAATGTGCCCAGTTTTACGGTTTTAGGCATGCGAGTTTTAGATTTTTTTGCTTTTTTATTGAGACAGGGTCTCTTTCACCTAGGATGGAGTGTAGTGGCGTGATCTTCACTCACAGTAGCCTCCACCTCTCAGGTTCAAGCAATCCTCCCATTCAGCCTCCCCAGTAGCTGGGACTACAAGTGCGCACTACCATGCTTGGCTAATTTTTAACTTTTTTGGTAGAGACGGGGATCTCACTATACTGCCCAGGCTGGTCTCGAACTCCTAGACTCAAATGATCCTTCCACCTCCACCTTTCAAAGTACTGGGATTACAGGCATGAGCCACTGTGCCCAGCCAAAGTTTCAGATTCTTCTTAAAGGAATAAAGTCAGAGATCTTAGAAATGAACTAAAGCACGAGCATACAATAAACAAGAGAGAAAAATCAGATGGTTATCAAGAATATGAATGGATATTCAAACTCGGTGTCAGAGAAATGCAAATTAGATATTATTGCATGTTACTTTAAGTTCTATAAATTACTATACTATGGAAAGAAATATGGGGTGATGTAGCTGCAATCATGTATATTTCATGGAAGAGTCAAAGACTGTAGCAGTTTCATAAAGCAATCTGCACAGGTACTGTAAAAAAAATGATTTTCTAGAATATCATGTGACACAGAAAGCCTGTTTCTGGTATATCTCTCAGTCAAGTCCATAAATTCTTATGTGAGAGAAGTTTTCTCACAATACTGTTCAAGGCAGCAGGGACATGGAGACAATATGTTGTAGCATTAAGTGTAAGAGGAGGACCAAAGACATCTATGAGTGAAGTAGAAGACTGAATGTCCACACTAAAGTACAACAGGGCAGTTACTAGCATTTAAGTAGACTTTGACACAGGAGTATATATACATATTAAACACACATTTTGAGTACCAACAAAGGGAGAAAGAAGTCTATAGTACAGTACAATTAAACTACACAAAAAGTAACAGTGCTCCTCTTTCTAAAACACATGTAAATACAAAAACACACAACAGACCTTTAGAATTGTTGTCTACAAGTGGTGGGGTGATGAAGTGTGAGGAACAGGAATGAGTGGAAACACGTCGGAACATTGAACAAGACGAGGTCCTTGTGGGGACATAAGGAGAGAATGTCCACTCACTGTCCAGAGCCTCCTGGGCCATTGTCACCATACAGCCGCTCATTACATGAAAGTGGAATTTCAAAAGGTAGCGAAACACCTAATAAAATATGTTGAAAGGGCTGGGCATGGTGGCTCATGCCTGTAATCCCAGCACTTTGGGAGGCCAAGCCGGGTGGATCATGAGGTCAGGAGTTCAAGACCAGCCTGGCCAACATGGTGAAACCCTGTCTCTACTAAAAATACAAAAATTAGCCAGGTGTGGTGGTGCACACCTGTAGTCCCAGCTACTCGGGAGCTGAGGCAGGAGAATTGCTTGAACCCAGGAGGCAGAGGTTGCAGTGAGCTGAGATCGTGTGACTGCACTCCAGCCTGGGCAACAGAGCGAGACTCTCTCTCTCTCCCTCTCTCCATATATATATATATATATACATACACATACACAAAGATATGTGGCCTGTCACCAAGTGTTAGATGGATGTTTGGGCCAGGCGAGGTGGCTCATGCCTGTAATCCCAGCACTTTGGGAGGCTGAGGCGGGTGGATCACCTGAGGCCAGGAGTTCAAGACCAGCCTGGCCAACATGGTGAAACCCCGTCTCTACTAAAAGTACAAAAATCAGCCAGGCGTGGTGGCCATGCCTGTAATCCCAGCTACTCAGGAGGCTGAGGCAGGAGAATCGCCTGAACCTGGGAGGCAGAGGTTGCCGTGAGCCGAGATCGTGCCATTGCACTCCAGCCTGGGCGACAGAGAGAGACTCTATCTCAAAAAAAGAAAAAAAAAGTTTGTTTAGTTTCTGTTGGTAAATATCTAGAAATAGAATTGTAGGATGGTAGGGATGTATTGTTGGTAAATGATTAACATGTTTTTAATTTTCAGTTTTTTCAGAGACGGGGATCTCACTATATTGCCCAAACTGGTTTTGAACTTATGAACTCAAGTAATCCTCCCGTCTTAACTTCCATGTAGCTGGCACTACTGAACAGCTTTAACTCTTCCAGACCTTCAGTTGGGTGGTTTTTTCTTTTCCTTTCGTTTCCTTCTTTCTCTCTCCTTCCTTCCTTCTTTTTGTAATTTGATAAACCAAATTTCAAGACTTTGGCCAAAAAACAGTCTTCTCCTTTACTGAATATCTCAGTGCTCCATTTTATTTTTCCCTCACCAATTCTGCAGGAGAGATCACAAGACTATGTCCATATCTTTATTTGTGGGGGTATGATTTTCAGCTAACATAGCTGCTAAGTGATTTAATTTACAATTATAGTGGTAGAAAAATAGCTCTAACTTCTGAGGTTTTGTAATTTATTGTAAAAAGCGGAATACAGGACATTTAAAGTGACCTGACAAGGTCAATACAGGACTGAGGACTAATTCATTAAATACGTCTTACGTGTCTTAGAGGACCACAGACAGCTAGCAACCCTACTCCTAATGTGTCCCATGCACTTAGTATTGTACCTGGCATCGAATGAGTGTTCATCAAATATGTTAGAGTAATAAATACGACAGCACAGTTTCCCTATTCAGCTTTACTTTTCTGGTAACTCTTTTAATATATAGTCTTTACCTCTCCCTTCAAGCTGTTAATGCACAATGTTTTCAAGTTTGAAAAAGAATCAGATTTTGGACACCAAACTTGAGTGTGTCCAAGGTTCCAGGACAACCTTAGCTTTTTTCCTCCTATCACAAATATGTTTCTCTATAACTATTTTTGCCACTTTCTTTGGATATCTACATAATCGTCATTAATAGTTTCAGTAATAGCCATTTCACAAGAGTTATTCAGAGACAATTTCAACTCCCTGTGCAGACACTGTTGATACAATTTCAGGCGAAATGATAAATCACTTTCCACTAATGAGATGAGATCATGCATTCCCAAACCTTTATCTCAGGAGTAAGATGCTTTCTTTGCACAAGGGCTTTGACTGGTGGAAGGCCACACTATTCTGGCAGATAATGGTAGATAAGTCGCTTTTCCTTTTCAGTTAGGTTTCAGTCTCTTAAAATAAGTGGAAAATATCTCAGATATAAAGTAATAAGTATCATGTGAATAAAGTGTTGCTGGGTAGGCTGAAAGACAATAACTGATTATTCAGAAAGGAAAGATATTACTCCTCAAACTCCCCATCATGCCATGTCTGGGTCTTTTCAATGTGCCCAGCAGAGCACATTGAAGATCATAAAACAGTCTCCAGAGCTTCGTTCTGTGTGTATTTGGCAAGCACAAAAGAGCTGACCGCTATGCGTGGAAGACCAGTTCTTTATGGTTGGCCATGTTCCTTCGGATGTTCGTCTTTTGGGAACTTGCTGTGCTTTACAGAATCTGAAAGGACAGGTCTCTGAAACATTTCTCTGACTTGTTCTAGACTGCCTTCCGGGAAAATCTGGATGCTTGCCGTTTAAAAGCCAATGAAGCCCCTCCACGTCCTTGGAGCCCCGCAACTGCATTTCTCAAAGCCTCAGGAGGATCCTCCTGGCTTTCATCCTGAACGCGAGTTAACTTAAGTTCAGAAGCGGGGCAGGCAGTGGCCTGGGAACTACATTACCCAAAAGACACAGCGGCGGACACAAGCAGCGAGTGTAGCCAATGAAGGCCTAGCAGAGCGGCGTCTACGGGGGTTCGCAATGCGTGTGGGCGGGACTTCCTGCAACGCCTCCTGGGGTTGTCAATATGGCTGCGTTGGGATCTGTTCACCTTCAGGCTGAGTCGAGACTGAGGTGAAAAAGCGGAAAAACGCGAGAAAAGGTTTCCCCGTTGTACAGAGGCTAGAGTGAGGCTCGGTTGAATCGGTTGCAGGCGTTGGTGCCTCTGTCAGCGTCCAGGTCACTGCCGCTCCCGCCCCGCTCTTCCCTGGCTGTGCTGGCGGAGGCTGCGCCGATGAACCTGACTGAGGTGGGTGCCGCGTCCCAGGGCGCCCCGCCCGATCCCTCCTCCGAGTGCCGAAGCCCCGAGGAGGGGCCCTGCAGGTCAGGCCCCTGTGTCCCAAAGAGAGGAGCGTTCTTGTGTGGGGTACCGGTGTCCGCGGTGCTGTGAGGCGGGGGAGCTCCTGTCAGGGACCTGCACGTGCGAGGCTTAGAGGTGCTGCAGAGCGGGCGGCACTGGGGAGCCCGAGCGTCTTTGTCTCCACGGAGCTGAGGGTGAGGCGGAGTCTCGCCTGGGAGGGCAGCGGAGCTGCTGAAAGCCGTAGAAGGCTGTGCAGGAAGGGTTATGCCCAGAGGTAGACGTTTAAAGTTGGGAAAAACAGGATGTTAAACCAGGACAAGGGGACCGCTGAGGAGACCCCTTGAGTTATGGTAGGGATGGGCCAGAGGGGTTGCAGTAGAGGGGAAGTGTGATGAGATTCTGGATGGATCTCAGAGATAGAGTCGACAGGATTTCCTGCTGCATCAAATGTAGCAGTGAGGGTAGTGAAGGGTCTATTCCATGGATTTTGTTTTGGCCTGAAAATCTGAAAGAATGGAGTTGGAGAAGTCAGCTTAGGGAGCAGGTTTCAGAGAGGATTATGAGTTGCATTTTGGAGGGCTGAGTTTTGGAGGGCAGATCATGGGTGGGTCCATAAGCCTGACGCTACCTTTAGAAAGGCGCAGACCTGTCATAGGAGGGATTCTGGCTCATATCTGCAAAAACGGAGTTCTGAATGGGTTAAGGAACTGGCCTAGGCTGGAGACTGAGGTGTGAGGTGGTTTAGATTTCTGCACCTGCAGACCCAGCAGCCCCCCAGGCCCACTCTGTGGAACAATAGGAAGGTCATCCAGACTAGTGGGGACATTGGGTCCAGACGGGGGTAGGGCTTTCTCACATCTAGTCAAGGGCCTCCAGCAAGCTTCCAGCAACTGAATTTGTAGCAGGCAGGCCTGGTTGCTGATGGGACCAGTAACTGACCTGCTTGCTTATCCCCTCCCTGCAACTTATTTATTTATGAATGTGTAAAACATTTTTTTTTTTTTTGAGACAGAGTCTCGCTCCATCGCCCAGGTTGGAGTGCAGTGGCGCGATCTCGGCTCACTGCAAGCTCCGCCTCCCGAGTTCAAGCAATTCTCCTGCCTCAGCCTCCCGAGTAGCTGGGACTACAAGTGCCCGCCACCACGCCAGGCTAATTTTTTGCATTTTTAGTAGAGACGGGGTTTCACCGTGTTAGCTAGTATGGTCTCTATCTCCTGACCTCATGATCTGCACGCCTCAGCCTCCCAAAGTGCTGGGATTACAGGCATGAGCCACCGCGCCCGGCCGAATGTATAAAACATTTATTTAACCACTAATGAACCAGTATCCTTCTAAATATGTACACATAGGTCGGCAGTTAGAAATGAATGTAACCAATAGTTAAATTTATTCACTTAATAATTGTTGAATGTTGATTTTTCTTTTTTCTTTTTTTTTTTGAGACGGAGTCTCGCTCTGTCGCCAGGCTGGAGTGCAGTGGCGTGGTCTCGGCTCACTGCAACCTCTGCCTCCCGGGTTCAAGCGATTCTCCTACCTCAGCCTCCCGAGTAGCTGGGATTACAGACATGCGCCACCATGCCCATCTAATTTTTGTATTTTTGATAGAGACAGGGTTTCACCATGGTTGGCCAGGATGGTCTTGATCTCTGCACCTCGTGATCCGCCCACCTCGGCCTCCCAAAGTGCTGGGATTAGAGGCTTGAGCCACCATGCCCGGCTGAATGTTAATTTTTCTATTTGCTTGCAATGGAAAGTTTTATGTATCACATTTCCTTAACACCGTAAGAAGTGGGAAAAATACACACCCAAAATTTCAAAACCCTTCCATGTCATTTGTACCGAAAACATGTAAAAAATATTTAATCCAGTAGAAAGAAATTGCTGATACATAGTGTGTACTACTTATATTTGATGCCCATATAAGCCCTATTAGTTGGCAATCCTTTTAATCTCTATTTTACACATAAGGGCACCGAGACTTAAGGAAGTTCAGTCCTCATCAAGACACTGAACCCTGAGGACTTACTGTGTACCCTCAGATAACTTTGCTCTAGTTGCAGGGCCAGAGGTGGTTGTACAGTCAGCCTGTAGGATGCTGCAATGCTGTCTTAATCCTCATGGCCTGCCTCTTCCCACAGGGTTCATAGCAGTGGCAGCAATGCTTATGGATGCTGGACAGGTGAGTGGAGAGTGTTTCCAGCTTTCACCCATCCCAGATGGTTTCAGCATGCTGATATAGGGAATGGTGTTATCCTGAGACTGTTCACCTTTTCTTCTCTCTCCCTTGGGTCCAAGGAGAGCCTGTAGTTCCACCAGACCTGGGTTCCAAACTCAGTGCCTGGTTATATAGAGTGGTTCTAGTTCTCACAACTGATGGTTTGAGATTTGGCAAGGCATCTCAAACACAGGATCTAGAATGTTCAAATGCTTGGTGGTGAGACTTAGATGGGATGCTTAGAGAACTGTAGCTTAATGTTCTAGCTGGCAAGGATAAGGAGCACAGCAGCAGGGCAGGAGGTCGGGGCATGCAGGGATCAGGCATGGAATGGCAGCCTGAGGTTGTCTAGGTTTTTGTTTTTGTTTTGTTTTGTTTTTGAGACAGAATCTTGCTCTGTCTCCAGGCTGGAGTGCAGTGGCGCGATCTCAGCTCACTACAACCTCCGCCTTCCTGGTTCAAGCGATTCTCCTGCCCCGGCCTCCCGAGTAGCTGGGATTATAGGCACCCGCCACCATGCCCGGCTAATTTTTGTATTTTTTAGTAGAGATGGGGTTTCACCATGTTGGCCAGGATGTTCTCAATCTCTTGACCTCGTGATCTGCCTGCCTCGGCCCTCCCAAGGTGCTGGGATTACAGGCTTGAGCCACCACACCTGGCCTTGTTTTTTTTTTTTTTTCCAGACAGAGGCTAACTCTGTCGCCCAGGCGGGAGTGCATTGATGTGATCTCGGATCATTGCGACCTCTGTCTCCCAGGTTCAAGCAATTCTCCTGCCTCAGCCTTCCAAGTAGCTGGGATTACAGGCATGAACCAACACACCCAGCTAATTTTTGTATTTTTAGTAGAGACAGGATTTCACCATGTTGGCCAGGCTGGTCTCGAACTCCTGGCCTCAAGTGATCTGCCTGCCTCAGCCTCCCAAAGTGCTGGGATTACAGGTATGAGCCACCGTGCCCAGTGGTTCTAGGTCTTTAATCTGAGGGGGGTAGTAGCTAGGGAAGGTTTGAGAAAGAAAAAAGAGGTGATTTGACCTAGATTCTTTTTTTTTTTTTTTGAGACGGAGTCTCCCTCTGTCGCCCAGGCCAGAGTGCAGTGGCGTGAACTCGGCTCACTGCAAGCTTCGCTTCCTGGGTTCACGCCATTCTCCTGCCTCAGCCTCCCAAGTAGCTGGGATTACAGGCACCTGCCATCATGCCCGGCTAACTTTTTTTTGTATTTTTTAGTAGAGCCAGGGTTTCACCGTGTTAGGATGGTCTCGATCTCCTGACCTCATGATCTGCCCGCCTCAGCCTCCCAAAGTGCTGGAATTACAGGCCTGAGCCACTGCACCCAGCCAGATTTGACCTAGATTCTAAGAGGCTTCCTCTGCCTGCAGAATGGAGGACAGAGTGAGAGTTAGGGAAGAACCAAGGATACCTGGGTGATAATTCCTGCCACAGTCCAGTGGAGGTTGGTGGTGGCTGGACACGAGTGGCGGCTGTGGAGGTGGGAGGGGTGGGTGGCTTCTGTAGGTTTTGATCTAGAGCTGCTCACATTTTTTGATGTACAGAGCGAGGAAGCTCGGGAGGTAGGATGCAAGAGGGAGTCAGGAATGGCCCCATTGTTTTGGCCTTGTTGAGAAGGTTGGATGTTCCAGCAACTAAGATGTGGTAAATTTTGTAGTAGGGGGAGTTTAATAGAGCATATGAAGAACGAGGTTTGGGCTAAGTCAAAAATGTTCCAGAGACTCGAGTAGAGGTGCCAGACTGGCAGTTGAACACACAGGAATGGAGTTCAATGGAGGTGTTCAGGATGGAGACATCTACTATATGATAGCCAGCGTGTACACCATGGTAAATCTGTGGGTCAGATTTAGGAATAGACATCTTTAGATTCTGGAGGCAATGCTGTTAGGGAGAAGGAAGGGGAAGGAAGGGGCTGAGGACTGGATCTTTCTGTTGGGCACCTGGATGGGGTTGCTGGGCATCACAAAGACAGATGAGGGAGTGGATGGACTGAGGATATGTGTGTGTGTATTTGTGTGTTTATGTTGGAGATGGCCTTTGGAAAATAAAGGCTTTTGAGGGGGAGAGTGCACATAAAAGTTGGATGGTGAGGCATCTCCACAAAAGAGGTGAGATGATAGTGAGGTCTGGGAGGGGCTTAGTACCCTATTATGGACTCAACAGGGTTTTGTGGCAAATATTGGTTGTACCTGGGTAGTTTCACGCGAACTCTGAGACTATTTTGGCAGAAGATGGGATCATCTAGAAGCATTGCTAGTCCTGGGGTGGGGATGGTGTTGGGGAGGTCAGTGTATCTGGGCTTTGGATTAGAGTTGGGGGATAGAGAAAGTCGTGACTGCTTATGGGACAACATATACATGTAGAAGGGGGAGACAGCCAAGATCTGGAACTCAAAGGAGGTGTGCAAGAATATGTGGGTTTGGAAAGCTGAGGTCAAAGAAAGAAACAGGATTGGGTTGGGAGACGTTCAAAGCAATGTTTCCTAAACATTGCATTCTGGTCATTCTAGGGGCAAATACGATTCTGGTTGCATTTGTCATGCACTGCAGGATTTCATGTGCAGAGTGGCATGGTAACACGCCATGGAAATACTCCCAGTTGGGCTGTGGTGGTTGTTAGTGTTGCCAAGAGTGGAGGTGTTGGATACATGAGGGAGGTGCCATCCAAAGCCTGAGTGGAGGAGCATGAATAGATGGTTCCACCTCTGGCACTGGGCACTTAAGGGAGGAGGGTGAGTCCAAGTTTGGTTATCTGAGAGGCAAGATCTGGGTGACTCTAGGGAAATTGAGTGACAAAAGAAAGGTAGGCCCCCATGTGCCAGGTGTTTTTTTTGTTTTGTTTTGTTTTTTGAGATGGAGTCTAGCTCTGTTGCCCAGGATGGAGTGCAGTGGCGCGATCTCGGCTCACTGCAACCTCTGCCTCCCAGGTTCAAGCAGTACTCTGCCTCAGCCTCCCGAGTAGCTGGGATTACAGGTGCCTGCCACCATGCCCGGCTAATTTTTGTATTTTTAGTAGAGATGGGGTTTTACTATCTTGGCCAGGCAGGTCTTGAACTCCTAACCTTGTGATCTACCTGCCTCAGCCTCCCAAAGTGCTGGGATTAGAGGCATGAGCCACCATGCCCGGCCATGTGCCAGGTTTTGATGGCGCTTTTCAGTCTCTTTCCCCCACCCATCTTTGTTCTATACTGGAGTCAGTGATCAGTGGCAATGAGGGGAGAGCAGGTACAGGTGCCATGAAGACCTAGTGTCTCTTCCTCCTTCAGAAGTGGGTGGAGGCTAGCAGGGTGTGGATGTGTGTGGGTGTGGTGAGGAGCACTGAAGGTCCTGGAGAGGGAAGTGTATCAGTGATTGTACCCACAGGATTTCAATCTGTGAACAAGAGTGAGTGATTACAGAAAAGCCAATGACATTGAAATAATTTTTTTTTTCAATTGGTGAGAAATCATACCTGGATGAAATGATTTTTATTCCTTTCATTTCCTGAGTGCAGGGAGCATGCCACATCACATAAAGCCACAGAGGAAATAGCGGATTTGGTCAGGTGGCAGATGCACAGTTGAAGGGAGAGCATATATCAGTGGCTTTATTGGGGTTTTGGCTGGAAAGGCATGCAGGGGAGAGTGAAGAGCTTAAGACTGGGTAGTTTGCATGATTTTGGCAGCCTTGGGGTATAGGGACTATCCCTCCTTTTGTGGTACAAGCCTTGTGTTGATTTAGGGCAGGAGAAAGAATCATGTGTGATTGTTAGATAGGAGGCAGTTCAGTCTATGGGATCTGGATTATAAGAGAAATGTTAAAATGCTGGTTGTTATTTTGGTCCTCTAATTCTTAGATTTCAAGTAGATAAATACAGATCTAAGGAAACAGAATAAGAAGTTGCTCATGGGCCGGGCGTGGTGGCTCATGCCTGTAATCCCAGCAATTTGGGAGGCCAAGGCAGGCAGTTCACGAGGTCAGGAGTTCTAGACCAGCCTGAACAACATGGTGAAACCCCATCTCTACTAAAAATACAAAAATTAGCCAGTCATGGTGGCACGCGCCTGTAATCCCAGCTACTCAGGAGGCTGAGGCAGGAGAATCACTTGAATCCGGGAGGCGGAGCTTGCAGTGAGCCGAGATCACACCACTGCACTCCAGCCTGGCAACAGAGCGAGACTCCATCTCAAAAAAAAAAAAAAAAAGAAAGAAAAAAAAAGTTGCTCACAGACTAAACTGTTATAATTTTGGCAGGATTATATGGTTTTTGAGGACGTGGCCATACATTTCTCCCAGGAGGAGTGGGGAATTCTTAATGACGTTCAGAGACACCTGCACAGCGATGTGATGCTGGAGAACTTTGCACTTTTGTCCTCAGTAGGTAAGGCCCTGACACCTACGTCAGTGTCTTGTGCTGGGCAATGTTTTTTCACTTTTTTCCTTGGCATCTCCGTCTCACACCAGGTCATGGATGCTGCATCCTCTCCTGGTTTCCTGGCATATGTGTTGTGGCAGCTACAGCTGGGCTGTGTGATCTGTATCAATTTTCCTTAAGAAGCTTAGCTCTTGTCACTCTGAAGCCTTATAAGGCTCAAAAGTCAGAAGTCCTCAGGTTTCTCAAGAATATCCTAATGACCTTGCCTGTCCCTGGTTAGTTTACTCTGTCCAAATGCATGACACTTTCTCTGTGCAAGGCTTTCTCCATTCTTCTTGCTGACATAGGGATACCCTGTGTCAGGAATTTCAGGGACCTACCTCGTCACTGCTTGTGAGGACTGTGGGCTTATTTCTGCAGGACTCTCCACTAGAAGTTCTGGTAACTTTAGAATACAGCATGTCCTGGGTTTATTGCTCTGTGTACATGCTGTTGACACCCTCCCTTTCCCTGTCTTTCCCCTAGCTTGGCTAACGCCACACCTAGATAGTTGCTCACCTTGAGCAAGGTAGAGGTCCCTGGGTGCCTGACAGAGTGGACATTACTCCATTGAAGGCAAGAGATGCTCAAAAGGACTTGGCCCTGGTGGATGGGAGCTCAGAAGGGGTGTGATGACAGGGCTGGGTTCACATCACACTGGGAATCAATCCAGTTTGATGCCCCTGCCAGTGGCCACACCGCATGTCTCTCTTTTCTTCCCTATTGTGATCTCTCTTTTGACTTTCATCTCCTGGCTCCCACCTCTGACCCTACGTCTCTGGCCTCCACCTCTCACCTGTTCCCGTTTTTTGTTTTTTTTTTGTTTTTGTTTTTGTTTTTGAGATGGAGTTTCGCTCTTGCAATGGTGCGCGCGATCTTGACTCACTGCAACCTCTGCTTCCCGGGTTCAAGCGATTCTTCTGCCTCAGCATCCCAAATAGCTGGGATTACAGGCATGCGCCACCACACCTGGCTAATTTTGTATTTTTAGTAGAGACGGTGTTTCTCCATGTTGGTCAGGCTGGTCTCGAACTCCTGACCTCAGCTGATCCGCCTGCCTTGGCCTCCCAAAGTTCTGGGATTATAGGTGTGAGCCACTGCACCCAGCCACCTGTTCCTTTTACTGTTCCCTTTGTAGTGCCCTCAACATATGACCTGTACTTAAGGTGTTGTGAGGTCTGGATGTATATATTTCAGCAGTCCCTGAACACCAGCTCTACTGTCACATCAGATCTCTCTGGGTCTGGACACAGTCTTCTACACATTGTTCACCAGAAGCTATGGCCTGTTGAAAGCCATTCACTGAGGAGTAACTTGGGGACTCCACTTCTGTGCTCTGCACTGTACCACTCCCTATGTTGTTCCCCATCATCAGGACTCTTTCGTTATGGGTTTCTGTCAGTCCCGGTTCTGCCCAGTAGGCTTTCCTCTCACTGGCTTTAATGTCCCATGCCTGTCACCAATCCCATGGTCTTATTTGTGAGTTGGTCTGACAGACATTTGTTATGGGGCTGCCTCTTCCCTCCAAAGTCATCATGCACTTCATGAGCATTTCTGTTTTAGGTTGTTGGCATGGAGCCAAGGATGAGGAGGCACCTTCCAAGCAATGTGTTTCTGTAGGAGTGTCACAGGTCACAACTTTAAAGCCAGCTTTGTCCACCCAGAAGGCCCAGCCCTGTGAGACATGTAGCTCACTTCTGAAGGACATTCTACACCTGGCTGAGCATGACGGAACACACCCCAAGCGTACAGCCAAGCTTTACCTGCACCAAAAGGAGCATCTTAGAGAGAAGCTCACCAGAAGTGATGAAGGGAGGCCTTCGTTTGTGAATGACAGTGTTCACCTGGCAAAGAGGAACCTCACATGCATGCAGGGTGGCAAGGATTTTACTGGTGATTCAGATCTTCAACAACAGGCTCTTCACAGTGGGTGGAAGCCACACAGGGACACTCATGGTGTGGAGGCCTTTCAAAGTGGACAGAATAATTACAGCTGCACCCAATGTGGGAAAGACTTTTGCCACCAACATACACTGTTTGAGCACCAGAAAATCCACACAGAGGAAAGGCCTTATGAGTGCAGTGAATGTGGCAAATTGTTTAGGTACAACTCCGACCTTATTAAACATCAGCGAAATCATACTGGAGAAAGGCCTTATAAGTGTAGTGAATGTGGAAAAGCCTTCAGCCTCAAATACAATGTTGTTCAACACCAGAAAATTCACACTGGAGAAAGGCCTTATGAGTGCAGTGAATGTGGGAAAGCTTTTCTTAGAAAGTCTCACCTACTTCAGCACCAGAGGATTCACACCAGGCCAAGGCCTTATGTGTGTAGTGAATGTGGGAAGGCCTTCCTTACACAGGCTCACCTTGTTGGTCACCAGAAAATTCATACTGGAGAACGGCCTTATGGATGCAATGAATGTGGGAAATACTTTATGTACAGTTCAGCACTCATTAGACATCAGAAAGTTCACACTGGAGAAAGGCCTTTTTATTGCTGTGAATGTGGGAAATTCTTTATGGACAGCTGCACACTCATTATTCACCAGAGAGTTCATACTGGAGAAAAACCTTATGAATGCAACGAATGTGGGAAATTCTTTAGATACCGTTCCACACTCATTAGACATCAGAAAGTTCACACTGGAGAAAAGCCTTATGAGTGTAGTGAATGTGGGAAGTTCTTTATGGACACTTCCACACTCATTATTCATCAGAGAGTTCATACTGGAGAAAAGCCTTATGAATGCAACAAATGTGGGAAATTCTTTAGGTATTGCTTCACACTGAATAGACATCAGAGAGTTCACTCTGGAGAGAGGCCTTATGAATGCAGTGAATGTGGCAAATTCTTTGTGGACAGCTGTACACTGAAGAGTCATCAGAGAGTTCACACTGGAGAAAGACCTTTTGAATGCAGCATTTGTGGGAAATCCTTTAGATGTCGCTCCACACTTGATACACATCAGAGAATTCACACTGGTGAAAGGCCTTATGAGTGTAGTGAATGTGGGAAATTCTTTAGGCACAACTCAAATCATATTAGACATCGGAGAAATCACTTTGGAGAAAGGTCTTTTGAGTGCACTGAGTGTGGGAGAGTTTTTAGCCAAAATTCCCACCTCATTCGGCACCAAAAAGTTCACACTAGGGAAAGAACTTACAAATGCAGCAAATGTGGGAAATTTTTTATGGACAGCTCCACACTCATTAGTCATGAGAGAGTTCATACTGGAGAAAAGCCTTATGAGTGCAGTGAATGTGGGAAAGTCTTTAGATACAACTCCAGCCTCATTAAACATCGGAGAATTCACACTGGAGAGAGACCTTATCAGTGCAGTGAATGTGGAAGAGTCTTTAACCAAAATTCTCATCTCATTCAGCACCAGAAAGTTCACACCAGATAAAGAATGTATATATAAAGCAGATGGGGAAAGACTTCACACAGAAATCTACTCTGATTTAGCACTGGGACCTACGTTTTAAAAAAAGTATTCTTGTAGAATACAGATAACATAAAATCTAACATCTTAACCATGTTAAAGTGTATAGTTCAGTACTGTTAAGTCATTCACATTGTGCAATGAATATCTAGAAGTCTTTTCAACTTATGAAACTAAGTCTATACCTTTTAAAACCTTATTCCTCACTCCATCCAGCCTCTTGACAAGCACCGCTCTGTATGAATTTTACTAGTCCGGGTACCTCATATAAGAAAACTTAAGTTTTGGTCTTCTTGTGGTTTATTTTGTGGCTTATTTTGCTTAACGTTATATTTTTAAGGTTTCATGTTCTAATCCATTAGAATTTCCATCCTTTTTAAAGGCTGAATAAAATTCTGTTAGTCATGTGTTGCTTAACAGTGGGGAAGTGTCCTGAGAAAAGTGTTATTAGGTGATTTTCTTTCTTTTTTTGGTGGTGGGGGGGTTGCGTGAATGCCTAGGCTGTATGGTATATCCTATAGCACCTTGCTACAAACTTGTATAGCATATTACTGTACTGAATACTGTAGGCTGTTGGAACACATGGTAAGTAATTGTTTTTAAGTATATCTAAACAGAAAAGGTACAGTAAAAATACAGTATAAAAGAAAAAATGATAGACTCACAGAGAACTTACCATGAATGAAGCTTACAGTACTGCAAGTTGCTCTAGGTGAGTCAGTGAGTGGTAAGTGAATGTGAAGGCCTAGGTTGTTACTGTGCTGTAGACTTTATAGACATTGTGTACTTAGACGACAATACATTTTTATTTTTATTATTATTTTTGAGACAGAATCTTGCTCTGTTGCCCAGACTAGAGTGCAGTGGTGCAATCTTGGCTTCCTGCAACCTCCTCCACCTCCTGGTTCAAGCAGTTCTGCCTCAGCTTCCCAAGTGTCTGGGATTACAGGCATGCACCACCATGCCCCGCTAATTTTTGTATTTTTAGTAGAGAACGGGGTCTTACCATGTTGGCCAGGCTGGTCTCAAACTCCCGACCTCAAGTGAGCCACTCGCTTTGGCCTCCCAAAGTGCTGGGATTACAGGCATGAGCCACCGTGCCCGGCTGGACAAAATTAAATTTATAGAAATTTTTCTTTAATATATTAACCTTAGCTGACCATTTTTTACTTTATAAGCTTGTATTTTTAAAAACTTTTTGACTTTTGTAATAATGTTTTGCTTAAAACATTGTACAACTGTACAAAAATATTTTTTATATCCTAACTTCTTAAATTTTTTTTGTTAAAAACTAAGATACACACATTTGTCTAGGCCGGCACAGGATCAGGATAATGTCATTTTATTCCACCTTCACAACCTGTTCCAGAAGATCTTCTGGGACAGTAACACACATGGAGCTGTCATCTAAAATAACAATGCCTTTTTCTGGAATACCTCCTGAAGGACCTGCCCGAGGCTGTGTTACAGTTTGTGTGTATGTACACCTGTATATTTATAGACATACACACAACTCCATATATACTCTACTGTTGGAGAACACCTAATGATAAAAAGTGTAGTATGCTAAGAACATAAGCTAGTAACTCGTAAGTTTTATCTACTGTACATTATTGTATATGTTATACTTCTATATGACTGGCCTCACAGTAGGTTTGTTTATACCAGCATCACCATGAATATGTGATTAATATATTGCCTTACTACTGCTATCATGTCATTAGGCAATAAGCATTTTTCAGCTTCATTGTAATTTTATGGAACCACTGTCATGAATGTGGCCCATTGTTGACTGAAAAGTGAGGTGCATGATTATATATGTATGTGCCACTTTTCCTTTCATTAGTGGACATTTGGGTTGTTTCCACTCAGCTGTTGTTAATAGCAGATGAGCATGAATGTACAAATGTTTCTTTGAGGCTGTGCTTTAAATTCCTTTTGAGGATTTACTCAGAAGTAGAATTGGTGCTTTCTATGTTTTTTTTTTGTTTGTTTGTTTGTTTGTTTGTTTTTTGAGACGGGAGTCTCGCTCTGTCGCCAGGCTGGAGTACAGTGGCCTGATCTCAGCTCACTGCAGCCTCTGCCTCCGGGGTTCAAGCAGTTCTCCTGCCTCAGCCTCCCAAGTAGCTGGGACTACAGGCATGCACCACCATGCCCAGATAATTTTTGTATGTTTAGTTGAGACGGGGTTTCACCGTGTTGGCAAGGATGGTCTCAATCTCGACCTCATGATCCACTCACCTGTCCCCCTATGTTCATTTAAAAAATATTTTTAATTTTTTAAATTTCTGACTCACAATGTTCCCATTCTATGTTAATTCTGTTTTAAAATTTTTGAGGACTCTTCTATAGCAGCTGCATCATTTTTTAATTTAACTTTATTATTAATTTTTTTTTTTAGTAGTTTTACTGGGTTGAGTTTTTTTTTTTTCTTTAGGGTTATTTGGTTTTGAGATGTAGGAGTTTTTTAGTATATGTGGGGACTTCAGAAAGTTTGTGGAAACATGAAAGTAAAGGATACAAAAAGAAAACAAGTTTTATTTCTCAACATAAGCTCCATCAAGTTCAAGACAATTTTATAAGTGATGATACCAGGCATTTAGTCCATCCCTAAAGAAGTGAGGTTCCTGGGAATTTAACCTTGTCTATGCAATCTTTTTTAATATTAACTAAAGAAAAATGGGTGCCCTTTAAAGATTTTTTAAAAGTAGGAAACAAGAAGTCAGAAGGAGCCAAATCCGGACTGTAAGGTGGATGCCTTAGGGTTATCAGAATTCTTGTAAAGTTGCAGTTATTTGATGAGAGGAATGAGCAGGAGCATTGAAGTGAAGGACTCCTGGTGAAGCTTTCCCATGGGTTTTCTGCTAAAGCTTTAGCTAACTTTCTCAAAACACTCTCATTGCGGGCGCCGTGGCTCACGTCTGTAATCCCAGCAATTTGGGAGGCCGAGTTGGGCGGATCATCTGAGCTCAGGAGTTTGAGACCAGCCTGACCAACATGGAGAAACCCCCCTCTCTACTAAAAAATACAAAAATTAGCCTGGCGAGGTGGTGCATGCCTGTAATCCCAGCTACTCAGGAGGCTGAGGCAGGAGAATCGCTTGAACCCGGGAGGCGGAGGTGGCAGTGAGCCGAGATCACACCATTGCACTCCAGCCTGGGCAACAAGAGTGAAACTCCATCTCAAATAGTAATTAATAATAAAGCCATGTTTCATCTGTACAATTCTTCAAAGAAATGCTTCAGCATCTTGATCCTACTTGTTTAACATTTACATTGAAGGTTCTGCTCTTGTCTGCAGCTGATCTGGATTCAGTGGCTTTGGCACCCATTGAGTGGAAAGTTCGCACAACTTTAATTTTTCAGTCAGAATTGTGTAAGCTGAACCAATTCAGATGTCTGTGGTGTCAGTTACTGTTTCTGCTGTTAATCATCAGTCTTCTTCAATAAGGTCATGAGCAAGATGAATTTCTTCCTCGCAAATTGTTATTAATGGTTTGCCATTGTGGGCTGCGTGGTCAACATCATCTCATCTCTTCTTAAAACGTTATCAGGCCGGGCGCGGTGGCTCACGCCTGTAATCCCAGCACTTTGGGAGGCCGAGGCTGGTGGATCATGAGGTCAGGAGATCGAGACTATCCTGGCTAACACAGTGAAACCCCGTCTCTACTAAAAATACAAAAAATTAGCCGGGCGTGGTGGCGGGCGCCTGTACTCCCAGCTACTCCGGAGGCTGAGGCAGGAGAATGGCGTGAACCCGGGAGGCGGAGGTTGCAGTGAGTGGAGATCGTGCCACTGCACTCCAGCATGGGCGACAGAGTGAGACTCCGTCTAAAAAAAAAGAAAACAGGTTATCAGTTTGTAAACTCTGATTTCTCTGGGTCATTGTGCCCATAAACTTTTCTTTTTCTTTTTTTTGAGACGGAGTCTCACTCTGTCGTCTGGGCTGGAGTGCAGTGGCGCGATCTCAGCTCACTGCAACCTCCGTTTCCTGGGTTCAAGCGATTCTTCTGCTTCAGCCTCCTGTGTAGCTGGGATTACAGGCATGCGCCACCACGCCCGGCTAATTTTTGTATTTTTAGTAGTGATGGGGTTTCACCATATTGGTCAGAATGGTCTTGAACTCCTGACCTTGTGATCCGCCCAAACTCGGCCTCCCAAAGTGCTGGGATTACAGGCGCGAGCCACCGCACCCGGCCGGTTTTACCATTTTTAGAGCCAAGCTTTACTATATATTTGATATTTGTTCTTTCTTCAACCTTAGCTGAATTCACATTCCTCTGATAGAAGGTGTTTTCAAACTGATGCCGTTCTTAGTGCCTCAAACTAGATCCTGTTCATACTTGTTAGAACAAGTTATTACAAATTCACTTTGGTGTAAAAAATTGAAATCCATACATAATTTTTTTTTTTTTTTTTGACAGAGTCTCACTAACGCTAGGTTGGAGTGCAGTGGCATGATCTCGGCTCATTGCAACCTCCGCCTCCTGGGTTCAAGCAATTCTCCTGCCTCAGCCTCTTGAGTAGCTGGGATTACAGGTGCCCACAATCACGCCCAGCTAATTTTTGTATTTTTAGTAGAGATGGGTTTTCACTCTGTTGGCCAGGCTGCTCTCGAACTCCTGACCTCAGGTGATCCACCTGCCTGGGCCTCACAAAGTGCTGTGATTACAGGCTTAAGCCACCACCCCTGGCCAATTTTTTCATAATATACATTTTTTTCTCATTTTTCATGAAACTTTTGAAGACCCCTCATATTCTAGATATTCCTTCTCAGATATGTGGTTTTCAAATACTTTCTCCCATTGAGTCTTTTTCCTTTTCACTCTGTCCATTATGTCCTTTTTTACACAGGAATTTTGAATTTAAATGGAGTCTAATATATCTGTTTTATAAGTCTTTGATGCATTTGAGTTCATTTTAGCAACTTAATTCTTTTGCGTGTGGATATCCAGTTTTTTTTTTTTAACATCAAAAGAATAATGTTTTTGCCTAGCATTAAGGCCCTTGGTAGAGGCTTGTCAGTTACAATTTTGGAGCAGCAGATTAAGTCCACACTCCCAACCATTTTCCTTATCAGGCTCTCAAACTCTGGGCCACAATATGTAAGACCCAATCACCCCAGGATCAGGAATCAGATATCTAGGGACAGCTTCTGTGCCCAGGAGCTTGTAAAATTATTCCATTGGTCAATGCACAGGGGTCCCTGAAAACCTAGCTAACCCCAATTTACATGGCACACACAAGCTGCCCCCTAAGCTCCAGCTTGCTGTTATCTTGGGTTCCCTCATAACTCTTGCAGCCCTGCCTATGTCCTTAGGTTTCAAGCTGTAAGTAGCAAAGTGGTCTACATTTTATGATTATCATTGTGACATGTCCTGACATCAGAAAAACACCTTTGTATGTTATTACTATACAACCAGCAGAATATTATGAGTGCAGCAAATGTTAGAAAGTATTCAGCCTAACTTCACTGAGCAAGAGTAAGTTCATCCTGGAGAAAGTCCTTAGGAATGCAGGCAATATACTTTTTTTCCTTTGTCAACAGGTCAAAAACAGCAAAGCTCTATCGAGCTTGTCTTACTCACCCTATTTTTTTGTTGCTCTGTTTTGTTTTAGGCTTTTAGCCTGAAGCCATGGTTTTGTTTCTGTCTCTAGTGGTAGGTGGACAAGAGGAATGAGATGAGAAAGGAGCTTTACTGGCCCAGCTAGAAACAAACTAAGAACCCATGACTGTATTCTTTCCCTTGGATGACCCTGTGTTAGCTTGTTGAGGGAGATCTCAGCCTGAAATTGAATCTCACATCCAAACATCCACGCAAGGGAGATTTGTTGTAATTGTCAGATATATGGTAAATTTTTGTGAATGATGTTGCACTTTCTGACCCTGCCTGGGGCCTTTCCAGAGTTAAGTTGCTGAAAGTGTGCATTACAGAAGACTCCTGCTATTAGCTGTCATGGTGCCACAATGTGCATCACCTTAGTCACCTTAAATTACTTAGAGAGTGATAAGGTCTGGACTTCTGGTTAAATGTTTTTAAAAAATGGGGGGTGGGGGGGTGGTGCATAGATTGCTGTGTTCTCTACCTTTATCTGGAATATTCAGTCATTTGTTCCCTTTGGGGGCCTCATTCCCAGTCCCCTGACTGGTTTGGGTGTGGACATCACCCAGCTTTGGACAGAGAACACACGCCAACTTCAGCTGGCAGCTTGTAGAGATTTCCTTTTTTCAGAGGTATTATTAGTTGTCTGATACTGATAATGTTGATGATAAATTTTCTACCTTCCAAGCTTCCCAACCCAGTCAATTTCCACCTAAGCATTGCTGTTTTCTTCTGATGATAAAGGTCATATTGTTTAAGCTACATTTACTCTTGGGGTTCTCTTCACTGTGTGCTGCGGGTTGAGAACAAAATTAGGCTTTGCCAGAATGAAAAAGTGAATGGTTTTTGGGGCCTTCAACTTTTTGTGCTCTTGAAGAAATAAGAAGACAAAATAGCTTTCAATCCACATCAGGCCCAATTTGCATTGCTTCGGGAGTTCCTGGGAAAGTGACGGACTTCTATCCAAAATCGCGCCGTGAATTTGATTATTGGTAGTTCTACAGTCAGCTTGAGGGTTGTTGGTTTGACAGTTGTCAGAGCATGTTGCAGCTGTATGAGGTGGGTATCTGTACATATGGATGTCCCATATTCTCCAGCATTGCATAGGAATAGCTGGTGTCTAGATCCTGCCTCAGGAGCTATGTGTCCTGAATTTAAAAATCAGGTATGTTATATCCCTGGGGCATGTCAGACATACAACAACAGTGCATTAGTCCATTTTCCATTGCTTACAACAAAATACCTTAAACTGGGTAATTTGTAAAGAAAATAAATTTCTTACTGTTGTTTTGTTGTGCTTTCTTT
This sequence comes from Homo sapiens, assembly GCF_000001405.40. Taxonomy (NCBI): domain Eukaryota; kingdom Metazoa; phylum Chordata; class Mammalia; order Primates; family Hominidae; genus Homo; species Homo sapiens. The sequence continues at coordinate 57,428,425 of NC_000019.10, forward strand.
TTTTTTTTTTTTTTTTTGTTTACTTTGTTTTTAGAGACAGGATCTCACTCTGTCCCCTAAGCTGGAGTACAGTGGCATGATCATAGCTCACTGCCACCTGGAACCCCTGGGCTCAAGTGATCCTCCTGCCTCAGCCTCTCAAGTAGCTGGGACTACAGGTGAGCACCACCACACTTGGCTACTGTTATTATTATTTTGACAAGATTTAATGTAGAAAGTATAGCACCTGTTATCTACCAGGAATAGATGAGGATGATCAGGTACATTTATGTTTGAATCTGAGCGTTTAAGTGTATGGGAAGATATTAGACACTACCTTTCCTCATAAGACACTCAGTGATCTGAATTGAGGAACTTCTAGTTTTTGCTCTCCCACTTCTTGGAAACCCCTATCTACTTTCCTATGTATTTGACTACTTGAGGTAGCTTATACAAGTAGAATCATACAAATGTATTGTTTTGTGACTAGCTTACTTCACTTACAATAAGTCCTCAAGTTCTTCCATGTTGCTGTGTGTGTCAAAATTTCCTTCCTTGCTAAGGCTGAATAATATTCCATTGTATATATATTTTCTTTATCCAGTCATTCATCAATGAATACTTTTTTTTGTGTGTGTGTGTGGTAGAGTTTCGCTCTTGTTGCCCAGGCTGGAGTGCAATGGCGATCTCAGCTCACTGCAACCTCCACCTCCTGGGTTCAAGCGATTCTCCTGCCTTAGCCTCCTGAGTAGCTGGGATTACAGGTGCCCACCAACACGCCTGGCTAATTTTTTGTATTTTTAGTAGAGATGGGGTTTTGCCATATTGGCCGGGCTGGTCTCGAACTCCTGACCTCAGGTGATCTGCCTGCCTCGGCCTCCCAAAGTACTGGGATTACAGGCGTGAGCCACTGCACCCAGCCACATCAATCAACACTTTGATTGTCTCCACATTCTGGCTACTGTGAACATGGGTGTGGAACTATCTTCATGAAGCCCTACTTTAATTTCTTTTTGTATATACCCAGAAGTAAAATTGCTGGATCACATATAATTCTATTTTAAAATTTTTTCTTAGTTTTAAATTATCTTTTGGAGACAGGGTATTGCTCTGTACCCAGGCTGGAGTAAGTGGCACAGTCACAGTTCACTGCATCCTTGACATCCTGGGCTCAAGAGATCCTCCTGCCTCAGATTTCCAAGTAGCTAGGACTAAAAGTGTGCCACCACCATGCCTGGTGAATTTTTTTTATTTTTTATTTTTTGAGGCAGGTCTTCCTCTGGCACTCAGGCTGGAGTGGTGCAGTGGTGTAATCTCAGCTTACCACAGTCCAATACCAGGTTCAAGTGATCCTCCTACCTCAGCCTCCTGAGTAGCTGAGACCACAGGTGCACAGCCACCATGGTGGCTGCATCATTTTACATTCTTATCAAAAGGCACATGTTTCTAATTTTTCCACATCCTTGACAACACTTGTTGTGTTCTTCTGTTTCTTTTAATTGTAGCTACTCTGTTCGAATGGATTTTGATTGAAAACATTTGAGGTATGGCTTTTAGGAGACTTGATCTTAATTTCCTAGCCTTTTTGACCTATAGTTTTATTGTGGTTTATTGTGGAAAAAGGTGCCCTGTAGCTGCCTATCCAGGTCAGTCTAATCACCTTTCATCATTCAGGATTTATCATCTGAGGTTCACACCAACATGTATACAAGTGGCATGTCTTAGTCTGTTTTGTGCTTCTATAACAGAATACCACAGGCTGGGTAATTTACAAAGAAGAGACATTTATTGGCTCGTAGTTTGGAGGCTGGGAAGTCCAATACCAAGATACTAGCATCTGGTGAGGGCCTTCTCGCTGCATCATAACATGACAGAAGCCATCAAATGGTAGAAGAGCAAAGAGACAGCAAGAGGGAATAAGAACCCATTCTTGCGATGATAGCATTAGTCCACCTATGAGGGTGGAGCCCTCATGATCTGAAGCCTCTTAAAGGTTCCACCTCTTAATATTGTTACAGTGGCAATTAGATTTCAGCATGAGTTTGGAGAAGACAAAGGTTTAAACCATAACATGGTGTAAGTCACATAACTCTGGGTCATATGCATATGAAAGAATTCGAAATTTCTCTATGAACACATGCTAGTCTTATTTGGGTTTAGAGAAATCTTTAGTTGCAGCTGTTAATTCATCCTGGGTCCAAGGTTTACATCTGACAGTTGCCTACATACTTGGCTCTTGAAAGCATAGATCTTTAGAGGTAATTGGCATTTTGGAATTTTAGGATATTTTTTGGGAAAATAAAGGGGGCCTGGGCAAAGGATAGAAGAGGGAGGAGGTGCAGAAGGAGAAAGATTAGGCAGGGTACGGTGGCTCACGCCTGTAATCCCAGCACTTTGGGAGGCCAAGGTGGGCAGATCACGAGGTCAGGAGATTGAGACCATCCTGGCCAACATGGTGAAACCCCGTCTTTACTAAAATACAAAAAATTAGCTGGGCGTGATGGTGCGTGCCTGTAGTCCCTGCTACTCAGGAGGCTGAGGCAGGGGAACCACTTGAACCCGGGAGGCAGAGATTGCAGTGAGCCGAAATTGTGCCACTGCACTCCAGCCTGATGACAGAGCAGGACTCTGTCTCAAAAAAAAAAAAAAAAAAAGAGAAAGATTAGAAGGGTAAAGGGGAAGTAGAAGAGTTAGATATAAGGCAGCAACTAGAGGAATAGGAGGGGGAGGATATTGCTTAAGTTTGCCAAATTGTTCAATGGCTTTATTCAAGGAAATTTTTACTGAAACAATTTTTTATTCAGAACCTTGGAGATTGTACAAATACGATTCATTCCAATAAAAAACTACTGCTTACTGGGCCTGAGAAATTTTGTTTTCTTTCTTTTCTAATGCATCTCTTAAATTAACAGTTTTTGTTTTCTTTTCAACTGAAATGTTCCTCCTAGTAGCCACTGAAGGCAAAAATTATCCGGGTGAAGTTATGCCACTTAGAAACCTAAACACTAGAATTGTGATTGTAATCAGAGTACATATAACATGCAGGAGACTTTCCTGGAAAGGAGACGATTTCAATTTAGACGATCCAATAAGTGCTGGCACTGTCTGAGAGGAGTGTAATGATTATGTACCTTAGGCCTGGTTCTACAGCATGATAGGTGGCTACTTCCCCACAAGAACACGACAATCTTCACACCTCAGCATGCAGAAAATCTGAGAATACTCTTTCTGAATGAATGCCTAATTCTCTGGACAAAAAAGAAAAAAAAAAAAGAAAAAGAAGATAAGAGAATCTTATCCCATTTTATCAGTGACCCAAAGCAAAGTCTGTCCAAATGGTCACCAGTCTGTTGAGAATCAGAAAACCCTTGGTCTGTGATATTAGCTGAAACAAGTCACTAGAGCCTATGCTTGAGTTTTTTTTGTTTTTGTTTTTTTAACGGAGTTTCACTCTTGTTGCCCAGGCTGAAGTGCAATGGCGTGATCTTGGCTCACTGCAACCTCTGCCTCCTGGATTCAAGCAATTCTCCTGCCTCAGCATCCCGAGTAGCTGGGATTATAGGCGCATGCCTGGCCAATTTTGTATTTTTTAGTAAAGATGGAGTTTTTAGTAAAGATGGGGTTTCTCCATGCTGGTCAGGCTGATCTCGAACTCCGGACCTCAGGTGATCTGCCTGCCTCGGCCTCCCAAAAGGCTGGGATTACAGGCATGAGCCACCGCGCCCAGCCTATGCTTGAGTTTTACCCTATTATTATCCTCTTCATGACAATGCTTTAAGAAAGTACATCACTAAACTGTTACATATAAGATAGCAAAAAGAGATGAAAAGAAATGGTGTGATACTATCAAGGATGGCAATGTCACGGGAGCCAATTAAAAAAAAAAAGGAGGCGGGGCGCGGTGGCTCACACCTATAATCCTAGCACTTTGGGCGTCTGAGGCAGGCAGATCACCTGAGGTCAGGAGTTCGAAACCAGCCTGGCCAATGTCTCTACTAAAAATACAAAATTAGCCAGGTGTGGTGGCACGAGCCTGTAGTCCCAGCTACTCGGGAGGCTGAGGCAGGAGAATTGCTTGAACCTGGGAGGTGGAGGTTGCAGTGAGCTGAGATCCTGCCATTGCACTGCAGCCTGGGCAACAGAGTGAGACTCTGTCTTAAAAAAAAAAAAAAAAAAAAAAAGGTGGGGGGGACTAAACAGAGTCTAAATAGCCAAGAAACCCAGTGCAAAGACAGTAGTGTTCAAACTTGTTGCTAACTTAACATGTCATCATGGATTTGACAAGGTGTGAAGAGCAAAGCATAAAGGACCTCTGTGGTTACTATACCTGTTTGATGACTATGGCCCATGGTGATGAACAGGTTAGACGTTATTTCACTGGGACCTCTGTAAGTATGATACATTGTAACATAATTTCTACAATGGTCACATCTAATTATATCAATCCTTTGTTCACTGCACCTTCATTAGTAAGAAGTATGCTTAATGGTAGCATTCATGGACTGCAAACAGACAACTTGGAAATAAATGAAGACCCAAATGAGAACAAACATAGCCTATTAAATCAGACCACACCGTAGTAAAGGAGTCATCCACAATCTCTTGCACTCAGCAGAGCTTGAAAGGCAAGCAGAGGTGTAAAAAGCTTCATAGTAGATAAAAGGTAAAGTATTAGGTATGCCATGACTGGAGGCTATAGTCTTGAGGAGTGTGTGTGTGTGTGTGTGTGTGTGTGTGTGTGTGTGTGTGTGAAGGGGTTATTTAGAAGGTTGACATCCTATGTGATTGGCTAGTGATGCACTGACTTTCTCCAGTTGGTCCTAAGTTGAACATATGGGCAACAATTAGAAAGCTGTCAGTTCTTAGTCATGTCTTAGCCATTTTAAGCGAGTTGTTATGTGGGATGTTGTCTGGCTTCCTGGCCTTGTTGCTAGACATAGTATTCTGACTTGGGAGTGGTTACTGTAGATACCACATTAGATTTCTGAATGGGTTGGTGTAGATTATGGGTCAGAGTCAATTTTTATATTTGGTGTAGCCGTTGTCCATTTGTATAGCAAATTTCTCACACCTAAATAAGGAACTATCCACGTTAGTGGGATTTCTTATTTTTAACTGGTTATGTTGAAAATTAGTTTAATATTCATTAATTTCCCACAACCCTTTCAAAGGTTTGTTTTTGCCAGACCTTCAGTTGGGCAGAGTTAATTTTTCCTTTTTTTTTTTTTTTTAAACTGGTTGGCAAACTAAATTGTAACGCTTTGGCCAAAAAATAGCCCTTTCCTTTTCTGAATATAAAGAGAATGGGTTTTAATTTTTGGTCTTTTCTTTGTTCTTCCTTCACTAATCCTGCAGAAGAGACCATAAGGCATTATCCAAATCTTCATTTGTTGGGGGCATGGTTTTCAGGTAGTATTGCCACCACCTGATGGCAATACTATTGCTACTCAATTTTTCTCTCACTGCTACTCAATTGCAGTGAGAGAAAAATAGCTCTAAATGCCGACTTTTTGTAGTGCATTGTAAAAAGCTGAATAAAGCCAGGGACGGTGTCCTGTACCTACAGTCCCAGCTGCTCTAGAGGCTGAGGTGGGAAGATAGCTTTAGCTCAGGAGCTGAGGCCTTATCATAAGGCCTTATAAGACTACCTGGAGGCTTCATCTGCATGATATAACCTTGGTCTTCACAACCCCTTGTCTTTTTTTGTTTTTGAGACGGAGTTTCGCTCTTGTTGCACGGGCTGGAGTACAATGGCGAGATCTCGGCTCACCGTAACCTCCGCCTCCCGGGTTCAAGCGATTCTCCTGCCTCAGCCTCCCGAGTAGCTGGCATTACAGGCATGTGCCACCATGCCCGTCTAATTTTGTATTTTTAGTAGAGATGGGGTTTCTACATGTTGGTCAGGCTGGTCTCGAACTCCCAACCTCAGGTGATCCGCCCACCTCGGCCTCCCAAAGTGCTGGGATTACAGGCGTGAGATACCACGCCCGGCCCACAACCCCTTAACCCAGACAACCATTTCTACTGATTCCAGGTCTTTAGATACAAACTCTTTCAACCAATTGCCAATCGGAAAATCTTTGAACCCACCTGACCTGGAAGCCCCGCCCCTCCCTTCCAGTTGCGCCTTTCCAGAGGAATCCAATGTACATTTTACATGTATTGATTGATGTCTTACGTCTTCCTAAATTGTTAAAACCAAGCTGTAGATGGGCCACCCTGGGCATATGTTCTTAGGATATCTTGGAGCCGTGTCATGGGCCATTAGTCACTCATATTTGTCTCAGAATAAATCTCTTCAACTATTTCACAAAGTTCCACCCTTTTCGTCGACAGAAAGATATTCCTCCTTCAACTCTCCATCACATCCTGTGTGGGTCTTTTCTTTCTTGTCCCAACAGAAGCACACTAACGATCAAAAAAAAGTCTCCAGAGCCTCAGTATGTGTGTACTTGACAAGCACAAAAGAGCTGACCGCTATGAATGGAGGACCAGTTCATTATGGTCAGCCATGTCGCTTCTGATGTTCTTCCTTTCGGGACTTGCTGTGCTTCAGAGAATCTGAAACGACAGGTCTCTGAAATATTTCTCAGACTTGTCCTAGACTGCTCTCCGGGAAAATCTGGTTACTTGCAGTTTAGGAGTCAGCAAAGCCCCTCCACGTCCTTAAGAGCCCCGGAACTGCATTTCTTAACGCTCCTCCAGGAGCCTCCAGCTTTTTTCCGTAAGGTCCGCGCGCCCAGCATTGTGAGGCGAGGCAGGCAGCAGCGTGGGAACTACATTACCCAGAAGACACTGCGGGCGACACAGGCAGCAACGTGAGAACTACATTACCCAGAAGACACTGCGGGGGCAGGGCAGCGAGTGTAGCCATTGGTCTAGCAGAGAGACGACTAATGAGGTCTCAATTGTGTGGGCGGGACTTCTGGCGGCGCCCTCATGGTTGCGTTAGCATGGCTACCTAGGGATCTGTTCACTGATTTAGAGGGTCCCAGAGCTCTGGGTCGGGACTGAGGTGAAAGAGCGGAAAAACGCGAGAAGCGGTGTTCCTTCTACACAGAGGCTAGAGTGCGGATCGGCTGAGTCGGCTGCAGGCGCCCCTGCCTCCGTCAGCGTCCAGGTGACCGCCGTTCCCGCCCCGCTCTTCCCTGGGTGGACTGGAGGAGGCCGCGCCGATGAACCTGACCGAGGTGCGTGCAGCGTCCCAGGCCGCCCCGCCCAACCCCTCCTCCCAGTGCTGAAGTCCCAAGGAGCCGCCCTGCAGGTTAGGCCCTTGTGTCTCTAAGAGAGGGGCGTTCTTGTGTGGGGTGCCCGGGACTGGGACTGCGGTGCGATGAGGCGGGGGAGCTCCCGTCGGAGACCGACACGTCTCTGGGGCTTGGAGGCACTGCAGAACGGGCGGCACTGGGGAGCCCGAGCGTCTTTGTCTCCAAGGAGCAGAGGTTGAGGCGGAGTCTCCCCTGGAAGGGCAGTGGAGCCGCAGAGAGCCATAGAGGGCTGTGCAGGGAGGACGAATGGGAGGGTCACGCCCAGAGTTAGAAGTTTAAAGTTGGGGAAAACAGGATGTTGAACGGGGGCAGGGGGACCGCTGAGGAGACCCCTTGAGTTATGGTAGGGCTGGGCCAGAGGGGTTGCAGTAGAGGGGAGATGTGATGAGACTCTGGATGGATCTCAGAGATAGGGTCAACAGGATTTCCTGCTGCATCAAACATAGCTGTGAGGGAAAGTCGGTAGTGAATGGTGTCTTCCATAGGTTTTGTTTTGGCCTGAAAAATCTGAAAGAATGGAATTAGAGATATCAGCTTAAGGAGCGGGTTTCAGACAGAAGATCCTGGGTTGGATTTTGGGCGACATCACATGGGTAGGTGGACGTAATTTCCAAAGGTGAGGGAAGGTAGCTGGCCTGGAGCTTTAAATGAGTTAGAAGTTGTGCACTTGAGAAGTTGGCCTGTGGATCAGATTGAGAAGGAAGAATCCTACATCGTTTTTTCATATGGGCTGAGGTAGGGGAGGGCTCAGATTTGGAGGAAAGACCATGGTAGGGAGGGCATCTCTGATACTCCCTGCAGAAGGGAGCAGATATGGGCTAAGAGTCTGGTCTGTTTCTGTTGAAAAAGAGGCCTGGATGGATAAGGAGTTGCCCTGGAATACAGAGACTGAGGCATGAGATAATTGTAGTCACTCCACCCTTCTAACTCAGCTGGCCCTGAGGGCCACTCTTTAGGGAACAAGATAAGGCCATGCAGCAACTGGGTCCAAAACTGGGCAGGGCTTTCTCACATCCTCCACCACAGTTAAGGGCCTCCAGCAAGCTCCCTTTACTGCATTATATGGCAGGCTGACCTGTTTGCTGAACGGACCAGTAACTGATTGACTGCTCAGCCCCATCCTACAACTCATTAACTTAGGGATGTAAAAACAGGTAATTGACTTAAACAGTAAGGAACTATATCAATCTTAAATAACCAAGCAAGTCAGAATCTAGTTTAAAGAGAGTTTATTCAAGTTCACATGTTGATGATAGCCATCTGGGACCATAGATTCAAGTTGTCCTGAATATACACTTCAATTACCACAGTGACAAGTGTTTGCTTTTTTTTTAAGGAAAAAAGAAGCAGTTTCTGAGTTGTTTACCAATAACTTATGTTAAAATAAGATAAGTTTTTATTGGCTATACATTCTTATTTATATTATAGATTACAGAAACATGAAGATAATAGGTGAGACAGCTAGTCAGGAACAGAATGTCTTAAAACAGTTGTCCTCAGGCATAGGTTCAGGGATGTGACTGACATCTCATATATTCTTGCCTCTCTGAGCCTGATACATTTTGTGTAGGTCAGACAGGTCTGGGCTATTTTTTTTTTTCCTCAGCCAATATCCTTCTAAATATGTACACATAGGCAATTGGAAATAGATGTAATCAATAATTTAAATGTATTAAAATATTTATTGTTAGAATGTTAATTTACCTGTAACTCTGCTTATAGTACAAAGCTTTATATATATATCACATTTCCTTAAAACATTAAGAAGTGTGGGCTGGGCACAGTGGCTCATGCCTGTAATCCCAGCACTTTGGGAAGCGAAGGTGGGCGGATCACGAGGTCAGGAGTTTGAGACCAGCCTGGCCAACATGGTGAAACTCTGTCTCTACTAAAAATACAAAAATTACCTGGGCGTGGTGGCGGGCGCCTGTAATCCCAGCTACTTAGGAGGCTGAGGCAGGAGAATCGTTTGAACCCGGGAGGTGGAGGTTCCAGTGAGCTGAGATTGTGCCATTGCACTGCAGCCTGGGCAACAGGGCGAGACACTGTCTCAAAAAAAAAAAAAAAAAAGGGAAAAATACTCAAATTTTCAAAACCCTTCTACTTTGTGCTGAAAACATGTACAAAACCATTAATCCTATAGAAAGTAATGCTTATACATAGTGTGTACTACTTATGCTTCTTGTCAATATGAGCCCTGTGAAGTGGGAACCCTTTTAATCTCCATTTTACACATAAGGGCACTGAGGCTTAGGGAGGTTCAGTCCTTGTCCAAAGACACAGAGCTGCTAAGAGGCAGCACTGAACTTAGGACTTGCTGTAGCTTCAGATTACTTTGCTCCAGTACAGGGCAGAGATGGTTGTACAGCTCAGCCTGTAGGATGCCACAGTACTGTCCTGATACTCATGGCTTGCTTCTTCCTGTTACAGGCCGAAAGAATGAGGGTCGTGATCAACTCAGTATGCCACTGGAGGCTATATGAGTAAACAGCAAACTGTTTCTCATGAAAGCAGGATGTTGGCAAACTGACAAACTGCGTCTGCCACCCAGAAGGAATGCTGAAGGCAGTCACGACCCAGGCACAAGTGTTTCTTGTGATTAGGCATAATTGAAGCCTGTTAACAATAATGTGAACTTGTGATCAATTAAGCAGCTGACCAGTCGTTACCTCCTCCTCCCTTTCATCCTACCCAATAAATGTGGAGGGCTGTGGAAGCTCAGGGGCTGCCTTTGCTCACTAGAAGCAGGGAGCTCTCTTCTTCCCCAGTTCGCCTTCTTTAAAACAGTTTCTTTCGTCTTAAGTTTTCATTTCTACGTTCGTCCCCCTTCATTCAGTCTCGTAATGATGGTCTCAAGTAGTAACAGTAACTGTCGTAGTGATGGTCTCAAGTAGTAACTGTACAAGTCTGCCACATCTTCCCACAGGGTCCATTGCAGTGGCAGCAATGCATAAGGACCCTGCACAGGTAAGTCAAGGATTTCTCAGGCTCTCTACCCCAGGCCCCCACCACTTATCTCTCCGTTATTTTAGGCATCCTGATATAGGGAAAGGTGGTGTCCTGAAACTTCATGTTTTTCCCTTCCTTGGGTCTGAAGACTGTGGTTCCACGACAACCAGGAGTCAGAACTCAGCCTCTGGTTATAGAGTGGTCCTAGTTCCGACAACTGATGGGATAAGATGTGGCAGGGCGTTCAGGCACGGGATATAGAAAGTTCAAATGCTTACTGGTGCGACTTAGCTGGGATGTTTAGTGAACTGAAAATCCATGTTGTATCTGGTCGTGATAGAGTATGGCAGCAGGGTAGGAGGTTGGGGCATACAGGGCATGCGGGATCGGCATGGAATGGCAGTCTAAGGTTCTGGGCCTTTCATCTGAGGGCGATGGTAACTAGGGAAGGTTTGAGGAGGGGGGAAAAAGAGGTGACCTGACCCAGGTTTTAGTGGCTCCCTCTGCCTGCAGAATGGAAGACCACGTGCAGGTGAGGGTGGAGCCACCGATACCTGGGTGATGGGTCCAGCAACAGCCCAGGTGGAGGTTGTTGGTGACTGAACGAGAGTGGCGGTGGTGGAAGTGGGAGGAGTGGGGGGCTTCTGTATGTGTTTGATCTAGAGCTGCCTGTATTTTATAACGTAGAGAGCAAGGAAGCTTGGGAGCTGAGATGGAAGAGGGGGTCAGGAATGGCCCCACAGTTTTGGCCTTATTTGGAAGGATGGATGTCCCAGCAACTAAGATGTAGTAAGTTCTGTAGTAGGGGGAGTGTTTATATAGTAGAGCATATGAGGAACCAAGTTTTGGCCAAGTCAAAAATGTTCCAGTGGCCAGGCATGGTGGATCACACCTGTAATCCCAGCACTTTGGGAGGCAGAGGTGGGAAGATTGCTTGAGGCCAGCCTGGGCAACATAGGGAGACTCTGTCCCTACAAATAATAATAAATAGCTGGGTGTGGTGGCGTCTCTCTGTGGTCTCAGCTAATCGGCGTGCTGAGGCAGGAGGGTCACCTGAGCCTGGGAAGTAAAGGCTGCAGTGAGCCATGATTGTGCCCCTGCACTCCAGCCTGGGCAACAGAGTAAGACAAACAAAAACAAAAATCCAAGCCAAAACAAAAACAAAAATACACAAAAAATGTTTCAGAGACTTTGAGTGGAGGTGCCAGGCTGGCAGTTGTACACACAGGAATGGAGTTCATTGGAGGTGTTCAGGAAGGAGACATCCACTACATGATAGCTGAACTGTTGTGAAACTGGGTCAGATTTAGGAAGCAATGGTGTTAGTAGGAAGGAAGGAGAAGGAACAGACTGAGGACTGGGTGTCTCCACTGGGCACCTGGATGGTGTTGGTGGGTGTCACAAAGACAGATGAGAGAGTGGATCGACTGAGGGTATGTGTGTGTATGTTTGTGTGTTATGTTGGGGGCAGCCTGTGGAGTATAAGGAAGGGCTTTTGAGGGGAGAGTGGCCATGAGATGGATGGTGAGGCATCTCCACAAACTCACCAGGGTTTCATGGTGAGTCTTGCTTGGACCTGGGTAGTTTCATGCAAACTGTGAGACTACTTTAGGGGAAGATGGGATCAGCAAGGAGCATTGCTAGGCCTGGGGTGGGGATAGCATTGGGGAGGTCAGTGTATCTGGGCTTTGGATTAGGATTAGGGGGATAGAGAATGTTGTGACTGCTTATGGGAAAACATGTACATTGCAAAAGGGGGAGACAGCCAAGATCTGGAACTCAGAGGAGGTATGCAAGAACTGTGAGGTTGTCACTTGGGTTTTGGGGGGGCTGAGGTTAAACCAGAAAACAGGACTGGGAAGGGAGACCTTCAGAACAGGGCTCGGTGCTGCCCCAGGCGCTAGGGAACATTATATTCTGGGCAGCCCAGGAGCAAATAGGGTTCTGGTGCACTGCAGGACTCCATGTACAGAGTGGCATCTTGGGAGGCCATGGAAATGCTCCTGGTTGGGCCAGGGCTGCTGTTAGTATTGCAAGAGTGGAGGCATTAGATACATGAGAGAGGTACTGTCCAAAGCGAGATGCGAAGGTGAGGAGGAGCATGAATGCGTGGTCCCAGCCCTGGCAATGGGCACGTAAGGGAGAAGAGTGAGCCTGAGTTTGGGTGTCTGGGAGGCAAGATCTGGAGACCCCAAGGAAATGGGGTGACAAAAGAAGGTAGGGCCGGCCGGGCGCAGTGGCTCATGTCTGTAATCCCAGCACTTTGGGAGACCAAGGCAGGTGGATCACGAGGTCAGGAGTTCGAGACCCGCCTGCCCAACATGGGGAAACCCCGTCTCTACTAAAAATACAAAAATTAGCCGGGAGTGGTGGCAGGTGCCTGTAATCCCAGCTACTCAGGAGGCTGAGGCAGGAGAATTGCTTGAACCTGGGAGGCAGAAGTTGCAGTGAGCCACTGCACTCCAGCCTGGGTGACAGAGCAAGACTCTTGTCTCAAAAAAAAAAAAAAAAAAAAAAAGAGGGTAGGGCGCCCTGGGCTAGGCATTGATGATGCTTTTGCTTTCTCCCCACCCATCTTTGTGCTGTGCTGGACTCAGCAATCAGTAGCAGTGGGGGCGAGAGAAGTGCGAATGCTACCAGGATGTGGAGTCTCTTCCTCCTTGGGAAGTGGGTGGAGGCTAAGCAGGGGATGGATGTGTGTGGGTACTGGGGAAGCACTGAAGATTCTGGAGAGGGAAGTGTATCAGTGATTGACCCGCTGGATTTTCATTTTTGGAAAAGAGTGAGTGATGACAGAGAGGCTAATGGCATTGAAATAATTTTAATTACTTTCATTTCCTTAGTGCAGGGGGAATGCCGTGCTGCACCAGGCCACGGGAAATACTAGATTTGGTTAGGAGGCAGAGGCATGACTGAAGGGAAAGCATATATCAGAGACTGTATTGGGGTTTTGGCAGGAAAGGCATGCAGGGTGGGATGAGGAGCTTAAAACTCAGTGGTTTGCATAAGTCTGGCAGCCTTAGGGCTAAGAGATTATCCCTTATTGTGTGGTGACAGGGCTTGTGTTGATTAGGACAGGAGAAATAATCATGTATGAGCATTAGATAGTGGTTCAGCATATGGGATCTGGATCGCAAGGGAAATGTAAAAACATTGGCTGTTAGTTTGGCCCTCCAATTCTTAGATTTTAAGTAGATAAATACAGATCTAAGGAAACACAGAATAAGAAGTTGTTCATAGACTGAAGTGTCATAATTTTGGCAGGATTGTATGGTCTTTGAGGATGTGGCCATATATTTCTCCCAAGAGGAATGGGGGATCCTTAATGATGCTCAGAGACACCTGCACAGCAATGTGATGTTGGAGAACTTTGCGCTTTTGTCATCAGTAGGTAAGGCCTTCATACCTACTCTGGTGTCTTGTGCTGGGTGCTGTTTTTTTGCTCTTTTCCATGACAACTCTGTCTTTCCCACACCAGATTGTGAGTGCTACGTCCTGTCCTCTCCTGGTTTCCTGGCAAATGTGATAAGGCAGCCAGAGCTGGGCTGTGTATACTGTACCACCTCCCCTTAAGCAGCCCCAGCTTCTGTTGCTCTGAAACTTTACAAGATAAGGCTCGGAAGTCAGAAATCTTCAGGTTTCTTTAAGATATCCTAATGGCGGTGCCTGTCCCTGGTTTGATTACTCTGTCCAAATGTGTGAAACCTCTGTCCAAGGGTTTCCCTGTTCCCCTTGCTGACATACTTGGAGACAGTGTCTGTGCTAGGAATTTCAGGCACCTCCCTGGTCACCACTTGTGAGGATTGTGAAGTTATTTCTGCAGGACGCTCTACTGGGTGTTCTGGTAGCTTTAGAATGCAGCATGTCCTGGGTTTATTGCTCTGTGTACATGCTGTCCCCTCCCTTTCCCTGCCTTTCCCGTAGCTGGACTTATGCCGCAGCTAGATAGTTGCTCACCTTGAGCAAGGGGGAGGTCTCTGGGTGCCTGGCAGAGTGGATAGTCCTCTATTAATGGCAAGAGACACTCAGAAGGACTTGGCCCTGGTGGGTGAAAGCTGGGAAAGGATGTGATATCAAGGCTGGGTTCAAATCACATTGAGAACTTACCTTGTGACCACTATTGTTTGATGCAGGGCCACTGGCCACTCGTCACTCTTCCTTTCCTTCCCTGTTGTTATTTTTACTCTGACTTCTGACCCCTGGCTTCCACCTCTGACCCCTCCTCTCCAGCCTTCATCTCTCCACCATTCTCTTCCACCTCTCCCTTTGCAGTGCTGTCTAATGTATGACCTGTACTTTAGGTGTTATGAGGTCTGCGTGTATCCTTCAGTAGTCCATGAATACTCGCTCTCACACAATCAGATCTCTCTGGATCTGGACACAACCGTCATGGCCTGTTGAAAGCCATTTATAGAGGAGTGAGTTGGAGACCCCACCTGCCCTCCCTGCATGGTACTTCTCCCTTGTGTCCTTACCACCAGGATTCCCCCACTACACACACTTCACAGGCCCACCTCTGAACACTGGGCCTTCCTCTCACTGGCCTTATTTCCTTGCCTGTGACCAGTCCTGTGCCCTCATTTGTGGGTGTGTCTCACAGACATTTGTGATGGGGCTGTCTCCTCCCTCCGGAGTTCACGTGCACTTCACCAGCATTTCTGTTCTTACAGGTTGTTGGCATGGAGCCAAGGATGAGGAGGTACCTTCCAAGCAGTGTGTTTCTGTAAGAGTGTTACAGGTCACAATTCCAAAGCCAGCTTTGTCCACCCTGAAGGCCCAGCCCTGCAAGATGTGTAGCTCAATTCTGAAGGACATTCTGCACCTGGCTGAGCACGATGGAACACACCCTGAGCAAGGGCTGTACACATGTGCAGCAGAGCATGACCTGCACCAAAAGGAGCAGATTAGAGAGAAGCTCACCAGAAGTGATGAGTGGAGGCCTTCATTTGTGAACCACAGTGCTCACGTGGGAGAGAGGAACTTCACATGCACGCAGGGTGGCAAGGATTTTACTGCCAGCTCAGACCTTCTCCAGCAACAGGTCTTAAACAGTGGGTGGAAGCTGTACAGGGATACCCAGGATGGGGAAGCCTTTCAAGGTGAACAGAATGATTTCAACTCCAGCCAAGGTGGGAAAGACTTTTGCCACCAACATGGGCTGTTTGAGCACCAAAAAACCCATAATGGGGAGAGGCCTTATGAGTTCAGTGAATGTGGGGAATTGTTTAGGTACAACTCCAACCTTATTAAATATCAGCAAAATCATGCTGGAGAAAGGCCTTATGAGGGCACTGAATATGGAAAGACCTTTATTAGAAAGTCCAACCTAGTTCAGCACCAGAAAATTCACAGTGAAGGCTTTCTTTCAAAAAGGTCTGACCCCATTGAACATCAGGAGATTCTCAGTAGACCAACACCTTATGAATGCACCCAGTGTGGGAAGGCCTTTCTTACACAGGCTCATCTGGTTGGTCACCAGAAAACCCATACTGGAGAACAGCCCTATGAATGCAACAAGTGTGGGAAGTTTTTTATGTATAACTCCAAACTCATCAGACATCAGAAAGTTCACACTGGGGAGAGGCGTTACGAGTGCAGTGAATGTGGGAAATTGTTTATGGACAGCTTCACACTCGGTAGACATCAGAGAGTTCATACTGGAGAAAGGCCTTTTGAATGCAGCATATGTGGAAAATTCTTTAGTCACCGCTCCACACTCAATATGCACCAGAGAGTTCATGCTGGCAAAAGGCTTTATAAGTGTAGCGAATGTGGGAAAGCCTTTAGCCTCAAACATAATGTTGTTCAGCATCTGAAAATTCATACTGGAGAACGGCCTTATGAGTGCACTGAATGTGAGAAGGCCTTTGTTAGAAAGTCCCACCTAGTTCAGCACCAGAAAATCCACACTGATGCATTTTCAAAAAGGTCTGACCTCATTCAACACAAGAGGATTGACATTAGGCCAAGGCCTTATACATGCAGTGAATGTGGGAAGGCCTTCCTTACACAGGCTCATCTGGTTGGTCACCAGAAAATCCATACTGGAGAACGGCCTTATGAATGCACTCAATGTGCGAAGGCCTTTGTTAGAAAGTCCCACCTAGTTCAGCATGAGAAAATCCACACTGATGCATTTTCAAAAAGGTCTGACCTCATTCAACACAAGAGGATTGACCTCAGGCCAAGGCCTTATGTGTGTAGTGAATGTGGGAAGGCCTTCCTTACACAGGCTCATCTAGATGGTCACCAGAAAATCCAGACTGGAGAACGGCGTTATGAATGCAATGAATGTGGGAAATTCTTTTTGGACAGCTACAAACTTGTTATTCATCAGAGAATTCACACTGGAGAAAAGCCTTATAAATGCAGCAAATGTGGGAAATTCTTTAGATATCGCTGTACACTGAGTAGACATCAGAAAGTTCACACTGGAGAAAGACCTTATGAGTGTAGTGAATGTGGGAAATTTTTTAGAGATAGCTACAAACTCATTATTCATCAGAGAGTTCATACTGGAGAAAAGCCTTATGAATGCAGCAACTGTGGGAAGTTTCTTAGATACCGCTCTACATTCATTAAACATCATAAAGTTTGCACTGGGGAGAAGCCTCATGAGTGCAGTAAATGTAGGGAATTGTTTAGGACTAAATCGAGCCTTATTATACATCAGCAGTCTCACACTGGAGAAAGTCCTTTTAAGTTAAGGGAATGTGGGAAAGACTTCAACAAATGTAATACTGGTCAGCGCCAAAAAACTCACACTGGAGAAAGGTCTTATGAGTGTGGTGAATCCAGCAAAGTGTTTAAATACAACTCCAGCCTCATTAAACATCAGATAATTCATACTGGAAAAAGGCCTTAGTGGAGTGAATGCAGGAAAGTCACCAAAACTGTCACCTCATTCAGCACCAAAAGGTTCACATCGGACCAAGAACCTATTAATATATGTAAATCTAATGTTGAAAGAGTTCAGATGGAAATCTGCGAGGATTTCCTGCTGGGAACTACATTAAAAACATTTATGTCCAGGCGTGGTGGCTCACGCCTGTAATCCCAGCACTTTGGGAGGCAGAGGTGGGTGGATCACCTGAGGTCAGGAGTTTGAGACCAGCCGGGCCAACATGGTGAAGCCCCATCTCTACTAAAAATACAAAAATTAGCTGGGCATGGTGGCAGGTGCCTGTAATCCCAGCTATTCAGGGGACTGAGGCAGGGAGCATCACTTGAACCTGGGAGGCGGAGGTTGCAGTGAACTGAGATTGTTCCATTGCACTCCAGCCTGGGTGACAGGGCGAGACTCTGTCTCAAAAAGAAAAAAATTATAATTGTGGCAAATTACAGGTAACTTAAAATCTACCATCTTAACCCATATTTAACTGTACTGTTCAGTAGTGTTAAGTCATTCGCATTGTTGTCAATTAATATCCAGAAGTTTTTTCAACTTAATGAAACTAAAACATTATACCCTTTAAACCAGGGGTCCACAACCCCCAGGCTGCAAACTGGTACCAGTCTGTGGCCTGTTAGGAACCGGGCCAGCATCACTACCTGAGCTTCACCTCCTGTCAGATGAGCAGCATTAGATTCTCATAGCAGCCTGAGCCCTATTGTGAACTGTGCCTGTGAGGGATCTAGGTTGTGTGCTCCTTATGAGAATCTAACTAATACCTGATGATCTGAGGTGGGACAGTTTTATTCTGAAACTGTCTGCCCCCTCCTCTGTCCCTGATGCGTGGAAAAATTGGCTTCCATGAAACCAGTCCCTGGTGCCAAAGAGGTTGGGGACCGCTGCTTTAAACTACTCCTCTTCCTCATTCCCTACGCCAACCAGCCCCTGACAATACTACTGTATGAATTTTACTATAAATATCTCATATGAGGAAACTTAAGTTTTAGTCTTTTGTGACTTATTTTGAGGCTTATTTCCCTAAATGTCTTCAAGGTTTATCCATGTTGTAGCATAGCTTATGATTTTCATCTTTTTTAAAGGCCGAATAAAATCCCATTGTAGTCATGTGTCGCCTAACAAGAGGACTGTGTTCTGAGTAATCATCTTAAGGTGATTTTGTCATTGTGTGAACAAAGAGTGTACTTACACAAACCTGAAGGGCACAGCCTATTACGCACCTAGGCTATATGATATGGTCCATTGCGCCTCAGATATAAACCTTAACAGCATGTTACAGTATTGAATATTGTAGGTAATTGAAACACAATGATAAGTAAATGTGTATCTAAACATATCTAAGTTTCCAAAAGGTACTGTAAAAATGTATGAAAAATGGTAAAAACTTTATAGGGCACTAACATGAACGAAGCTTGCGGGACCCCTCTGGTTGAGTCAGGGAGTGAGTTGTGAGTGAATGTGAAGCTCTAGGACATTACTGTACCCTATTGTAGATGTTATAAACATTGTACACTTAGGCTACTCTAAATTAATTTTTTCTTTAGTAATAAATTAACCTTAGTCTACTGTAACGTTTTTACTTCATGAACTTTTAAAATTTTAAAAAGCTTTTTGACTCTTTTGTAATAATAGCTTAAAACACAAACACATTATACAGCCTGTATAGAAGTACTCCTTTATATTCTATAAACTTTTTCTATTTAATTTTTTAACTTCGTAAAAAATAAGTTAAAAATGAAGACACAGACACACACATTAGTCAAGGCCTACAGAGGGTGAGGATCATTAATATCACTGTCTTTTGCCTCCACATCTTGTCCCACTAGAAGGTTTTCAGGCTCAATAACAGGGAGTTGTTATCTCCTATGATAACAATATTCTGGAATATTTTCTGAAGCCTTGCCTCACACTTTTTTTTTTTTTTTTTTTTTGAGACAGAGTCTCGCACTGTTGCCAGGCTGGAGTGCAGTGGCACAATCTCGGCTCACTGCAACCTCTGCCTCCTGGGTTCAAGTGATTCTCCTGCTTCAGCCTCCCGAGTAGCTAGGATTACAGGTGCCTGCCACCACGCTCAGCTAATTTTTTGTATTTTTAGTAGAGATGGCGTTTCACTATGTTGGCCAGGCTGGTCTCGAACTCCTGACCTCATGATTCGCCCGCCTCAGCCTCCCAGAGTGCTGGGATGACAGGCATGAGCCACCGCGCCTGGCTTTATTTTTTTTTTGAGACAGAGTCTTGCACTGTTGCCTGGGCTGGTGTGTAGTGGTGTGATCTTGGCTCACTGCAACCTCCGCCTCCCGGGTACAAGCGATTCTCCTGCCTCAGCCTCCCGAGTAGCTAGGATTACAGGTGCCCACCAGCATGCCCGGCTAATTTTTTGTATTTTTAGTAGAGATGGGGTTTCACTATGTTGGCCAGGCTGGTCTCCAACTCCTGACCTCATGATCCGCCCATCTCGGCCTCCCAAAGTGCTGGGATTACAGGCATGAGCCACAGCGCCCGGCCTGTGCTCTTTATATGACTGGCAGACCAGTAGGTTTGTTTACACCAGTGTCACCACACACACTTGAGTAATGGGATTGAGTTACAGTGGCTGTGGTGGCACTAGGTGATAGGAGTTGTTTAGCTCTGTTATAATACGGGATTACTGTTATACATGTGGTCCATGGTAGACAGAAATGTGTGGCATATGACTGTGGTATATGTATATGCCACTTTTCCTGTATTCTTTCTTCAGTGTACATTTGGGTTGCTTCCACTCTTCTGTTCTTGTTAATGCCACTATGAGCATGAATATACAAATACCTCCTGAGGCCCTGCTTTAAATTCTTCTTGGACATATACCCAGAAGTGGAAATGGTGCTTCCCGTTAATAATAATAATTATAATAATAATAATTATTATTATTATTTTGAGACGGAGTCTTGCTCTGTCACCCAGGCTGGAGTTCAGTGGCACAATCTCGGCTCACTGCAAGCTCCGCCTCCCGGGTTCACGCCATTCTCCTGCCTCAGCCTCCCAAGTAGCTGGGACTACAGGTGCCCGCCACCACGCCCGGCTAATTTTTTGTATTTTTAGTAGAGACGGGGTTTCACCGTGTTAGCCAGGATGGTCTTGATCTTCCTGACTTTGTGATCCATCCGCCTCAGCCTCCCAAAGTGCTGGGATTACAGGCGTGAGCCACCACGCCTGGCCACTTCCCGTTAATTCTATTTTAAATTGTGGGGGGAATTATTTTCCATAGCAGCTGCACCATTTTACATTCTCACCAGTGCAGGGGTTCTAGTTTTTCACATTATTGCCAACACTTTGTTTTTTAATCATGATGGGTGTAAGATGTTATTTTATTATGGTTTTTTAATTTGCATTTCAGTATTGGTGTTGAGCATCTTTTCATTTGCTTGTTGACTAATTGTATAGGTTCTTTGGAGAAATATCTGTTAAATGTCTTTGCCCATTGAAGAAAGTTTTTGTAAATTTTCAGATAACATTGTATGCTTTTGTTGTGTACAACATGATGTGAAGTATATATACTTTGTTGAGTGGTTAACATGTACGTATTATATATGTACATATTCTGTATACGTATTTTAAATATTAACCCCTTGCAGATATGTGTTTTTCAAATACTGTCTACCATTCAGTCTGCTTCCTTTTCATTCTGTTCATGTCTTTTTTTTTTTTTTTTGCACAGGAGTTTTCAAATTTCAATGGAGTCCAATATATGTTATGTTTGTTTCCTATGCTTTTGGTATTATACCCAAGAAATTATTGCTAAATCCAGTGTCATGAACCTTTTTTCATGTTATTTTCTAGGAGTTTTATAGTTTTAAGTTGTACTTTTATGTCTGATTTATTTCAGTTTGTTTTAGTAAATGGAGGAAGGTAAGAGTTCAACTTCATTCTTTTGCATATAGATATCCAGCTTTTTGAAAGTCATTTGTTGAAAAGACTCCTTAATAAGTTTTTGCGCTCTTGTCAAAAATCTGAGCATAAGTATGAGGACTTCCGTCTGGCCTCTTTATTCCACTATATGTATGCATTTGTGCTAGTACCAAGGTGTTTTGATACATAATTCTTTTAAAAGAATAATGTTTCTGTCCACTGTTGAGGCCCTTGCTAGAGGCTTGACAGTGCTACATTTGGAACAGCTGATTAAGTACACTTCCAACCACTTTCCTTAACAGGCTGTCAAACTCTGGGTCAATATATATCAGCCCCAGTCACCCCAGGAGCAGGTATCAGACATCTGGGGACAACTCCTATGCCCTGAAATGTGTAAAATTACTCAAATTGGCCAAGTATAGAAAGCCCAGAAAATCTAGCTAACCCGAATCCACTTGCCACACACAAGCTGCCTCCTACAACTCCAGTTTGCTGTATTACTATCTATATTCCTTCACAACTCCGGTGCAGCCCTGAATCATGTCCTCTGGTTCTGAGTTGTAAGTTACAACATGCTCCACCTTTCATCTATCTGTCATGTCATGTCCTGACATCAAGAAAACTTCTAAATCTTAAAACTACATACCCAGAAGGGTATCATGAGTGCAGCGAATGTTGGAAAGTCTTCAGCCATTAACCTCATTCAGCACCAGTAAACCATCTTGGAGAAAGACCTTAGGAATGCAGGCAGGCAAAGTGCTTTTGCCAGCAGATAAAATAGTAAAGCTGTGGATATTAGCTTTTGTGAGGGAGACCTCAACCAGAAATGGAATCTTACATCCAAACATCCACACAAGGGAGGTTTGTTGTAATTGTCTGCTATATGAGAAGCTTTTGTGAATTACCTTGCACTTTCTGACCTGCCTGGGATCCTTGCCAGTGTTAAGTCACTGAAAGTGTGTACTACAAAAGACTTCCATCCACTATTAGCTGATATCACAGTGTGTATCACCTTAAAATGCTTAGGGAGGGCAGATAGCTGTGCTCTCTACCTTTATCTGGAGTTATTGAGTCTGATCCCTTCGGGCGAGGCCTCATTCCCACTTCCATGGCTGGTTTGGGTGCAGACATCATCCAACTTTGGACAGAGGATACAGGCTGGCTTGAGCTGGCAGCTTGTAAAGATTTTCCTTTCTTCATGGGTATTATTGCTTGTCTTATAATGTTGGTGATAGATTTTTCACCTTCCAAGCTGCCCAAACCCAGTCAATTTCCACGTGACTATACTGGTTTTAGTGATGATAAAGTCATTGTTTAAGCTACATTTACTCATTGCAGTTTTATTCTCTGTGTGCTGTGGGTTGAGAGCAAAATTGGAGTCTGCCAAAATGAAAAAGTGAGTGGTTTTGTGAGGTTTTCAATTTTATGTACTTCCAAGGAAATAGCAAAAACAAAAAAACCAAAAAAAAAAAAAAAAAAACAACTCAATCCACAAACGCCTGATGTATATTGCTTCAGAAGGTTCCTGGGAAAAAGAAGGATTTCTATCCAAAATCCTTTACCCTGAATTTGAAGATTATTTATGGTTGCACAGTCAGCTTGCAGCCAGGACAATTGGTTTGACAACTGTCAGGATTTATGGCAGCTGTGAGAGCTGGGTATTTGTACCCATGCATGTCCCATATTCTCCAGTATTGTTTAGGGATAGCTTGCTCCTGTGATGTGCCTTATGAGCTATGTGTCTTGAACCCAAAAATGATGTAGGTTATGTTCCTGGATGTAAAATGTAAGAGTGCATTAGTTTGTTGTCCATTGCTTATAAAATAATACCTGAAACTGGGTTATTTATAAAGAAAAATCTATTTCTTACAGTTATGGAGGTTGAAAGGTCCAAGGTTGAGTGGCCGCATTTGGTAAGAGCCTTCTTGCTGGTAGACTGTGCAAAAAGTCCCAAGGTGGTACAGGGCATCACATGGTGAGGCTGCTGAGTGTGCTCACATGTTAACGTGCTAGCGCAAATCATTCTCTCTCTTTTTTTTTTTTTTTTTTGAGACGGAGTTTCGCTCTTATCGCCCAGGCTGGAGTGCAATGGCGCGATCTTGGCTCACTGCACCTCCGCTTCCTGGGTTGGCTCACCGCAACCTCTGCCTCCCGGGTTCAAGCAATTCTTCTGTCTCAGCCTCTTGAGTAGCTGGGATTACAGGCATGTGCCACCACACCCCGCTAAGTTTTTATTTTTAGTAGAGCAGGGTTTCTCCCATGTTGATCAGGCTGGTCTCGAACTCCTGACCTCAGGTGATCTGCCCGCCTTGGCCCCCCAAAGTGCTGGGATTACAGGCAAGAGCCACGGCCCCTGGCCCTTTCTCTTCTTATAAAACCACCAGTTCTCCCAGGATAACCCATTAGTCTATCAACCCATAAATTGATTAATTCATTCCTGAGGATAGAGCCCTCATGATTCAATCACCTCTTAAAGGTCGCACCTCTCAGTACTACCACACTGTAGATTAAGCTTCAATGTGACTTTTGGAGGAGATGGTCAAACCATAGCAAGCAGTTTGGGAACCATAGTCTGTACAGAAACAGTGATTGTATTAATATGAAGTATGAGACACCAGCAAACTAGAGTGGAATGGATGAGCGCCTTGTAAAGAGACATCCATGAATGTTTCAGTAACTATGGCTATGTGAGATGAGGGTATACAGAAACTCTGAGGACCTACAGACGTGTGTATCTCCTGTAGGCAAAGTCATTGTCAGAGCAAGTAATCCAAAGGTGTTATGGATTCTTGTGTCTCTGGCGTTATAAAACGTATGTTGAATTTTAATTGCCATTTTAACAGTGTGGAGAAATGGGACCTTTAAGAGGTGATTAGGTCATGATGGCTCTGCCCTTATAAAGGAATCAATGCCTTTATCATAAGAGTGGGTTTGTTAACCCGAGAGTGACGTTTTTATAAAATCAGCTGTCTCTGTCTTTCATGCTCACTTGCCCTTCTGTCATATTATGACAGAGTAACAAGGCCCTCACCAGATGCCAAGCAGATACCAGTGCCATACCCTTGGACTTCCCAGCCTCCAGAACTGTATGAAACAAACTACTTTATAAATTACGCAATCTGTGGTGTTTTGCTATAGTAGTGGAAGACAGACACAGACATAAAGCCTGTTAATTCAAACCACTACTGCACAGGTAGGAGCCTCATGACTGAATGAAGGGAGATTCTATACTTCTGAGATAAGTCTTTTTTTTTTTTAAACCTAAACATAATTCCTGGTGACTCAGGTGGACATAACCTTCCTTGTCTCCAGTTCTTCTTCCCCGAGATTCTGAATTTCCAACAACATTGCTTCCAGTTTTTGATACTATAAAATCAGAGTTGACCCACGTAAGACATGAGGAGAGGCTAATGATGGAATCAACACAGCTTTGCCAGAGGTTATAAAAGAGGATTGAGAAATCCAGATTTTATTTGGAATTTTTCTTTTCTAACAGCTTTATTGAGGTATTAGTGACATTCAGTTGCACATTGTTAAAGTGTAAAATATATAAAAACAATCACCAAAGTCATGATAATAAACATATCCATTGCCTCAATAGTTTGTTTGTACCCTTTTCTATTCTCTCTCGCTCACAGTCCTACCCAAATTTTTATGCTCAGGTAGCCACTGGTTTACTTTATGTCACTATATACATCTTTCCTTCCTTCCTTCCTCCCTCCCTCCTGCTCTTTTCTTTTTCCTTTTTTCTTTTCTTTTTTCTTTGTTTCTTTCCCTCCCTCCTTCTCTTCTCCTCTCCTCTCCTCCTCTCCTCCTCCTCTCCTCTCCTCTCTTCTCTTCTTTCTCTTTCTCAGAATTTCACTCTTGTTGCCCAGGCTGGAGTGCAATGGCACGATCTCAGCTCACCGCAACCTCCACCTTCTGGGTTCAAGCGATTCTCCTGCCTCAGCCTCCTGAGTAGCTAGGATTACAGGCATGCGCCACCACGCCTGGCTAATTTTGTATTTTTAGTAGAGACGGGGGTTTCTCCATGTTGGCCAGGCTGGTCTCGAACGCCTGACCTCAAGTGATCCACCTGCCTTGGCCTCCCAAAGTGTTGGGATTACAGGCGTGAGCCACCATGCCCGGCCTATAAATTTTCTAGTATCTTATACAAATGAAATCCTACATTACATTCATATGGAGCATTTTTTGATATTTATACATGTTAAGCGTATTCATTTTTTGTTGATGAAGAGTATTGCATTGAATATACCACAATTTATTAATCTATTAATAAATATTTTGATTGTTTCTAGTGTTGGACTAAAAAACTAACAAAGACCCATGAACATTCATATACAAGTGTTTATATGAATATATTTAGCAGAATTGCATTTGTTATACCTCCTTGTCCATGATGGTTATGGTGTATTTTAAAGATTAACCATTTTCATAGATGTGTTGTGGTCAGTGTGGTTTTTAAATTTGCATTTCTCTAATAATTAATGATGCTGAATAAGTTTTTATATGCTTATTTGTTATCTGTATATTTGGCCAAATTTCTAAATCTTTTCCCTTTTTTTAAAAAAAAATCTTATTTTTCTATTTTAATAGAGTTTTAATTTTAGAACATTTTAAGATGTACAGAGAAATTGCAAATATAGTACAGAGATATCTCATTTACAAGCACACCTAGTTGTTACTAATATATAGTCATATATTAGTATACAGCATTATTTACAATTAGTGAAACAGTTTTGATACATTATTAAACTAAAGTACATCTTTGATTGAGATTTCCTCAGTTTTTACCAAAATACATGTTCTGTTCCAGAATTCCACCTAGGATACCACATTGCATTTATTTTATTATTTTTTATTCTTTTATTTATTTTTTTTCATGTGTCTCTAAATGTAACCACATTACAGTTAGTACTCACATTTCTTTAGGCTTGTCTTGCTTATGAGAATACTCATTTATTTTGATATTGATTTTTAATTTTTTTTTTTTTAGATAGTCTTGCTCTATTGTCCAGGCTGGAGTGCAGAAGCACTTTCTTTCTTTCTTTTTTTTTTTTTTTTTTGAGACGGCGTCTTGCCCTGTCTCCCAGGCTGGAGTGCAGTGGTGGGATCTCGACTCACTGCAACCTCTGCCTACTGGGTTCAAGGATTCTCCTGCCTCAGTCTCCTGAGTAGCTGGGATTACAGGCACCTGCCACCATGTCTGGCTAATTTTTGTATTTTTAATAGAGATGGGGTTTCACCATGTTGGCCAGGCTGGTCTTGAACTCCTGACTTCAAGTGATCTGCCCACCTCAGCCTCTCAAAGTGCTGGGGTTACCGGCGTGACCCACGGTGCCCAGCCACTTTTAGTTATTTTTATTTTTATTTTGAGTCTCCCTCCGTCACCCAAGCTGGTAAGTAATTCTCGTGCTTCACCCTCTGGAGTAGCTGGGACTACAGGTGTGTGCCACATGGTTGGCTAATTTTTGTATTTGAGACAGGGTTTTTGCCATGTTGGCCAGGCTGGTCTCGAACTCCTGGCCTCAAGTCATCTTGAGTGGATCACTTGAGGCATTTGGGAGTGCCTCAGCCTCCCAAAACGGTGGGATTACAGGCGTGAGCCACTGTGCCCGGCCTGCACATGTCTTTCTTACATGTGGACTCTCCAGGGGATTTATGCTGTTCAAGAAGCACCTGAATCAAACTGTGCTTTAAAAATATTTTTAAAACATTCCATGATTCTTCATAGTACAAAAATGAGAAATCTCCCCTAAATCTCTAAAGAATTCCCTTTTTAAACTTTTTGATTTCCTGAACTTGTCTGAAGGACTTAACACAGTTATATAGAGTGTTCTTTGTGTAACAGTATCCATGACTTTCATTTTTAGCTCTGGTATTAGATCTTCCTGGACAAGAGCATTACTGGCCATGTGTATGTTGCTATCACAAATAACTAGTAGTTAATATTTCCTAAATCTTAGCAAGAGTTATGATAAATAGCTGAATTCCATGAAGAGAAAAGACTCATGGCATGACAACCAGATTAGGAAAGAGTGTTTTCCTTGTCCTGCAGGCAAAACAGAACTGAGAGATATGAGTATCACTCATGATGAGGACAAAAGGGCTGCGTGCTGGGAAACATGAGGCGACCAACACAGAGTTGGTCACTATCCACTGGCCTGGGTTTGCAACTACAGTTGTCCAAATTGTCAGAAAACTATGGACTGAATAGAAAACAAAAAAGGAGCTCACCAGGACCATGATGGTGTGTGTGGCTCTGGCTTCCTGGGAAGGTCTGCAGGAGAGTCTGTTGCTGTGATTGTGTTGGACTTGCTGCTTGTGTCTGTAGAGGAAGAAGACCATGGAGCCACTGGCCCAGACCATGAAGCCCAAACTCATAAAATCAGGGGAAAAATATAAGACTGCATGTAATGAGCTAAATCTCTTTGATGCTTTGTAAGAACAGTATCCATAATTGTTTTTTGCACTACTGTTTTTGCTATTCAGTGGGCCATTCACTAATAGAAGAACAGATGCATTCATCAAGACATGGGGGGCCCAGCAGAGGAGACAACAGAAGTCAATAAACCTTGGGGATCTAATCTTGATCTCCATCCACCTGCATATACTGGGGTTGAGCTTAATGGCTTGGAATCCATTGAGAAGGCAGATGGTGCTGAGGGAAACTCTTGTGCCCACCCTGTGATAATAAAAGACAAACTTACATCCAGTGTCATTCAGCAAATATTTCAATCCAAAAGCTGCCATTGTCTGAGGTATCCCTTTAAAGAAAAGGACCATGGAGTTAGCCAAGGCCAGTTGGCTGAGAATCAAGTCCGTGGGTCTCAGCTTGTGTCCAGTGAACAAAATTAAGTTATAAAAACAAAGGAGAAAGGAATTTCCCAGGATCCCAACTCCAGTCTGAATGAGGAAGCTAATCCCTGATTTTACTTTTCCAAAAGCCATTTCATCAAAATCTAGGGGATGTTGATTTTCATTGAGGTCTGAAGAATCAGTAGAATAAAAAAGCAGAAAGAAGTATCTTGTCATCAGTGGAGACAGAAGTTTTAATGTGTCTCCAACCATATTTTCTCATCTTAAACAGAAATTAAGATTGTCCCTGTTCGTGCAAAGGCAATTGCTTGTGTGTCCAACTGCAGAGAAGCAGGTGAATGAATGAGGGCTCAACCGCACAACAGATCCACAAATCAAACCTATAAAACTCAGGGCTTACACACATGCAACAAGTAAATACAAGCAAAACTAGGGAAATATATAAAAACAGAACACAGAAGAGTCAATATCATTAGAGTGATATTATACTATAGTTTGCAAAATGTAATCATGACGGAACCCTGGGTAATATGGACAGGGCTTTTTCTGTATTATTTCTTATGACTGCTTGTGAGTCTACACTTATTTCAATAAAACCTTCAATTAAGTAGCCTGGAGATATGAAAAGCAAAAATAATACACCATAAAACCTTTTCCACACTAATATTTTAGTAAACACCATTGTTATTGATGCATTGAAACAAATTTTAGGCCGGGTGCAGTGGCTCACACCTGTAATTCCAGCACTTCGGGAGGCCAAGATGGAGACCATCCTGGCCAACATGGTGAAACCCTGTCTCTACTAATAATACAAAATACTAATAATACAAAAATTAGCCGGGCATGGCGGCGCGTGCTAGTCCCAGCTACTCGGGAGGCTGAGGCAGGAGAATCGCTTGAACCTGGGAGGCAGAGGTTGCAGTGAGCTGAAATCAAACCATTGCCCTCCAGCCTGGGCGACAGAGCGAGACTCTGTCTCAAAAAAAAAAAAAAAAGAAATTAAAAAAACGCTACAATACAATTGGTAACAAGGCCTTCAGCACAGTACAAATGCTAACTTGAAGAATTTTTAAAAACTATAATTTTTGGAACAATCAACATTGCATCATGGTATATTTTATTTTAAGCACATATATTTCTGTTATTTTCCACCGGACAGGTCTAGAGATTGTGAATTGACTCCGTAGAAATAACCATGACCACCTTGAGCCCACACATTTTTATCTCAATGCCATTTCTCACAAGTAAATGCAAAAGATCCTGAAAATAAATACTAATCCCAGAAACACCTAAGATATCCTTAAAACTTGTTAAATAGGAAATTCAATATGTTCCAGAAAGCTTGGGTTTATTTTTAGGGAAAGATAATTCAATTGGGAGGGAATTTCATTGCACAATATTCATATATATCAATCACAAAAGAAATAGTAACTGCGGCCAGGCACGGTGGCTCACGCTTGTAATCTCAGCACTTTGGGAGGCTGAGGCGGGTGGATTACAAGGTCAGGAGATGGAGACCATCCTGGCCAACATGGTGAAACCCCGTCTCTACTAAAAATACAAAAATTAGCTGGGTGTTGTGGTGCGTGCCTGTAGTCCCAGCTACTCGGGAGGCTGAAGCCTCCTGGGTTCACGCCATTCTCCTGCCTCAGCCTCCTGAGTAGCTGGGACTACAGGCGCCCACCACCACGCCCGGCTAGTGTGTGTGTGTGTGTGTGTGTGTGTGTGTGTGTGTTTAGTAGAGACGGGGTTGCACCGTGTTAGCCAGGATGGTCTCGATCTCCTGACCTCGTGATCCGCCCGCCTCGGCCTCCCAAAGTGCTGGGATTACAGGGATGAGCCACCTCGCCCGGCCATAATTTAGATTCTTTTGGTGTCTCTATGGAATTGCTATCATCAGGGAAAATTATGAGGTATTTTCTCCCATGAATAACTACATCTCTTTAGGGGTGGAGCAATCAATAACACAGCAGTATCAAGATTCTCAGGCGAGAGGTGGCTCACGCCTGTAATCCCAGCAGTTTGGGAGGCCGAGGCTGGTGGATCAGCTGAGGTCGGGAGTTCGAGACCAGCCTGACCAACAGGGAGAAACCCCGTCTCTACTAAAAATACAAAAATTAGTCAGAGGTGGTGGCGCATGCCTGTAATCCCAGCTACTCGGGAGGCTGAGGCAGGAGAATCGTTTGAACCCCAGAGGCGGAGGTTGCAGTGAGCCGAGATCATGCCATTGCACTCCAGCCTGAGCAACAAGAGTGAAACTCGGTCTCAAAAAAAAAAAAAAAAAACTCAGGCTCTGAGGTATGAAAACCTTTTAGATTCCCACAAACCACTTGTTGACAAATGTTTTTCCTATTTATATGAACTCATCATTTATTTTCAAGATAGTTCCTGATTCTTTGCTTTAATCTCTTATTTTGCTCCATTGTCCTAGTTGTATAATTTATTTCCAATATGCATTTGGTTTCCTATTTTTTCAGCTTCTCCTTATAAAGTACCATTTTTACTATGACTATTTTGAAAGCTTCTTGTATGTATAAAGTTAGTGTGATTATTGACTTTAACATACCACCTCCTTCTCCTCCTAGCCTCAGAAAGAAGTGTTGGTAACTGGTGAGAATTTTCAGACAGATTTTCCTTTTTTTTTTTAATTTAATTTAATTTTTTTTTCTTTCTTTGCTTTCTTTTTTTTTTTTTTTTGAGACAGAGTCTCACTCTGTTGCCCAGGCTAGAGTGCAGTGGCGCTATCTCGGCTCACTGCAAACTCCACCTCCCACGTTCAAGCGATTCACCTGCCTCAGCCTCCTGAGTATCTGGGATTACAGGCGCCTGCCACTGCGCCTGGCTAAATTTTTTTTGTATTTTTAGTAGAGATGGGGTTTCACCATGTTGGCCCGGCTGGTCTCGAATTCCTGACCTCGTGATCCACCCACCTTGGCCTCCCAAAGTGCTGGGATTACAGGCGTGAGCCACCGCGCCAATTTAATTTAATTTTTTAAAGTTCCAGGATACAGGTGCCGGATGTGTAGGTTTGTTACATAGGTAAACGTGTGCCATGGTGGTTTGCTGCACCTATCAACCCGTCACCTAGGTATTAAGCTCAGCATGCGTTAGCTATTTATCCTGATGTGCTCCATCCCCCGACCCCTTTGACATATTCCAGTGTGTGTTGTTCCCCTCCCTGTCTCCATGTGTTCTCATCGCTCAACTCTCACTTATAAGTGAGAACATTTGGTGTTTGGTTTTCTGTTTCTGTGTTAGTTTTCTGAGGATAATGGCTTCCAGCTCCATCCATATCCCTGCAAAGGACGTGATCTCATTCTTTTTATGGCTGCATAGTATTCCATGGTGTATATGTACCACATTTTCTTTATCACTGATGGGCATTTGGGTTGATTCCATTTCTTTGCTATTGTGAATAGTGCTGCAATGAACATATACATGCATGTATCCTTATAACAGAATGATAATAATAGAATGATTTATATTCCTTTGGATATATACACAGTAATGGGATTGCTGGGTCAAATGGTATTTCTGGTTTTAGGTCTTTGAGGAATTGCTACACTGTCTTCCACAATGGTTGAACTAATTTACCTTCCCACCAACAGTGGAAAAGCATTCCTATTTCTCCACCACCTTGCCAGCATCTGTTGTTTCTTGACGTTTTAATAACAGCCCACTGAACAGCAAAAACCTTAGTGTGAAAAACAATTATGGAGTCTGCTCCTGGGCAATGCAAGAAATATTTGGCACCTTATATACAATTATATACTTTTCTCCTGACTTTTTGAGTTTTGGCTTCTTGGTGTGGGTCAGTGGCTCCATAGTCTTTGTCCTATACAGACACAAGCAGCAAGTCCAACACATTTGTAGCAAGAGACTCTCCTCAAATCAGTATAAGTAAAATTAGGAAAATATTAAGATGATAGTGAGGGCCGGGTGTGGTGGCTCATGCCTGTAATCTCAGCACTTTGGGAGGCCGATGCAGGCGGATCACGAGGTCAGGAGATAGAGACCATCCTGGCTAACACGGTGAAACCCCGTCTCTACTAAAAATACAAAAAATTAGCCGGACATTGTGGCGGGCACCTGTAGTCCCAGCTACTCGGGAGGCTGAGGCAGGAGAATGGCATGAACCCAGGAGGTGGAGCTTGCAGTGAGCCGAGATCGCGCCACTGCACTCCAGCCTGGGCGACAGAGTGAGACTCCATCTCAAAAAAAAAAAAAAAAGATGATAGTGAATATATCAAAATCAATATCATCATTGTGATATTATACTGTAATTGCCAAATGTAACCATGGGTGGAAACTGGGCCATGTGTAGAGGCTCTCTGAGTTATTTTTTAAACTGCTTGTGAGTCTAAAATTAAATTAAAATTATTGTTAATAAAATGGTCAGTAAAAATGCTCAGGAATATGTAAGGCAAAAATAAGGCATTATAAAACCTTGTCCGTCATTATGTTTTAATACACATCTCCTCACATACTTATCATTTCTTTCTGATGAGAACATTTAAAATCTACTCTTTTGGCAATTTTGGAATAGACATTAACAATAGTCACCACGCCGTGCAACAGATCACTAGAACACATTCCTTGTGTCTAACTGAAACTTCGTATGCTTTCACAAAAACCTCCCGTTTTTCAGTTTGCCCTCTATCTCTTTAGCCTCTGGTAACCACCATTCTACTCTCTACTTTTATAAACTCAACTTGCCTAAATTCTGCATACAAGTGAGACCATGACCATGTGGTGTTGGTCTTTTTGGACTTTCTTTGAATGTGTCCTGCCTTCAGAGATGTGTTGACCTACAAGAAAAATGTATTGAAGCATACCACTATAATGTGTGCACATTTCTGAATGTCATGTATAAGATACCTATTTTTGCCACTCCTATTCAGTATAGTACTAGAGGTCCTAGCCAGAGAAATCAGGCAAGAAAAATACCTAGCTAACTAAATAAAAGATATTCGGGTGAGAAAATATAAAGTAAAATTGTTTTTCTTTGTTGTAATATGATCTTATAAACTCTTAGAACTGGGGAACAAATTTAATATAGTTGTAAGACACAAAATCAATATACAAAAATCAGTAGCATTGCGGTACACCAATAATGAAATAGCCAAAACAGAAATCAAGAAGGCAATTCCATTTGCAATAGCTATAAAAAGCAAAATAAAATAAAATAGAACACTGAGAAATATTTAATCAAGAGGGGAAAGACATCAAGGAAAACTACAAAGCATTGATAAAATAAACTGAAGAGGACACAAACAAATGGAAAGACATCCCATGCTCATGTATTCAAAGAATACATATTGTTAAAATAACAGACAGTACTACCCAAAACAATCTAAAGATTTAATGCAAGCCCAATCAACATACAAATGCCATTTTTTCACAGATATAGAAAAAAATTCTAAAATTTGTATGGATCTTCAAAAGAGCCCAAATAGCCAAAGCAATCCTGAGCCAAAAGAACAAACCTGGAGCATCACACTACCTGACTTCAACACCTTACACAGCCATAGTATCCAAAACAGCATAGTATTGGTATTTTGTTTTTGTTTTTTGAGACGGAGACTCGCTGTGTCGCCCAGGCTGGAGTGCAGTGGCGCCACCTCGGCTCACTGCAAGCTCCGCCTCCCGGGTTCACGCCATTCTCCTGCCTCAGCCTCCCCAGTAGCTGGGACTACAGGCGCCCGCCACCACGCCTGGCTAATTTTTTGTATTTTTAGTAGAGACGGGGTTTCACCATATTAGCCAGGTTGGTCTTGATCTCCTGACCTCGTGATCTGCCCGTCTCGGCCTCCCAAAGTGCTGGGATTACAGGCGTGAGCCACCGCGCCCGGCCTAGGACTTCTTTTTAACATATGTGTTGAGATTCCAATCTTTGTGGTTGCTATTTCTTTGATGATTAATTTATAGATTACAATGATTATTACTATGCAGTCAAATCACAATGTATTTTCTATAGAAATTAATACAAAATATATATTTAAAATAAAATGAGTTAGTTTAGTCTTCCAAAAATTTTTGTAGTTTAGAGATTATTTAAATTATTTGAGTTAGCATTTGTACTTGCTTTGTTCTATGGTGAAAGCTTTGCTACCAATTACATTGTAGGTTTATTTGTTTCAATTCATCAATACCCAATGGTGTTTACCAAGATATGATTAAGACAAGGTTTTACAATATCTTATTTTCATCTTACATATCACTGGGCTATTTAATTGAAAATTTTATTGAAATAATTATAGATTCACAAGCAGTTGTAGGAAATAAAACAGAAAGAGCCTGGCCCATATCGCCCAGTTTTTCCTCATGGTTACATTTGCAAATTATAGTATAATATCACAATAATGTTATTAACTTTGATAGATCTTATATCTTTTAAATATTTCCCTTGTTTTATTTCTATTCCTTTGTGAGTGTAGAACCCCTGAGTTTTATGGATTTTATAATTTCATTTTAATTGAACATTATTTAGGAATTATATAAAGTATTTATGTTTGTAAAAACCCAAAGATATATCACAGAATAATTCCATAGAATCCTAACTTTCATTTCTGTTTCCCCACCTGTCTGTCCCTATATACATATGCCTCTGCTGGCTTCAAATAATTCAGCATCCTTTGTACACTCTTCTGACCCATGCCTTTTTCACTTAAGCATATACCCTTAAGTAAAACCATATATGCAGTTCAACCTTAATGCAAACTATGTGTTCATACAAAGTACTGAGCTAGACTGGGCGCAGTGGCACACGCCTGTAATCCCAGCACTTTGGGAGGCCGAGGTGGGCAGGTCACCTGTGGCCAGGAGTTCGAGATCAGCTTGACCAACACGGAGAAACTCCGTCTCTACTAAAAATACAAAAAATTATCCGGGCGTGGTGGCGCATGCCTGTAATCCCAGCTACTCAGGAGGCTGAGGCAGGAGAATCACTTGAACCCGGGAGGCAGAGGTTGTGGTGAGCCGAGATTACACCATTGCACTCCAGCCTGGGCAACAAGAGTGCAACTCCACCTCAAAAAAAAAAAAAAAAAAAAGAATGAGATCATGTCCTTTGCAGGGACATGGATGAAGCTAGAAGCCATTATCCTTAGCAAACTAATGCAGGAACAGAAAACCAAACACCACATGTTCTCACTTATAAGTGGGAGCTGAACAATGAGAACACATGGACACAGGGAGGGGAACAATACACACTGGGGCCTGTCGAGGGATGGGGCTGGGGGAGGGAGAGCATTAGGAAAAATGGCTAATATATGCTGGGCTTAATACCTAGGTGATGGGTTGATAGGTGCAGCAAATCACCATGGCACATGTTTACCTATTTAACAAACCTCCACATTCTGCACATGTACCCCAGAACTAAAAATTAAAATAAAAAAAACTCGTTTTGTTGATCTTTTGTACTTTAAAATCTCTATTTCATTTATTTCTGCTCTGATCTTTATTTCCTTCTACCAATTTTGAGTTTAATTTCTTTGTTTTAGTTTTCTTCTTTGTTTTAGTTTTAGGTTTTTTGCTTTAGTTTCTTTTGGGTTTTTTTCTTTGTTAATGTATTCTCTGAATGATCTGCCCATTGCTGAAGATGAGGTGTTGAAGTTCTCTGGTATTACTGTATTGAAGTCTATCCTTTTGATCTACTAATATTTGCTTTATGTGTTTGTGCGTGCCCTAATGTTGGGGTCATATATATTTACAATTGTTACATCTTTCTAAATTGACTTTTTTCATTATATAATTACTTTCTCTTTTTTAGTTTTTAACTTGAAAAACTGCATTATTTAAAAATAATTATTTTACCTGATATAAATATAGCTAGACCTGTTCCATTTTGGTTTTCATTTGCATGGCATATCTTTTTCTATCCCTTCACTCTCAGTCTGTACATCTTTATAGGTGTAGTGAGTTTTCTTGTAGGCAGCATATAGTTGGGTCTTTTTTTTTTTCAATCCATTCAACTACTCTATGTCTTTTAGTTGAAGAATTTCATCCATTTACATTAAATCTTATATTTATAGTTAGGGACTTACTACTTCCATTTTGTTATTTGTTTTCTAAGTCTTCTCTAATTTTCTTACTCCCTTTTTTGTGGATAAGTGATTTTCTCTGGTAGTATGATTTAATCCTTTGCTTTTTGTTTTTAGTATCTCTACTATAAATTTTTGCATTATGGTTGCCATGAGACATAAAAAGTATCTTACAGTTACAGCAAGTTATTTTAAACTGATGACAACTTGACTTTGATCACAATGAAAAGAAATAAGCAAAGAATAAACTAAAAATCTCTACACTATAACTCATCACTCCTTTTCTTTTCGTTGTCTCACTTTATATCTTTTTATATATCTCCTAAAAAGCTATTCAGTCATCATTCTTGACAGATTTGTATTTTAGTGCTCACACTAAAGATATGAGGGGTTCACACACCAGAACTACAGTGTTAAAATATTCTCAATTTGTCTGTGTATTTACTTTTGCCAGTAAGTTTTACTCCTTCAGATGATTTCTTGTTGCACATTAGCATTCTTTTCTTTCAGACTGATGAACTCTCTTTACTATTTCTTGTAAGACAGGCCTGGTATTGATGAATTCCCTCAGCTTTTGTTTGCTGGGAAAGCCTTTATTTCGCCTTCATGGTTGAAGAATATATTTGATGACTAGAATATTCTTGGTTGAAGATGGTTCCCTTCAGCACTTTAAATACGTCTTTTCACTTTCTTCTGGCCTATGAGATTTCTGCTGAGAAGACTGCTGCCAATCTACTGGAGTTCCTTTATATGTTATTTGTTTCTTTTCTCTTGCTACCTTTCCTCTTTTTCATCTTTGACCTTTGAGAGTTTGATTGTTATATGTCTTGTGTTGAATCTGGTTGGCATTCTTTGACTTTCTTATACCTGGATATTCATATATATATGAATATGAATCATATATCTATATGAATATATATATGAATATGAATCATATATATGAATATATATATATTTGGAAAGTACTCTATAATTATTTCTTTGAATTAACTGTCTATCCCTACATCTTTCTCTACTCCCTTTTTAAAGGTAATCACTCTTAGACTTGCCCTTTTGTGGCTATTTTCTATATCTTTTAAGCACAGTTCATTCTTTTTCTTTTTTCTCCTCTGTATTTTCAATAGCCTGTATTTAAGCTAACAAATTCTTCTGCTTAATCAATTATGCTGTTGTTATATTCTGATGTATTTTTCAGTTCATCCATTGTCTTTTTCAGCACTAGGATTTCTGTTTGATTTTTTTTTTTTTTTTTGGTAATTATTTCAATCTCTTTGTTAAATTTCTCTGCTAAAATTCTGAATTCTTTCTTCATGTTTTCTTGACATTCTTTGAGCTTCTTCAAGACAGATATTTTGAATTCCCTGTCTGAAAGGTATTCCCTATCTGATAGATCTCTATCACTCCAGGGCTGGTCACTGGGCAGCTTATTTAGTCCATTTGATGAGATCATATTTTCTTGAATGTTCTCAATACTTGTGGATATTTGTACATGTCTGAACACTGAAGAGTTTCTTATTTATTCCAGTCTTCACAGTCTGGCCTTGCTTGTACTCATTCTTCTTCAGAGGGCCTTCAAAGAATTCAAAGGGGACTGAGTGCTGAGTTCCCTAAGCTGTGGTCACTGCAGCCATTTCAGCACTAGAGGGTGCCATAATCCCAAGTATGCAATAAATCTTGCAGACTCCTAGATACCCAGCCTAGATAGATGTGGGAAAGAGAAGACAATGTTCTGGGTTCCCAGGCAAAGTCCCTTACTCTCTTCTCTCTCATTCCCCGAAGTATAAGAAGTCCCTCTATATATACCAGGCTGCCTGTAATTGGGGGAGACGTGACACAGGGACTCCTGTGTCCATCACAGCTGGCATCACAGTAATGCTAGTCTAAACCCATGGACTCTATGACCAGCACAGTACTGGGGATTGCCCAAGGTCCACAGTCAGTACTACCTGACTGCCACTGACGTTTATTCAAGGCTTGAGGCCACTTTAGTCAGCAGGTGGTAAAACCAGCCAGAACTTGTGTCCAACCAACCAGGACAGCAGATTCCCTTCTGGCCTGGGTTGGGTCTAGCCGCACTGTCCAGGAAGAAAGGCCTGGGATCGGTGGCTTCAGGATTCTACTTGGCGCTTTATTTTCCTATGACTGAGCTGGTACTCAAGTTGAAAAACAAAGTCATCTGTACTCTTCCCTCTCCTTTCCTCAAGCAGAAGGAGTCTCTTTCTGAGCCACACTGCCTGGAGTTGGGGGAGGGGTGTGGCACACTCCCTTGGCTGCTACGGCTGGTGTCATGCTGGGTCACATGCACCCAAAGTCCACAGCCTTAGAGACCACTGCAGCACCAGGGCTTGCCCAAGGACTGCAGTCCTTGTGACCTAACTGCCACTCAAACTTATTCTGGGCCCCAGGCCACTTCGGTCAGCTGTTGGTGGTGCCAGCTGAGACTCAGGTTCCTTTCACGGGGGTTGAAAGGAATTTGCTTCTGGCCCCAGGCTGGTGTAAATGCTGTCTCCATGGGCACAAGTAGAATTGTGCCGTGTTGTGTTCTTCTGTGCCTGGGCAGCACCAGGTTCCAATGCAGTCCCACACTCACTTCGTGCTCTCTTCTACAAGCACACAGATTTTTCTCTGCATGTTGGTCTGCCAAGGGATGGGAAAGGGGTGGTTTAAGCAATGCAAGACTACCTTTCCTACCCACTTCAATGCCTTTCTTCTTGATATTATGTTAAAATCAGGTACTCCGATCACTCATCTAGTTTTCTGGTTCTTATGAATGTGCTTTCTTGCATGAGTAGTTGTTCAGCTCGTGTTCCTGTGGGGAGAAAATTGATGAATGTTTCTCTTTGGCCTTCTTGCTCCACTGATTTTTCTTTTTCTAGATTTTTACATAAATTGAATGATACTACATGTAATCATCTGCATCTGGCTTCTTTCACTGAGCTTAAGGCTTTTGAGATTTGTCCATATTATGTATAGGCATCCTTTTATATTGCTGGATAGTGTTCCATTTCATAGAGATGCTACAATCGATTGCTGCCATGGACATTATTGTGCATACCCAAAATTTATATGTTGAAATCCTAACCCCCTAGTACCTCAAAATGTGATGTATTTGGAGGTAGGACTTTAAAGAATTAAGTTGAAATCAGCCCATTAGGTTGGACCCTAATCTTACCAGTGTCCTTATAAGAAATTAAGACACACAGAGACACCAGGGGTACACATGCGTACAGTGATGGCCTTGTGAAGAGACAGAAAGAGGGCAGCCATGTGCAAGCCAAGGAGAGTGGCCTCAGAGAAATCCAACACTGCCAGCATCTTAATCTTGGACTTTAGAATTGTTAGAAAATTAATTTCTGTTGTTTGAGCCACCCAGTCTTTGGTATTGTGTTATGGCAGCCCTAGAAAATTAATACAATTACTCATTCACCTATGGATGGTCATTTGAGAATTTTTTTTAAGTGTTCTAGTTA
Organism: Homo sapiens; assembly: GCF_000001405.40. NCBI lineage: Eukaryota > Metazoa > Chordata > Mammalia > Primates > Hominidae > Homo > Homo sapiens. Next base: position 57,467,747 of record NC_000019.10, read on the forward strand.
TTGGTTAGATGTGAAGTTTCCATACCTTCTCCCCACAAAGTCAAGGCACATCACCCTCCTGGTACATCAACATGTTCACCAACCAGGAAACTCCACCAAGCCTCTGCGTCAAGAGTTCTAAGTTGGTAGGGAGGAACGAGGAGGGGGTATCTCATTTTGTAGCTGTGATTAAATCACAACCACATGGCTGACTTCAATCTCTAGTTCCTTTCCTCTCCCCAAAGGTCAATCTGGCTCAAAGTTTCAACCCTCTTATTACATGGTTGGTCTTTCTGATGAAGAGCCCCCATTCTGAACCTTTCTAGGAGCCTATAATGAATCACTTCGTTAGTATAAAAAATACACTTCTCTCACTCAAAGAATTACAAGATTTTTGTAGTACTAAGCCTGGGACAAAGATCCAGATATATTTTTTATTACACCACAGACTGTATTTAATATAATAATTAATAGATTTTCTACTGTTAAACCAACTTTAAGATCCTAACAAATCTCAAGGCTGGGTGCGGTGGCTCACGCCTGTAATCCCAGCACTTTGGGAGGCCGAGGCAGGCAAATCATGAGGTCAAGAGATTAAGGCCATCCTGGCCAACATGATGAAACCCTGTGTCTACAAAAAATACAAAAATTAGCTGGGCATGGTGGCGTGCACCTGTAATCCCGGCTACTCAGGATGATGAGGCAGGAGAATTGCTTGAACCCAGGAGGCGGACGTTACAGTGAGCTGAGATCGCGCCACTGCACTCCAGCCTGGCAATAGAGGGAGACTCCGTCTCAAAAAAAAAAAAAATCCTAACAAATCTCACTAGAATATGACTTATTCTTTCTCTCTAAGAGATATATAGATATATGTATTAAATATCTTTAGTAGAGGATTTTTCAGATCTCGAGTGAGCCTGGTCAGTTGGTATCTTTCAATGGATTTTTGTTTTCCAAGTTTCAACTTACTGAGAAAGGGTTGTTTAAAACAATCACACATTATCCATTATATGTTTCAAAGTTATCTAGTACTATACTATGTTTCATTGCTCCTATCTGTAATATGTGATTTACGTTCTTTCTGATTAAAAAAAGGAGACACCTTGAATAAATTATTAAAATTGATAGACCTTCCACTATATCAGAAAGAAAAAACATGGGTTCATAGATTTTCTCAAAAAAGAAAAAACTAAATAAGGTTACTGTGAAAATTAATTCTGAGGCCCTAGTACAAAGATGGAGAGCTCAGAGCCCAAAAGTCATCCTGTGTTAAGGAGACATAGCTAAGAGTCTCGGTTTGCCAAGGTAGCTGGAGTCTACAGAGCAGAGTACAGGAGAGAAAAAACTTCAGAGATATAGAGGGCCATCCCCAAGTATTCAGCTGAGTATAATCTGTGTTTGCATATAGAAAAAGACCAGAGGATGGGTAAAGAACCACCTGAAAGGATTATACGGGAAGCAATTCCCAAGGCTTATACAGAAAACATGATAGTTCTCATTTCAACCAGCTTGAGTAAAAAAAACTCATAACTCATGAAGCATTAGGTAGAGAATATAGGAAGGTTGTGTCTCAGTAATGGGAGGGGAATTTGTCTTAAAATGTATGCTGCAATAATCTCATCGAGAAATGTTTAGAATCAAGACTCCCCAAAAGATCATATTGTTTCCAAGTAACTTAACCATGTAACAGAAAAAAGAAATCAAGAATATCTATAGAAAATTAAAAAAAAATCAGTACCTAAAATTCAGTGTCCATTCAAAATTAAACCATGTTAACAGTATCAGACAAGGGAGATTTTAGAGAAAGAATATTACCAGAGATTAACAGGATCATAATGATAAAGTGGTCAACACATCAAGTGGACATAAAATAGGAAATATTTATTATTCACCTAATAAAAACATACTAAAATATGTGAAGCAAAATCTGACAGAACTGCAGAGAAGTAAATCCAATTTAATATTCAGAGATGTCAACAATCCTCTTAAAATAATTGCTGGAACCAAAACCACAGAATGTCAATAAAGATAGAAAAAACTTAAATAACATCAACCATTTTTACCTAATCAACACTTGTAGAACCCCTTCATCAAACGAGAGTACAGTATACATTTCAAGTGAACATGTAACTCATACCAAGATAGCCCATATTCTGGGCCACAAAGCAAATCTCAATAAATGTAAATAATTCAAGTCTTAATGTACTCTGACCACAATGGAATTATTGCAGAAACTACCAGAAAGATAAGCAAAATCCCCAAATATTTAGGAATTAAATAACATACATTTAAAAAGAGCCATGTGTCAAGAAGAATTTTTTTAACTGGAAAACATCCTAAACTCAACTAAAATGAAACCACATCGGCTGGGCTCACGCCTGTAATCCCAGCACTTTGGGAGGCTGAGGCAGGCGGATCACAAGATCAGGAGATCGAGACCATCCTGGCTAACACGGTGAAACCTCGTCTCTACTAAAAATACAAAAAATTAGCCAGGCATGGTGGCAGGCGCCTGTAGTCCAAGCTACTCGGGAGGCTGAGGCAGGAGAATGGTGTGAACCCAGGAGGCAGAGCTTGCAGTGAGCCGAGATCGCGCCACTGCACTCCAACCTGGATGACAGAGCAAGACACTGTCTCAAAAAAAAAAATGAAACCACATCAAGCTTGATGGGAGGTAATTAAAGCAGTTCTCAGATAGATTTTTAACATTAACATCTCTTCCCCATATTAGGGGAAAAAAACCCAAAGGTTTGAAATGAAGGACCTCAGCTTCCATGTTAAAAAGTAGCAAAAGAAATGAAATCCAATAAAAGCGGAAGGCATTAGTAAAACTCAAAATGGAAAAGAAAAATCCCAAAATATCAGAAAACAGAAAATTCAATAATACCAAGTACTTTAAGATCAATAAAATTGTAAAATTGATAAATCTCTACCCAAACCAATCAAGGTTAAAAGAAAAATATAGACATTACCAGTATCAGGAATAGAAGAGGTTGCACCACTACAAATTCTACAAGTATGAAAATAATATTTTGAAAAATTTGAGTACTTAAATAAAACAGAAAAACTCCTTGAAAGACACAAACCATCAAAGCTCACTCTAGAGATAGATGGATGGATGGAGTGACAAACAGATGGACGGACAGACAGATGTATATATAACTAGTATAGCCCTCCATCTACCATGGAAATCAAACTTGTAGTTAGATGCTGTCCTACAAAACACACTTCAGGGCCAGAGTGACAGACAGACAACACACACACAGACAGATGTACATATAACTTGTACAGCCCTCTATCTACCACAGAAATCAAACTTATAGTTAGAAACTTTCCTACAAAACAAACTCCAGGCCCAGACAGCTTCCTTGGTGAATTCTACCAAACATTTAAGGAAGAAATAATACCAATTATTCACAAACTCTTCCAGAGAGCTGAAGAGCAGGAATACTTCCCAACTTACTCTATAAAGCTGGCATTATGCTGATACCAAAGCCAAACCTGGGCAAGATATAAAATTACAAAGAAAAAAAAGCAAGCAAGCAAGAAAGAAAGTTAGGGACAAATATCACTCGTGAACATTGGTGCAAAACTTGTTACAAAAAAACAAAACAAAACAAAACAAAATAGCAAATCAAATTCAACAATATACTAAATGACTAATACATCATGACCAAATGGGAATTATTACAGAAATGCAAGGTTGGCTTAACATTTAAAAAAATCAGTCAATGTAATTCATATTAAACAACTAAAACAGAAAAAGAAAAAAACCATATAGGATTATGGTCACCAGAGTCCAAGAAAACGCCCCACAAATCCCTATTTTCACCTTTGTGTAGTTCTCTTCCACTTTTAACCAGGATTAGCTAGGGTTACTTATGAAATATAGCAGAAATGACGGCTCATCACTTTCAGTTTAAGGTAATGACAGATACTGTGGCTTTGTTCTTGTGTGAGTTCTCTCCTGGATCACTTGCTTTGAAACTATTTCTCTACAATGGAACACTCTTAGCAAAGTACAAATGAAAAGAAATGAACTATGAAACACAGAACACCACCATGAGCCTTAATTTCAGAGTTTAAGAAGCCAAAAACATTAGAATACATATTAAATTACTCTATCTCTGTAGAATTCTAGGAAATACAAACAAATCTACAGTGACAACGGATCAATAGTTGCCTGGGGATGGGTGAAGGAAAGGGAGAAAATATAAAAGGAATCAGGAAACTTTTGGTTTGAGAAGTGCCAACATGTATCAAAACTTATCAAATGGTACACTATAAATATGTGCAGTTTATTGCAAAAATGTTTAGACTGACTTCTGGACAGTAACCTTAGCCATAAGAGACACAGGTATGGAAATATTTCTGTAAACCCTCATAATGGAGCCAGAGTAATGGAAACACATGTGGATGTACCTTTAGAAGGGTCATATTCCCTATAGTTTGCTGCAGTTTTCTCATTCCTTTATTAATCTGGGTTTCTGCACCAACTATGATTCCTACCTGGGCCTTCTGGAGGACAGCCAATATCAACTGCCTACTGAAAAATAGACTTCAGAGATCTTGACATGTCCACTGAGTTCAAATTCTCCTCAAGAAGCCTTGGGAATATGAAGTATCTTCTGGGAACAAGGGACGTAATTCATGTTGCTCCCAGACACATTAGAGATTATCACAACAAATGCCCACTGCTTAGGGTGACCTCAATTACACAAAAAATCTTAACATATAGACCAAAAGATTAGGCCTACAAAGACTGGCATTCTTTCCTAGGAGAGCTGAAGCAGTCAAGTAAGTTAGCTTGACACTAGCATAAGAGCTAGTCTTTGCCATCCTACTATCACTTCAGAGATACAGATAGTTGGAGCTCTCACAAAAGCTGTTCTTCCCTTCATACTGGCTTAGCTCAATTCTGTTCTCAACCCAACCCACAAAGCGAACAGAATCCTCAAGATTTCAGATAGTCTAAAAATTAAGGCATTTGTTGCAAAACCAGAATATGAGGCAGCCAATTTCAGGTCAGGTGTCTTGAAGGCTAGAAAAATTCGTCCCAAGTGCCATGTGAGATCAACTATATCCATGAAGGGAAACCTCTGCCAGTGGTCAGCAGAACAAAGCTCCCATTTTTCTGGCTAAAACTGGGTCATGCTCATGCTTAAACCAGTAGTGGGGCAGAAAAAAAGTGAGAATCCTTGATGGCCTCAGGCTACTGATGATTCCCTCCAGGGAAGGGAATAGTACAGAGGTCTGTCTTTTGAAACACATTGGGGTTACTTTGGCACAAGGCAGGACTCTTCCAGCACAAAGACAGATGGCTTCTAACAGGCACTGCCTTGACGAAATTCCAGCAAGAGTCTAGAAAATTCAGCATAGCTCCAGAAGGCTTCCCATATAGCTGGCACTCGGAAGAACCTCCCCAGGGTGAGTGTTTGAGTGTATAAAGTTCTACTTCTGGCTGTCGGCTACACATAAAGGCTATGCTTGGAGCTTCTCTCTGATGTCAGTTATTATGTTGAACAAGGAAACGGAATTATCTCCCATCCTAAGGCCTTTCTCCAGTGTGAATTTTCCAGTGGCGGATGAGGGAAGCCCTCTGCCTGAAGGCCTTCCCACATTCACTGCACTTATATGGCCTTTCTCCAGTGTGAATTCTATGATGCTGAACAAGTACATGTTTGTGGCTAAAGGCTTTTCCACATTCACTGCACACATAAGGCTTTTCACCATTATGAACTCTTTGATGTGCAATAAGGTCAGAGCTTTGGCTAAAGAACTTCCCACATGCGATGCACTCATAAGGCCTTGCTCCAGTATGAACACTCCAATGTTTAATGAGTCTGTATTTGTGACCAAAGTATTTTCCACATTCGCTGCACTCATATGGCCTTTCTCCAGTATGGATACTCTCATGCTGAACAAGTGTAGATTTGTGACTATAGGCTTTCCCACATTCACTGCACTTGTAAGGCCTTGCTCCAGTGTGTACTCTTTGATGTACAATAAGGTTAGAGCTATGATTAAAAACTTTCCCACATATGCCACACTCATAAGGCATTTCTCCAGTGTGGATTCTCTGGTGCTGAGCAAGTATGGGTTTGCGGCTAAAGGTTTTCCCACATTCACCGCACTCATAAGGCCTTTCTCCAGTGTGGACTCTCTGGTGTTGAACAAGTGAGTCTTTGCGGCTGAAGGTTTTCCCACATTCACTGCATTTGTAATGCCTTTTTCCACAGTGAGAGGCCTCCTCACACTTGGTGTTGCTGTGTGGCTTCCACTCATTGTGAGGGGCATGGTGCTCGAAAATGCTTGAGCTGGCTAGGAAGTCCTTACAAGCCTCCCCTGTCACAAAAGACATCTCCATTGATTGCACAGCACAGTTGTTCAGAAGAAAGGGCCTGCTCTTATCACTTCTAAAGGGTTTCTCTCCACTGTGCTGCTTCTGGTGCTGGTGAAGGTTTGCACTGAAGCAGAACTGTTTCCCACACAGCACACACATGTATGGTTTCTGCCCTGGGTGTGTTTCCTGGTGCTCAGCCAAGTGCAAAATGTCTTTTAAGACCAGGCCACATGTCCCACAGGGGTAAGCCTTCTGAGTAGAAGGACCTCCCTTGGGAATCCTGATCTGTGACATTCCTATAGAAAAGCTCTGCTCAAAAGGTATCTCTTCATCCTCCATTCCATGCCAACAACCTGAAAGCAGAGAAATGCTGGTGAAGTACAAATTGACACAGGTGGAAGAGGGGAAGCCTCACTACAAATATGTGTCTAACACAACTAAGACCAAGGTCATAGGACTGTTGTTAGGACAAGGGTCCAAACTCAAGTTCAGCAAATGTGTACTATACGGTAGTTGGCATCTAAATGTCATAGAATGGAGAAGGCCTCAACTGGGAGAGGACAAAGATGTGGGGTACAGCACAAAAAAGAGGCAGGTCTCAAAGTCATTCACAATCAGATTTTCTTGGCTGCTGGGGACAGGTGAGAGTTGTGCAGAAGGTTATGGTCCATACCAAAGAAAATCAAATTGCTACTCAGTAGTTGGTGTTTAAGGACTATTTGGGCTACACATCTCATGAAACACTAAGTACAGGCCAATGCTGGAAGGCACTGTAGAACAAGCCATGGAGAGGAACAGGTGAGACATGAAGGCAGAGGTATGGAACATCCAGAGGCCAAAGGCCAGAGTATGAAAGGCCAGTGGCCTTAGCACTAATACAACTGTAGGCACAAAGAGGCTATGGAATGATATGAACCCAGCCCTGACATCACACCTTTCCCCAGCTCCTACTCACCAGGGTCACTCCCACCTGGAGTCTCTGTGGCAACAGCTAGGGTCATGTCCACCCAGTCAGGTACCCAGGGCTCACTACCCATCACCAGTGAGGCAACTATGTGGGACATGAAAGATGTATGTCCTAAGGGAAAGATAGAACAGCACTGGTCTGGGTAACCCATATAGAAAACTAAATATTATTAAAATAATCTCAGAGTAAGGTCTTGCAGGAATAGTGCAGTGGTCCTAGCAAGTAGCGACCATAATGGTCCCTACAATTCCTGACATAGGCAGGCCACAGGAAATGTCAGCTAAAGGAAGAGCGCAGAATCCCAGGCACAGAGGTGTCATGGATACAGACAGAGGAATTCAGACAGGGAAAGGACAAGATGGATATGACCCACTGGGCTGACAATACAATGCATAACTCCTGAATCCATGCCTGCAAGGCTCTGAGACAGCAAGCGCTGGGAATGCTCAAAAGGAGAAAGTAGGAGTGCAAACAGCCCAAGCCCAGCACTCACAGAACCTACTCCAGGCACTAAGAAATGAGACAGTGTCCACGGCTCTGATGTAGGAAGGACAAAGATGCCCTGAAAAAAAGGGGAAGGGCAGGACCCAGTCCAAGTCACTGGGGTGGATGTGACGGCCTTACCCAGAGAGGCCATAAGTGCAAAGTTCTCCAGCATCACATCACGGTACAGGAGCCTCTGAGCCTCATCAAGGAGCACCCACTCCTCCTGGGAGAAGTACACGAACACGTCCTCAAAGTTCACCTGCCCCTGCCACAATCAGGAGAGCCAAGTCCATGAGCAGCATCTCTCCCAAGAACCCCCATCCGTGCCCCCACACATCTCCCTCCTGTACACCCTCCTACCTAACTCCTCAACTCAGGAAATATCAGGACCAGATGTCATTGGTGTCTTCTCTCGCCTCATGGTCCCAATGGATCACTGTGTCTACCCATAGCAACCACAGGCAGGTGAAGAAGTTGTCACCCTCTAAGCTCTGTGCTTAGCATACAGGGCCTCACCCTTCTGTAAGCAAATTCCTCTGGGGTCACTAACATCATGCTTACCAGACAACCAAAGATGGGCTTGCCTTTCTCCTTTAAGCCCAGACGTCATCAGTCTACACTTCTTTCCATATGTACATCACTCTTTGGATCACAGTTATCTCACAACTCTGGCTCTCCACCATCACTTTCCTGGCTCACTAAATGCACTACCACTGTGAAATGAATATTCTCTTTTAACTCCCAATCTACATAATCATCTTTAAGCCATTTCAGGATGATTCCCGCCCCCTTGCTCTTGGTTCCCACCAGACATGACAGAGACCTGCAATTTCTTGAAAACTCCCTTCTCAGTCTCACCTCTAAGTATTTTGCACAGGCTGGTTCCTGTGCCTGGAACAACCTTCCAACCTTATTCCAATGGTTGGCAGAAATGGAAACCCCTCCATAAAACCCCTGGCCCGGAGTCAGGACCCTGGGCTTGGGGCTTCTCCAGAGTCCTCAGACCCAAGAGATCGGAGAGTAGCAGGAGAGTGTTCTATATAACACCACAATGCTGGAGAGCGTATTGGGTGGGGGTGGGATCGGTGAGAGCATGGACATTCTCCCCTCACCTGTATAGGGTCCACAATTACTTCTGAGTTCATGGGAACCTGTGGGGAAGAGGGAGACTATGCGAGTCAAGCAATCTTGAAGGAACCCCAAAGGCTCAACCCCATCCCATATTCCTACCCAGTTACAATGTGCCTGGGAGCTGAATGTCTACCCTCTGTGCTTCCATCTTCAAGGATACCTCTTAACTGTGTTAGCTCGGAACAGTGCTCATTATCCGCCCCCATGGCCAACAAGAGTCTGCCCTCCATGAGCAGTCTATGGAATACTTTTTAAACCCTCGGATTCTGGCTCTCCTCTGTTCAGAACCTTCCATGGCTCCCATCACCCTCAGAATAGAGACCCAGCTGCTCAGGATGATATTCCAGGTGCAATCACTTATAAAGCGCTCTGATCCTTTCAGACACTAAAGGCCCAGTTTTCCCAAATGCTCCAGCTGTGAACCATCTCTGAGCCTTTGCATACACTGGTCTCTCTGCCTGGAACGTCCTTCAACTCGTGCTGTCAAAATGGGTCCCAAACACGAGCGCCCCCACTGTTCTAGATACAGGGGCCTGAGCTGCAGTAACCCGAGGAATCGTTCATTCGAAGCTTTGGGATTCAGAGATGGGGGTCAGCGCGCAGACTCGCAGACGCAGCACCCACCTGTGCCGGGCCCATCGGCTCAGCCGCCGCCATCAGGCCTGTGGACTACGGAAGGGTGGCGACAAGTGCAGGAACCTGGGATCAGCTGTCCAGGGCCCAGCCCAGCGGCTAGGTCACTCAGGCAGCGCCACTGTCAAGCCTCAGGCCCACCTCTCTTCAGGGAAGAAGACACTCTCTCACGTTTTCCCTTTTCTGTCACCTCAGGTCTGACATTGCGTTCTGGAAACTAAACCAGTGGATTAATGGAAAAGCAAACAAAATGTCCACCCGAGGATGGTAGAGGAAGTCCCGCCCTGACGTTGGTGAGGACCAACGGAAACGCCTATTTCCTGGGTTTTCATTGGCCCAGAGCCGCCAAGTTTCCTGGGTAATGTAGTTCCCACGGCACCAACACTAGTAAGCGGCGTCTCGCTTCACCTCCAGGTTAAAAGCCCAGAGAAGACCGCCAGGGGCGCGTGGAAATGGTGTCCCTCGTCTCCAAGGCCCAGACGGAGCTTAGCTTCCTCTTGAAGGAGCCATATCTGTATTTCTGGTGAACGTCGTGTTTGACATCAAAGGAATGTTTAGAGACATGATTTCAGCCTTCCTTACGCAGAGAATGCTCATCAAAAAATAAAATGGACACACCATACACTGACGTCACTCAGATTTCTATGGCTGGAAGTTAACAAATATTGTTTTCAAATGCGTGTAGCCTGATGCTCCAGAGTTAGTTTGGCGAGCCTCAGCATTTTCTGTCAGGCACAAGAAAGAAAAGACTCCAGACACCATGATGTGGAACGTGGAGTGGGGATGTTTGGTGGCCTTGAAGTAAGTGAATAACCCTTCTGTCTGTTACCTCAGAAAATATTTATCCTGCTTATACAGCAGTGATTGTGTCAAACCCAACAAGTAATACTCTTGTTCAAGATAGTATTTCATACTCCATATACAGAGATGTATTCAATATTTTAAGTGTTTTACAAGTGTCTGAAAAGACAGAATTCATCAAATGTCATATGGCAATGAAAAGGGCAACATGAACACTTTCTGTAAAGAAGAAATAACCACCAAACTAGATGTCTATACACAACAAAATGTCTTTTATGGAAGTGTGATATAAAACTATTTGAAACCAAAAATGATAAATGTAATGGAAATACATTTACACAAAAAATAATGTTTAAAATAATACTCAAGGCCAAAGAAAGTTGATCTCAGGTGAAAAGTCTGCAATGAGAGAAGAAATGAAGATGAAAAGAAGTGCATCTTTTGATTAAAATAACAGCATATTACAGTGTAAAACATAAGTAGATATACTTATTGAGTTAGAATGATGGAATTCCCGTGCGTAACCTCAACTACATATAAATTGAAAGGAGGCTAGTTGCTCAAAGTTTTAAATTTTTTATATTTCCAAGTGGAAAGCAAATGTATTACAATCCTGTATGGCACGCTAATGTGTTAAACGTTTGTAATTTTTAGCCTAAATATAATAAATACAGTCAGCGTATATACTTTTCAAACTAGAAGAGGAAATGTTTGGAATATAAATAAATAATCAATAGAAAGGTAAAATAATAGTAAAATAAGTGGAAGAAGTGAGGCAAAGAAAAGCACAATGTAGGATATATTTAAACTGTCAACCTAAATAACAGAGATTCTTCAAAGATGTTGAGTTCATTCAGGAATGCACAGGGGATTTGCAAATCCAGGACATGCAGGCTATAGGGACTATAGGCATATCCAGAGAGCTTGAAACAAGGAGAAGCTTTCAAAGGCAAAAGGGAAAAGTATATATAATTTGTTTTGAGATAAAAAGAACATTGGTCACAGATGTTTATGGCAGAGGTTAACACCAGTTCATTAGTGGAGACAATCTGTCAGGCAAGTGTTCTACTACATCTAGAGCTGTCCTTGTAACTCCTGTAGCAAGCTGCGGTTTGAGAAGTTCTTGTCAAAACTTCTTTTAACGGGAATATGTGCATTAAGAGCCCTCAGAGACAGTAATAGCTCTTATCTTAAGCATGTGTGTTTGAGTGCCCTCTTTTCTCAGCCTCCTGGCTTTATTTATTTATTTACTTATTTATTTATTTTACACAAGTTACTCATTTTGGTTTTGACAACTTTTGCAAAACCTAAATGACTATGCAATAAATACTCAAATAAGCAGTTAGTAATTTTTGATGGACCAAAACACGCTTCACGAGGTATTCTCTTTTCTTCAGTGAATTTCCACAGAATTTGAATTGTGATTGAAAGCACAACTAACATTCCCAGACTCCCTACTCTGTCAGTAAGAAAAGAATCATGTTGTAGTTAGAAACGTCCAAAATCTGCTTTAGAGAAACCAAGACCTACGCTTGAAGGTTACCAGGCCCTTGACTCACCCAACTGGGCTGAGATGTCATCAGGGAACTGCATATCATCAGCATCTTCTGGTTATTCATACAGGGGTGGGATAAGGATGACAATAATTTACATTTAATAATGTCCATATCCTAGACATTCTATCAGACCTTTTATAAACACTACGCACTTTTGCCCTGTAAAGTGGATTTGTCACCTAAATTAATATGAGGAAACTGAGGTTTCTTGGGTCTATAATTTATTTTCAGCTGTAGCTGTTAAGTGGCATAGTTGGCAATGGAGTCCAAGGAGCCATGACTAACTACTTCCCAGCATGGCCTCCTACCCTAGGTCATCTATCTGGGTAGGTTCAGAGCCCTTTCTATGTTAGACAAACAAGGCTATGAAAAATTCAATGTCCCAGGCAGCTGACATGAGGACAAGAATGTGTCTTGCCTTTTCTTCACCACAGAAACATGAACCTTCAGCTTCATTTATTCCCTAAACGTGGGTTCCTTGGATGCCAATCAAGAATCAAAACAGGAAAAGTCCTGCTGGCCCACAAATACAGAGGGTTTGATAGGTGAAATGTTATTGCCTGAGCCTCACCGTATCATCCCAACCACCCACATATCCTGTTACCTCTGCCTCCTAATATGTCTCAGGTCATCTTCTTCTCAACACCTCCAATTTCATGCCCTTGGGCCAATCTGCCAACATTCCTGAGCTACACAATGCCTTCTGCCTTGTATCCTACATCAGTTTTTTCTCTACTTTAGTTCATTCTCCACATATCATGCAGAAGATGACTTCAACACAAATCAGGTTCTATTTGGGAGAATCAGAAGCATGTTGGTGGCTAGAGGGGGAAGGGCTTCCCTCCAAACTTTAGTGTTATAACATGGTTTAGGGTTATAACCTGTCCTGCATTTTCAGTGGTCCCACCAGTAATTTCTATGTTGTCTTTTTTGTCAGGCTCATTGCTACTGTCCAGCCCCTAGGATTTCTTCCTCAGCAGAGGACTCCTGTAATGCCCCTGACTCAATCCACATTCTCTTCCTCCTCTCTCCTTTACAGCAAGAACTAAAATCATTTCCTTGCAGACCTAGGCCAGCGAACAGGAGATTCACAACCATGTTATCGATTTGGTGCTGCCCTTCACACTTCATGGAACATGAAAGCTCAGTGAGGGTCTGAGTCCACTTCCCAGCAGAGAGAGCATAGCCATGTGCCATTTATGTGAGAGTGCAATCTTGGTACATTTAGAGTAACTGTTTAATCCAATATGCAGATGGATGGTGTTCAATTAGGAATTCTCAAAATTTTTTTAAAAAGAATTCTCAAATAAAAATCTCATATAATTCCTATTCCATTTAAAGCCAATGATTTTGTTTTCCTGTGCTTTGAAACTAGAACATCCTTGTTGTCTCAATCCCAAGACGGAAGCCAAGCTAAAAAACAAAAGGAGCAGGACTTCACAGAAGCCCTAAGGCTCAATGAAGGATGGGCCATTGCACATTGCACAGTCTTTTTAAAAAAACAATAATTGTACTGCTATCCACACATCCTTGTGAGTCATTTCTCATCAGACATATATTCTAAGCCATATGCAGTACATACAGCTCTAAATTCTAGTAATCATCCTGACAGAATTCTAATGAAGGAGGTGGATGAGCATTTACCAGATTCAAATGAATGCAAACTGAAAAATAGGCAAAACTATGTTAGATGACAATGTAAGAAATCAGACATGCCACAAATTAGACCTCCTTGATGGGTGAATGACTTACAGCGGGGGTTACAGAAATGCTGGTATGGCTGGGCGCAGTGACTCACACCTGTAATCCAGTACTTTGGGAGGCCTAGGTGGGCAGATCACGAGGTCAGGAGATCGAGACCATCCTGGGCAACATGGTGAAACCCCGTCTCTACTAAAAATACAAAAAATTAGCCGGGCATAGTGGTGCGTGCCTGTAGTCCCAGCTACTCGGGAGGCTGAGGCAGGGGAATCGCTTGAACCTGGGAGGCGGAGGTTGCGGTGAGCTGAGATTGCACCACTGCGCTCCAGCCTGGTGACAGAGTGGGACTCTGTCTCAAAAAAGAAAAAAAAAAAGAAATGCTGGTATACTAACACTGTTCTTTTTTGATTGGCACACTGCTTTTAGAGATGTGTTGACTTTGGGAATATTCATTGAGCTGTACAACTACATGTTAATTTTTGTGAATGTCATTTGTAAATTAAAATTTACCAAAAGTTCATGCTAACAAACCCGAAGTGCCTATTCCATATTGTTATGCAGGCTGGATGTGATGGCTCATGCCTGTAATCCCAGAACTTTGGAAGGCCTAGGCAGGTAGATGGCTTGAGCTCAGGAGTTCAAGACTAGCCTGGGCAACATGGCAAAACTCGTCTCCGCAAAAAAAAAAAAAAACTAGCCAGGTATGGTGGCTTGCACCTGTGGTCCTAGCTACTTAGGAGGCTGAGGTGGGAGGATTCCTTGATCCTGGGAGGTGGAGGTTGTGGTGAGCTAGGATGGCACCACTGCACTCCAGCTTAGGCAACAGAAGGAGACCCTGTCTCAAATATATACGTGTGTGTTTGTGTGTGTGTGTGTATATAATTCTCCAATGTAGAATAATATATATATTATTCTCCAATGTGGAATAATAATTAATAATAATACTAATAATTCTTGGGCATTTACCCAATTGAAATAATAATTCTTGGGTATTTGCCTGATTGAAATGAAAAACTGTCTTTAAGAAAAATTCGGCTCTTCTCCCTTTAAGACCAGCTCTGCCTCTGCCTCTGCCTCTGCCTCTGCCTCTGCCTCTCCCTCTCCCTCTCCCCTCTCCCCTCTCCCCTCTCCCCTCTCCCCTCTCCCCTCTCCCCTCTCCCCTCTCCCCTCTCCCCTCTCCCCTCTCCCCTCTCCCCTCTCCCCTCTCCCCTCTCCCCTCTCCCTTCTCCCCTCTCCCTCTCGGTCTCCCTCTCCCTCTCTTGCCATGGTCTCCCTCTGATGCCGAGCCGAAGCTGGACTGTACTGCTGCCATCTCGGCTCACTGCAACCTCCCTGCCTGATTCTCCTGCCTCAGCCTGCCGAGTGCCTGCGATTGCAGGCGCGCGCCACCGCGCCTGACTGGTTTTCGTACTTTTTTGGTGGAGACGGGGTTTCGCTGTGTTGGCCGGGCTGGTCTCCAGCTCCTAACCGCGAGTGATCTGCCAGCCTCGGCCTCCCGAGGTGCCGGGATTGCAGACGGAGTCTGGTTCACTCAGTGCTCAATGTTGCCCAGGCTGGAGTGCAGTGGCATGATCTCAGCTCGCTACAACCTCCATCTCCCAGCCGCCTGCCTTGGCCTCCCAAAGTGCTGAGATTGCAGCCTCTGCCCGGCCGCCACCCCGTCTGGGAAGTGAGGAGCGTCTCTGCCTGGCCGCCCATCGTCTGGGACGTGAGGAGCCCCTCTGCCTGGCTGCCCAGTCTGGAAAGTGAGGAGCGTCTCTGCCCGGCCGCCATCCCATCTAGGAAGTGAGGAGCGCCTCTTCCCGGCAGCCATCCCATCTGGGAAGTGAGGAGCGTCTCTGCCCGGCCGCCCATCGTCTGAGATGTGGGGAGCGCCTCTGCCCCGCCGCCCCGTCTGGGATGTGAGGAGCGCCTCTGCCCAGCCGCCCCGTCTGAGAAGTGAGGAGCCCCTCTGCCCGGCAGCCACCCCGTCTGGGAAGTGAGGAGCGTCTCCGCCCGGCAGCCGCCCCGTCCGGGAGGGAGGTGGGGGGGTCAGCCCCCGCCCCGGCCAGCCGCCCCGTCCGGGAGGTGAGGGGCACCTCTGCCCAGCCACCCCTACTGGGAAGTGAGGAGCCCCTCTGCCGGGCCAGCCGCCCCGTCCGGGAGGGAGGTGGTGGGGTCAGCCCCCCGCCCGGCCAGCCGCCCCGTCCGGGAGGGAGGTGGGGGGATCAGCACCCCGCCCGGCCAGCCGCCCTGTCCGGGAGGGAGGTTGGGGGGTCAGCCCCCCGCCCGGCCAGCCACCCCATCCGGGAGGTGAGGGGCGCCTCTGCCCGGCCGCCCCTACTGGGAAGTGAGGAGCCCCTCTGCCCGGCCACCACCCCGTCTGGGAGGTGTACCCAACAGCTCATTGAGAACGGGCCGGGATGACAATGGCGGTTTTGTGGAATAGAAAGGGGGGAAAGGTGGGGAAAAGATTGAGAAATCGGATGGTTGACGTGTCTGTGTAGAAAGAAGTAGACATGGGAAACTTTAAAAAAAAAAAAAAAATTCTTCCAGTGATCTGGTAGAATTGTAAGAAAAAAAATTCTTTAATCCTAAGGCAAATATACAGTGGTTTTATTATTAATGTACAGTTTCTGACAAATTATTAACACATGAGGTGTATTAACTATGATATATACAGACAATGGGATACTACTCAGCAGTATAAATAAAGCATTGCTACACAAAACAAGGGTGAATCACAAATGCATTACACTAAGTGAATGAGGCCAGACTGCAAAAGCTACGTGCTGTTGGATTCCACGTATGTAACCCTGGAAATGTGTACGTTCCTAAAACTCCAAGAAGACAGAAATCACATCCATGATCCTGGGGCCAGGAGTAGGGGAACGAATTAACCTCAAAGTGGCATGAGAGAGGAGGAGAGAGCTGCAAACTGACCACTGAGCACAATCATGTCCAGTTTCTCACATCACTGCTTTCCGCATGCCCTGGTCCAGCCACTGTGTCTTCCTTCCTGTTACTGCAGCTCACTAAGTTTTCTCCCACCACATCTCTTTGGCACTTGCTCTACCTTTTACCTGAATATGTTAAACTTGGTTCTTTCATAGCTGCCTCCTTCTCATTTTTTTTTTTTTTTTTGGTGTCAACTCAATTATCACCTTCAAGAAAGCCACCCACATCCAACTCATCTGAATGGGCAGTGTCCTCAGCCTTCAGTTTAAACATTTCCAACTCTGTCCTCAATACAACTGCCATTCCCTCACATTCTCCCCTTCATATCCCCTATTATTTTCATCACTACTTAGAACAACTTCTGGCATTTGTTATTTATGTTTGTCTGTTTTTTTACCATTCTAGGTTCAGTTTCCAGGTAGAATGTGGACTTGGCAAATTCTACAAAACCAGACCAATATTTTCAAGGCTTGACCTGGGAGGAGAGAATGGTGTATTTGGGTGGTATGAGCAGAGGAAAAAACTTTTTCTCAGTATTTTCAGTCATTTTCTGGTGAGTCAGTGTTCAGCAGAGCAAGGACATCCAGGTAAGTCTCAAAGATGTGGTATCTATGGAAGAGTAGATGATTGTAGTGGTTAGGAATAGCTGTACTCTTGAGTAGTTGGTGATCGTGGTTCCTCAGTTCCACTGGAGCTTCCGAAGAGTTTATAATCACCAAGCCAACATCTGCTGGGATGGTGTCTTTGAGCATAAGACTATGTTTGGGCAATAACAGGACATAGGGCTGCTTACCTGTTGTAGAGCAGAACTGCTCTTCTGAAATATTAGTCTCCTTCCTCGTTGAGGAAATGGTTATATTTTCCCATCCTGTGGCCTCATCTCCCTGCCTACTTTTCCTTATAAGGATAGTTCAGATGGGTTAGTCTTGGCTCTCTAGCTGAGGCGACCAGACTTCAAGTGTCTGAGGACCAGGTAGCCATCTCCATGGAAGTCCAGAGTTTCCAGAGCTGCTGGGTGGTGACTTCTTCCGTTAAGCTCTAACCTTGGGGAGGGCAGGAGATGTCATCAAAATTTGTTTAGTTGGTTACAGCCCTCAGCCTTCCCTCATTCCCTGCAGCTGCTCATGTGTTGAGGGTTGACTTGTGATTAGACCCTGAGGTGCATCTGCTTTTCATGCCATCTTGGATGGGTTAGACTTCCCAAACACAGAGGAATGTGCTTGCTAGCCCTGAAGGAGATATGGCCAAAGGTAGAGTCTTGGACTCAAACTTTGATGTTCACACTCCTTATAGACATGTAAATATTCCTAAAGGTTGGAAATAAAAATAGATTCCAGAAGTTAGAGAGAAAACATATAGACCCGGCATATGTTGCTTTTAAAAAATAAAATAGCTTCATGGGATTTTTTTGTGAATTCAATGAGATATAAGTGAATTTCTTATGTAGATAATGATTTTACCTAAACCAAATAATTAGATAGTCTACTTGGTCCTCACCAGTCATGTTATTTGCAATTCTACATATGAGCCTGCTTTAGTGGGTTGTCTCTTCCTGTGATAAAATTAAAATGTCTACATATACTCTTTATTTCAAAACTATCACACAATTCACTACAACTTTCAAAAGAGGTATAGTTTGTTTTTTAATTAAAACCACATCTGTGAAACAACCAGTAGTGATAAAACATAGTTTCTTTCTTTTTTTTTTTAATTTATTTTTTTGAGACAGAGTCTTGCTCTGTCACCCAGGCCGGAGTGCAGTGGCACAGTCTCAGCTCACTGCAACCTCTCCCTCCTAGGTTCAAGTGATCTTCTGCCTCAGCCTCCTGAGTAGCTGGGATCACAGTCACCTGCCCCCACGCCTGGCTAAAAAATATAGTTCCTAGGCATCCTTTCTTTTCACATCACCTCACATGCCTGATACACCCCATTAAGCTAACATTTGCATGACATTTTTGTTAATCATTTTGATAATCATTCTATAAATGTCTTTATAGTTTTACTACATACATATATTTTCCTAAATGATATACTGTTTCTTATTTCCAGATTCTGAATTTTCTATACATTTTACACTGTATGGGTGACTAGATTCTATAATATGTTTTTTAGGTTTGTCCACAAAGGTTCCTGTCATGATGGTAAGCTAATTTCCATAATCTATTAGATGATTAATCCAGAATCTGCTCTTCTAATAGATGTTCTCAAGGAAGTGAAACATTTATTCCTGTGCTTGGTTTCAGAAGGAGGATATTATTTACATATTGTCCCACTCCTGTCATGGACTCATCTCTCCTCACTCTCCTCCTCCCCTCCCTTCCATATGCCACATAATGGTCTAACTGAAATAACTAATGCCATAGCTGCCATGGAAGGGGTAAAGAGCTTGTGTCTCTCTCTATTCTACCATGTTCTCAATCCCAATATTGACTCCCCTCCTCCTTTTCAGAGTCAAGTAGTACTGAACACCCAGTTCCAGAAAGCTCCAAGAAGGAGGGAGGGCTTCATTTTCTCTTGTCCTCATAAGTCACTCCAATGCTGTGTTGAAATTGATCATTATTCAGCCAACAGATGGAAGGGGCAGGAAAAGAAGTAGGGAAATTAGATTGACACGAGGGGACTAGATTCAATGGGAATGGATGTAGTGGGACTACACATAATAAAGGGTTGACATCTTTTTTTTATCAATAGTTGTGTGTTGTAAACAACAGTCTAGCATTCTACCCACCTGTGAGGAACTGGCTTTATATTTGGAAATGGAAGAGCAGTGGGAACATGGAGCATAAAGGGATGAAGGAGAGAAATGGAGGGGGAGTTGCCTCATGGGTTTGCCGCCTATTGTTGTGCCTGTACACCAATGTTGGGTCTTTGAGGAAGGAAGGAGCACAAATGAGCATGGGATAAAGGAGGAAAGTAAATCCTTGGGCTCCCATACTCTCTCATCACCTACATCCAGAATTCAGAGCCTTTTCTTATTGTCATACATCAGGCATTGCTTGGCCACCGTTAATTTTAATATTGGGTGTCCTTTTGTCAAAGGAAATTTGGGGATCTATACGTGGCTCTTCCCAGAGAAACCTCTTTACTGTGGCCCTGAAGATCCTCTTCAATTCCTTCAAAAGAAGGAAAGATTGGGGTATCAGCTGCAGGAAACTGAAATCCAGGCCCATCTCCAAAAACAGCAGTTTCTGGATGAGTCCGAGAGAAGTTCTCAACCCTAATTTCTCCTCCATCTCCTATTCCGTTATCTCCATCTCCATCATCATCTCCATCTCCGTCTCCATCTCCATCATCATCTATCATCTCCAATCTCCATCTCCGAAGTTATGCCCACTTCCTGGAAGTTTGGAGGCACGGGAACTACATTGCCCAAAAGGCGCAGCGCCGCGAGGCGGCGATCCCTGACCAATGAAAAGAGGTCTGCCCGAGCGTGCGACACGCAATGGGCGGGACTTCCGGCGTCTCGTTTGGTATTCACTTTCGCGACTCAGGTGAACTAACCTGCGAGAAGCTGGTTGTGCGCTGAGGCGACCAGCGCCGGAAGGCACGGTGGCGACTCACGCTGTTCTCGCCGCTCAGAGGCGGGTCTGAGGCTCGGTGGCGGCGCCCAGGGTGGCCCGGGCCCTTTCCTCGGTCATTGTCTCCCCTCCAGCTCTACTCACAGGCTCCGATGGCGGCGGCCGCCCTGAGGGACCCCGCTCAGGTGAGCGCCGCGTCCTCCTGGCCTCCCCCGAATCCTAAAGCCCTGTGAGGGCCGCCTGCTCAGGTCCCCGGGTGCAGAACTGTGGGGCGTTCGTGCGCGGCGTCCCGTTTCTGACACGCAGTGTGATGGGGTGGCAATGGAGGGCAAGGGGCCCGGCTCGCAAAGATGTGAGGCGCATTCAGCGAGTCCCGAACCTGAGGCCTCCTGGTGTCTGTAGTGGGCAGCTTGGGAAGGGACGAGGCGCGTGTCGAGCGACAGCCCGAGCAGCTGCGCTTTCATCCTGAGGGGGCCACAGTGGCCGCGGAGGGCTGGAGACAGAAGAGTGACAAGATCTGTTTCTCAAAGTTTGCCAAAGGCCCTTCAAGTCAAAACAGACTGGGGTGGGGGTGAGGCGGGTGAAGACAGACCTGTGAGTAGGTAAATTCAGTAGACTAGTGGAGAGTCTACTGGGACTGGGCCACAGAGGAGGGGAAGTGATCAGATCTTGGATGGATATCAAAAACTGAACAGACAGGAATTCCTGTTGCATCAGATGTGACTGAAAGAAAGGGAATGAAGAGCCATTCTGGATTTTTATTTGTATTTTTGTTTGTTTGTTCCTGAATATCAGGAAGGATGGAGATGGGTAAGGCTGTGCAGGGAGTAGGTTTTGGACATGGTAATCCTGAGATGACCCAGAGTGGAGGTGTCGTGTCCACATGGGCAGCTTGCCCACTCACATCTGGAAGTTTGGGGAGGGATCTGGGCTGGAGATATGGTAGATATGGGCTGGTTGGGTAGAGGCCTGGACTAGGGTAAGTCCTGGGGCTCCTATTTAGGAGGGAGAATCTTAAGGTTCCCTTTCAGATGGGCCCTAAGGTGAGAGAAGGGAGAGATGGCCCTGTAGGACGGGGCTGCCTCTATAGCATGGAGTTTTGTGGTCAGAAGTGGTTCTGTCTGGTGTCTGCCGGAATGGAGGGTTATAGAGTATGAAGACCCAGGACTGCATGGAGACTGCAGTGTTGAGTAGTATATAGGTTTGCCACTCCAGGCTCAGCAGTTCCTCATGTACAGTCCGTATGGACAAAAGGAAACGTCAGCCAGGCTGCTGGAGCAGCCCCTTTGGTGCCTAAGTTTCCCTAGCCGTCAGCACAGGAGGGATGATCAACTGCTCCAGTAGAAGGGCTCTCAGCAGGATGGTCTTCAGGGGAGTATATAGCAGGCAGCCAGGTTGCCAAAAGGAATGGTATGTGCTCAGGTTTCTCAGACCCAGGTCCCAGTTTATTAACTTGTGAATTTATGAGGTAAGTATTTAAGCACTAATTGATCATAGTTCATATACACACAGGGGCAAATAAAACAACACGGATTTATTAAGTTAAACTGATGTAAGCACTTCATAATTGGTTGTAAAGTTAGTATACTGGAAAGTATTTGATTAAAATAAAGCACCTTAAGTATCACATTCTTAATTTAAAAGTAAGTTTAAGAAACCCATATTTTCTTTTTCTTTCTTTCTTTCTTTTTTTTTTTTTTTTTTTTTTGAGACAGAGTTTCGCTTTTGTTGCCCAGGCTAAACTGCAATGGTGCAATCTCTGCTCACTGCAACCTCTGCCTCCCTGGTTCAAGCGATTCCCCTGCCTCAGCCTCCTGAGTAGCTGGGATTACAGGCATGCACCACCACGCTCAGCTAATTTTTATATTTTTAGTAGAGACGAGGTTTCACCATGTTAGCCAGGCTGGTCTCAAACTCCTGACCTTAGACGATCTGCCCACCTCGGCCTCCCAAAGCATTGGGATTACAGGTGTGAGCCACTGCGCCTAGCCAGAAACCCACATTTTGAAAACCTACCAGTTTATTTGCGCTGAAAATGTTGACAGAAGCATTAATTATGTGTACAGTAAGAGTTGATACTTAGTCCTAGACACATAAGAATGAGTTTGATACAAACAATCGTCCTATTGAGTAAATACCATTATTATTGCCATGTTGCAGATGGCAACACCAAGGCACAGGGAAGTTGAGCACTTTTCCAAGGGCACACAACAGGTAAGAGGCATCACTAAGAACCAAAGCCCAGATTGTAGATAGTCAGGCACACCTGACTCCAGGCTAGACGAGTGGGCTTGGATGATCCTTTGGCAACATCACTGTCTGGTTCTCATAGTCTTGATTTTCCATAGGTTCCTGTGGCTGCAGACTTGCTTACAGACCATGAGGAGGTAAGTGGAGGATGTCTCAGGTCCTCACACTCCTGCACTCCTACCTACATGGTCTTCAGAATTATGGTGTCTTGAGGCTCCTTGCTGGCTATTCTCCCTACCCTTCCATTTGAGTTCCCTGGAAGATGGTCACACACAGTCAGGGCCCTGAGTCCAGACTATATATTATTTTTATTATTTTCTTTTAAGACAGAGTTTTGCTCTTGTTGCCCAGGCTGGAGTGCAAAGGCGCGATCTCGGCTCACTGCAACTTCTGGCTCCTGGGTTCAAGCAATTCTCCTGTCTGAGCCTCCCGAGTAGCTGGGATTACAGGCATGCGCCACCACACCAGCTAATTTTGGATTTTTGGTAGAGAGGTTTCTCCACGTTGGTTAGGTTGGTCTCAAACTCCTGACCTCAGATGATCCGCCCGCCTTGGCCTCCTAAAGTGCTGGGATTACAGGCGTGAGCCACCGTGCCCAACCCAGACTATGTATTCTATGGAGAGGTTCTCATTTCTGGCAACCAATGACAGGAGGTTTAGAAGGCATAGTGATCAACATTAGAAAATACATGGAGGTAAGGTTGAGCTGGGAATGCTTAGACAACCTCAGATCTCCATTATGTCTGGGGGAAGCATCAGCGGGTATAAGGCCAACATGAAGTGATTGGCTGAGGAGCTGAGCTGAGGTGTCCTGATATGTGTGCAATTCCAAGTAGCTAAAGATGAAGCAAGAAAAAGAGCCAAGGAGGGAGGCCTTCAAAGTGGGGCTGAGGATTGGCCCTGGCAGTCAGTGCCATTGGGGGTCTGGGATGGCACGGAGTTCTGATTGCATTTGGTAAGTGCCCTCTGGATGCCATGTGTAGACTGGCATGTGGTGACACTAGGGGAAGCACATGAGGTGATGTAGAGGGTAGTGGTTGTGGTACAAAGTATGTGCACATTCTAATAAGTGTAAACAGATGTCCCCAGGACCTTGTACTGGGGGCTTCAGGGAGAACACTGACACAAATTTGATTGTATTTGAGAAACACAGTCTAGGGGATCCAAGGTAAATTGTCTGGCAAGAGAAGAGTAGGACTCTGCATACCATGCCCAGAGCTGAGATGGACTTTATCTGCCTACCTGCCTATTGTTGCTCAGTGGGAGCATGAGGAGAGAGTGGGCATCAGTGGCTCTGGGGCAGGGTCTCTCCTCTGAGATGGGGATTAAGGAAGAGGGTGAGCAGGGGTGGATGTTTAGGCAGATGCCTAAATTTCCCAGTAAGGAGGCTGCAGATAAACTCTACTCTGTCCATCTTAGCAGGGCTATGTGACCTTTGAGGATGTGGCTGTCTACTTCTCCCAGGAGGAATGGAGATTGCTTGATGACGCTCAGAGGCTCCTCTACCGCAATGTGATGCTGGAGAACTTTACACTTCTGGCCTCTCTGGGTAAGGTTCTCACACCCCACCCCAGCATCCTGAGCTGGGCTCGGCTTTTCCTCCTTTTCCTAGGGAGAGGTCTGTTCTTCCCAAAGCTGAACTGTGGGCACTCATTCCTTCTCCAGTATCCTGAAGTAGCTATTGTAATAGGCCTGGGCTGTGTATACTACCACCTTCTCTCCCCAAGCTGCCCCACAGCTGTGCAGGAAAGGGTTTGGGGGTCAGGAGTCTTGCAGTCAGCTTGATGGATCTTATCCCTGGTGGCCTCTCTGTGGCCTGGTGACACTGTGCAGATCTGTGGTAGTTCTATTCCCCTACATTCTGCCTGTCTCCTCTAGCCAACATACCTGGGTGTCGGTCTGTGCCAGCAATTGAGTCACCAATGTGATTGCTGTTTGACTGTGTTGTTCCTGCAAGACCCTCCTCCAAGGTTCTTTCTGTACTATTTTGTTTTCTTTCCTGTGGTCCATGATGAGATAAGTCATTCTGGCTCAGTGCTGCCACTCACCTGTCGTTTTCCTTAGGACTTGCATCTTCCAAGACCCATGAAATAACCCAGCTGGAGTCATGGGAGGAGCCCTTCATGCCTGCTTGGGAAGTTGTGACTTCAGCCATACCGAGAGGTAGTTGGTGGGTGGAGCTCAGGGAGGTGTGAACTCAGGGATGGATTCATATCATACCAGTAGGCCCAGATATTTTGATACCAAGGCAAGGGGTTGTCGCTGATTTCTATCTTTTCTTCCTTAGTCACCCATTTATATCTATTCTGATGTTTGACCTAGGGCCATTCCCCACCTCTCTGTCCTCCATGTTTCACCCAGTCATCAGCAGAACCCTTCAGCAGTGGCTTTCACTGAATGTGTGGTGAGGTGGATGCTTATCCTTGCATAGTCCTTGAGCATCAGCTATTTGGTTGCAGTTGGTTTTTTCTGGACCTGGACATAACCTTCTGTGCCGTGTTCCTGTGTCTCCAGCAGCCAAAGTCCTGTGGAAAGCCATTTGCAGAGGATTGTGTTGGGGACACTGCCTCTCCTCCCTGTGCTATACCCCATCCTTGCATCCTTGGTGCTCATGAGGCCTCCCCAAATCCTTGAGCTGGCCAGATTCAGCACTGCACAGCAGGCCCTTCCCTGCTGAGAGCTAGCCCTCTTTATTTCTGCTAGCAGCCCCAGGCACTAATTACTGGGTGTGTTAGACACATCTGTGAGAGTGCTGCCTCCTCACACCAAAGTCTACATTTACTTCTTCAACATTTATCTTCTGTCAGGTTGTTGGCATGGAGCCGAGGCTGAGGAGGCTCCTGAGCAGATTGCTTCTGTAGGACTGCTCAGTTCAAACATTCAGCAACACCAGAAGCAGCACTGTGGAGAGAAACCCTTAAAAAGACAAGAGGGCAGGGTCCCAGTTTTGAGGAGTTGCAAAGTTCACCTATCAGAGAAGTCCTTGCAAAGCAGGGAGGTTGGGAAGGCCCTCCTGATCAGCTCAGGTGTTCTCAAGCACCAGGTGACTCACACAGGAGAGAAGTCACATAGGAGCTCCAAAAGTAGGGAGGCCTTTCATGCTGGAAAAAGGCATTACAAATGCAGTGAATGTGGGAAAGCCTTTGGTCAGAAATATTTACTTGTTCAGCACCAGAGACTACATGCTGGGAAAAAGACGTATGAATGCAGTGAATGTGGGAAGTTATTTAGAGATATGTCCAACCTTTTTATACACCAAATAGTTCACACTGGAGAAAGGCCTTACGGGTGTAGTAACTGTGGAAAATCCTTTAGCCGTAATGCTCACCTCATTGAACACCAGAGAGTTCACACTGGAGAAAAGCCTTTTACATGCAGTGAATGTGGAAAAGCTTTCAGGCATAATTCCACACTTGTTCAGCATCACAAAATCCACACTGGAGTAAGGCCTTATGAGTGCAGTGAATGTGGAAAATTGTTTAGTTTCAACTCCAGCCTCATGAAACATCAGAGAATTCACACTGGAGAAAGACCTTATAAGTGCAGTGAATGTGGAAAATTCTATAGCCACAAGTCCAACCTTATCAAACATTGGCGTGTTCATACTGGAGAAAGGCCTTACAAGTGCAGCGACTGTGGGAAATTTTTTACCCAATGCTCAAGCCTCATGCAACATCAAAAAGTTCACACTGGAGAAAAGCCTTTTAAGTGCAATGAATGTGGGAGATTCTTTAGAGAGAATTCCACCCTAGTTAGACATCAGAGGGTTCACACTGGAGCAAAGCCTTATGAGTGCAGGGAATGTGGGAAATTTTTTAGCCAAAGCTCAACCCTCATGCAACATCGAAAAGTTCACATTGGAGAAAAGCCTTTTAAGTGCAATGAATGTGGGAGATTGTTTAGAGAGAATTCCAGCCTTGTTAAACATCAGAGGGTTCACACTGGAGCAAAGCCTTATGAGTGCAGGGAATGTGGGAAGTTTTTTCGCCACAACTCCAGTCTTTTTAAACATCGAAGGATTCACACTGGAGAAATGCAGTGATTGTGTGAAATCCTTTAGCCAGCGTTTCAACCTCATTCAACACCAGAAAGTTCACAGTGGAAAAAATCTTGAAGGTAACAGATGGAAATCCGTTAGCCACACCTCCAGTCTCATTCAACACTGGACAGTTTACAATGTGGACAATGTAGTGAATATGGAAAAAGGTTTCAGCCAAAGGCCTAACCCTATTCAACACCAGAAAGTTTACACTGGAGAAAGGCCTTAGGGTGACAGGTTATGTACTGTCTCTGAATCAATATGACCTCACTTAAAACAGAAACTCTGAGGATGGCCTTTATGAGGGAGCTGGCAATTGAACATCATTCATCTAAATATGCACACTGGAGGCAAGATGAGAATTCCTGACAGATTGTCCTTCCTGAGAAGACAGCCCTCTGCCTTGGAGCTCCAGAGAGAGGGAGCCCTGTATTCTTGGCTGTACCCGTCGAATGGAGTTTTGATCTCGCTGAGTTTGGAGTTGGGGGAGGAAAGGAGTGGTCTTGGTTCAAATGTGACTCACTTTTGCTGTTCTTGTGAATGTTAGATCTTCTTTAATAAATATTTATTTCCCATACACCCTTATGACCATTTCCAGAGACTGAATTGTGTTTTTATAATTTTCACCCTTTTGGCTGTGTAACAGGTCTGCAAAGCTCCTCATTCAGTTATTCTGTAAGTTGATCCAAATGTTTCAAATTTTAAGAACTTGCCAAATTGTGTTCTAAATGGTTAGCATTTCATATTTCCTCCTGGAATATATTAGATTTTCCATTTCTTCACATTACTGACAGTTTATATGTGTAGAAGTCATAGGCCATTCATTTTAGCCATGTTACTAAGTGTGAAGTAGTATTTCATTGTAGTTCTTAATTTGTATTTTTCCGATGACTCAGTTTTGAGCATTTTTTAATGTGTTTACTTGTCACCCATATATCTTCTTTAGTCAAATGTATTTTTTGCCTGTTTTTTAAAACATTTGGTTGGTTACAAGTTCTTAATATTTCTGGAGACAAATTCCTTATTTGATATAAGCATTGTCAATATTTTCTCATGGTCCATGGCTTTTGTTTTCTTTTCTTTTTTAAAATTTAGAGATGAGGTCGTGCTATGTTGCACAGACTAGTCTCTAACTCCTGGCCTCAAGTGATCATCCTGCCTCAGCCTCCCAAAGTGCTGGGATTACAGGCATGAGCCACCATGCTTGGCCTTGTTTTCAGTTCTTAACAGTATCTTTCCTAGAGCAGATTGTCTTAATTTTATGGAGCCCAATTTATCCATTTGTTATTTTATTCATTGTGCATTTGGTGTTGCATCCTCTTACTATACCATATCTTTGCCTATAAATAAAAGCCTTGACTGAGTGCGGTGGCTCACGCCTGTAATCCCAACACTTTGGGAGGCCAAGGCGGGTGGATCACGAGGTCAGGAGATTGAGACCATCCTGGCTAACACAGTGAAACTCCCTCTCAACTAAAAATACAAAAAATTAGCTGGGCGTGGTGGCGGCTGCCTGTAGTTCCAGCTATCCTGGAGGCTGAGGCAGGAGAATGGTGTGAGCCCGGGAGGCGGAGCTTGCAGTGAGCCGAGATTGCGCCACTGCACTCCAGCCTGGGGCACAAAGCCAGACTCTGTCTCAAAAAAAAAAAAAAAAAAAAAAAAAAAAAAAAAAAAAAAAAAAAGCCTTATGTGAGTATGCTACTGTAATCTTATGAATCTTTTTAAATATCCAACTTCTGAAATATTTGTAGGTTTAACTACAAATAAATAATTCAATATATAGATAAATGTGTACATATTCCCTATCTTTACTGAGAGCCTAGCAAGCCATGGCATTCCAGTAGTTTTGAGCACATTTAATACCCAGTTATTGGTTTATATCATTTTTTAATAAAAGGAACCAGAACTCCTTAGAGAAGAGGCTGTTTTCAAGTTGTGGCAGAAAAGGTACAACATGATTTGAGGAAATACTGCATTGGAAAATAAATAAATGTTCACAGAATAATGTTGACATATTAGCTTTTTATTGCTATCCTGACAAATCACCACAAACTTATGGTTTAAACAACACAAATATAACAGAAGTCTCACTGGGTTAAAATCAAAGTGTTGGCATGATTATGTTCCTTTCTAGAGTCTCAGGGAGGATCTGTTTCTTGCTTATTTCAGTTGTTAGCATATTTAAGTTCTTCGTGGTTGTAGGACTGAGATTCCTTTTTCTTGATGGCATCAGCTGAGGGTCATTCCTAGGATATATAAGAACTTTTATGAAAAAGGAAGAAGTAATACCAATTGTATACAAACTTCCAAGAGGACAAAGGTTCAAAGAATTCTGGACTATATGAAAGTTAGCATTAACAGGACACTAAAGCAGGCAATGACATTAAACAAAACTATAGACCAATAATCACATGAATATAGACACAGAGCCTTAAGAAAATTTTAGCAAATTGAGGCACTCGTCCTTCAAATCACCCCCTTGGGTCTCTTCCAAGCATACTTGCCTTTCTTTCCTGTTCTAAAGCCTTTTTAAATAAACTTGCACTCATGCTAAAACAAAACAAAAAGACATTTAGCAAATTGAATCCAGCCATATACAAACAATAATAAATCATAACCTAGTGAGGTTTATCAATAATACAAGTTTGATTCAACAATTCAAACTCTTTATTAATCTATATTAGCAGACTAAAATGAAAATCTCAAAATGTAATAAAAGCATTTTACAAAATTCAAAACTAGGTTATGATACATGCAACAAATTAAACAAGATGGTGATTTCTTCAACCTGATACAGCACATCTATGAAAAACAGCTAACAGCACATTTGATATATATGTGATCAAATATTTGATAAGCTGATTTTCCCCAACATTAGGAATAACATAAATACGTCAACATTCATCACTTCTCATTAAAAAAAAAATCTAATGATTGTAAAGGCAGAACCCAAACTGTCTGTATTTACATATGACATGATAATGTTGAAAATTCGAAATTATCTACTAAAAAGCTACTAGATCTAATAATTGAGTTTAGCAAGGTCCTAAGATAAAAAGGCCAGTGTATAAAAAGTAGGTGTCTCTACTAGGTTGGTATATAGCTAGCAAATACATGCTTGGCAACTGAAAAAATGTACTTCACAATAGCATAAAAATATGAAATATTTAGAAATAAATTTAACAAAATATGTTCAAGAACTTTAAAACATTCCTGAGAGACATTAAACAAGGCATAAATAAATGACACAAGAAGTTCCTGAATCTGAGACTTAATACTTTGAAGTTGTCAGTTTTCCTTTAACTATCCTAATAAAAACCTAATCTTTTAAATAAAAATTTACAAATGTATTCTAAAAAGTTACATGGAAATACAAAGGGCCTGGACTAATTGCCAAAACAATTTTATAAATAAGAATAAGTTTGAAAATCTTTATGACTTTAGGACATACAAACGTACAGTAATTGAGAGTACAGTATTAGCTAAAGGACAGAGATGAACAGAAGAGAACAGAGAACCCAGAAATACACTCACACAACACTCTATTGTCAATCTCTTTTCAAGAAAGTTGCAAAAGTAGTAAAACAACTTCAGAAAACAGTGTAGCAGCTTTAAAGGTAGCATAAGCTTACCATATAGTTTAGGAATCTTACCTATTGGGATATCCCCAAGAGAACAAAAGCATATGTTCTAGAAATACTTACACTTGCATGCTCAGCAGTTTTATTTATAAAACCCAAACACCAGAATTTGTTTTTAAAACACACACACACAAACTAAAATTTCCGTGAACAGAAGAATGAATAATCAATTATGGTATATCTTAACATAAAATACCATTCAACAACATAAAAGAATAAACTATGAATACAAGTAAAAATATCATAGATAAATCTGAAAATCCCTGAGCCAAGTGGAAGAAGCCAGACACAAAAGTTGACATACAGTATGATTCCATTTATATGAAATGAAGAAGCTGCAAAACTAGAGTAAAAGAATGCAGATCACTGGTTATTGAGCCTGCGGTCTGAGGGGGAAGGTTCTGACTGAAAGAGTACAGGAAAACGTTATCAGGCAATGGTAATTTTCTCTATCATGACTGTGTTGGTGGTTTCATGACAGTACAGCTGACCCTTAAATAACACAGGTTTGAAATGCACAGGTCCAATTATATGTGAATGTTTTTCAATAAATATACTGGAAAAAATTTTTGAATATTTGAGACAATTTCAAAAAACCAGAATTCATTGAAATAGGTATGCCAAGAATGCATAACACAAAATATATGTAGGTTCTATTTTATCATTACAAAACCAGAGCGATATTTTCTTTTCTTTTTTTTTGTTTTTGAGACGGATTCTCTCCCTGTCGCCCAGGCTGGAGTGCAGTGGCATGAACTCCACTCACTGCAAGCTCCACCTCCCGGGTTCATGCCATTCTCCCGTCTCAGCCTCCCGAGTAGCTGGGACTACAGGCACCTGCTACCACACCCGGCTAATTTTTTGTATTTTTTAGTACAGACGGGGTTTCACCGTGTTAGCCAGGATAGTCTCGATCTCCTGACCTTGTGATCCACCCGCCTTGGCCTCCCAAAGTGCTGGGATTACAGGCGTAAGCCACCACCTCCCTACTCTTTCTACCCAATAAATATGAAGGTCTGTGGAAGCTCAGGGCCCTTCCTCACTAGAAGCAAGAAGCCCCCTGACCCCTTCTTTAAAACAGATTTATTTTGCCTTTGTTTTCATTTCTGCATTCGTTCCCCTTCGTTCAGTCCCATAGTAACTGTGACAGGAATATGGAGCAGAAATGGATGAAGGGGAGAAATTGAGGGGGAGTTGGCTTATGGGTTTGCTGCCTGTTGTTGTGCCTTTACACCAATGTTGGGTCCTTGAGGAAGGAAAGAACACAAATGAGAATGGGGTGAAAGAGGAACGTAAATCCTTGGGCTCCCCTACTCTCTCATCACCTACATCCAGAATTCAGAGCCTTTTCTTATTATCATACATCAGGCATTAATATTGGGTGTCCCCTTGCCAAAGGAAATTTAGGAAGGTATACGTGGCTTTGCCCAGTGAAACCTCTTTATGGTGGCCCTGAAGATCCTCTTCAAGTCCTTCAAAAGAAGGAAAGATTGGAGTATCAGCTGCAGGAAACTGAAATCCAGGCCCATCTCCAATTACAACAGGTTCCAGATGAGTCCGAGAGTTCTCGACACTCATTTCTCCTCCATCTCCTACTCCATCATCTCCATCTCCATCTTCTCCATCATCTCCATCTTCATCATCATCTCCATCTCCATCATCTCCATGTCCATCATCATCTCTATCTCCATCATCTCCATCTCCATCATCTCCATCTCCATCATCATCTCTATCTCCATCATCATCTCTATCTCCATCATCTCCATCTCCATCATCTCCATCATCTCCATCTCCATCTCCTACTCCATCATCTCCATCTCCATCTTCTCCATCATCTCCATCTTCTCCATCATCTCCATCTTCTCCATCATCTCCATCTTCATCATCTCCATTTCCATCATCTCCATCTCCATCATCATCTCTATCTCCATCATCTCCATCTCCATCATCTCCATCATCTCCATCTCCATCTCCATCTCCATCATCTACCGTCTCCAATCTCCATCTCCGAAGTTATGCCCACTTCCTCGAAGTTTGGAGCCACGCGAACTACACTGCCCAGAAGGCGCCGCGCCGTGAGCCGCGATGCTTGGCCAATGAAAAGAGGTCTACCCGAGAGTGCGACGCGCAATGGGCGGGACTTCCGGCGTCTCCCCTCGGCGGTTGCTTTCGCTGCCCTCAAGAGAACTCAGCTTGCCGGAAGCTGGTTGTTCGCTGCGGCGACCAGCTCCGGAAAGCGCGGTGGGGACGCGCTGTGTTCTCGCAGCTCAGAGGCGGGTCTGAGGCTCGGTGGCGGCGCCCAGGGTGGCCCGGGCCCTTTCCTCGGTCGTTGTCTCACCGCCACAGGCTCCGATGGCGGCGGCCACGCTGAGGGACCCCGCTCAGGTGAGCGCCGCGTCCTCCCGGCCTCCCCCGAATCCTAAAGCCCTGTGAGGGCCGCCTGCTCAGGTCCCCGGGTGCAGAACTGTGGGGCGTTCGTGGGCGGCGTCCCGTTTCTGACACGCAGTGTGATGGGGTGGCAATGGAGGGCAAGGGGCCCGGCTCGCAAAGATGTGAGGCGCATTCAGCGAGTCCCGAACCTGAGGCCTCCTGGTGTCTGTAGTGGGCAGCTTGGGAAGGGACGAGGCGCGTGTCGAGCGACAGCCCGAGCAGCTGCGCTTTCATCCTGAGGGGGCCACAGTGGCCGCGGAGGGCTGGAGACAGAAGAGTGACAAGATCTGTTTCTCAAAGTTTGCCAAAGGCCCTTCAAGTCAAAACAGACTGGGGTGGGGGTGAGGCGGGTGAAGACAGACCTGTGAGTAGGTAAATTCAGTAGACTAGTGGAGAGTCTACTGGGACTGGGCCACAGAGGAGGGGAAGTGATCAGATCTTGGATGGATTTCAAAAACTGAACAGACGGGAATTCCTGTTGCATCAGATGTGACTGTGAAAGAAAGTAGGGAATGAAGAGCCATTCTGGATTTTTATTTGTATTTTTGTTTGTTCCTGAATATCAGGAAGGATGGAGATGGGTAAGGCTGTGCAGGGAATAGGTTTTGGGCATGGTGATCCTGAGATGTCCCAGAGTGGAGGTGTCATGTCCACATGAGCAGCTGGAAGGCCTGGGGCTCGTATTTAGGAGGGAGAATCTTAAAGTTTTCTTTCAGATGGTCCCTGAGGTGAGGGAAGGGAGAGATGGGCCTGTAGGATGGGGCAGCCTCTACAGCCTGGAGTTTCGTGGTCCGAAGTGATTTTGTCTGGTGCCTGCAGGAATGGAGGGTTATAGAGTATGAACACCCAGGACTGGATGGAGACCGCAGTGTTGGGTAGTATATAGGTTTGCCACTCCAGGCTTAGTAGTTCCTCATGTCCAGTCCATATGGAGAAAAGGAAAGGTCAGCCAGGCTGGTGGAGCAGCACCTTTGGTGCCTAAGTTTCCCTAGCTATCAGCACAGGTGGGATGATCAACTGCTCCAGTAGAAGGGAGGGCTCTCAGCAGGATGGTCTTCAGGGGAGTATATAGCAGGCAGCCAGATTGCCAAAAGGAAACCCACATTGTCTTTCTTTTTCTTTCTTTTTTTTTTTTTTTTGAGACAGAATTCTGCTCTTGTGATCTGCCCACCTCGGCCTCCCAAAGTGTTGGGATTACAGGCTTGAGCCACTGCACCCAGGCAGAAACCCACATTTTGAAAACCTACCAGTTTATTTGCACTGAAAATGTTGACAGAAGCATTAATTATGTGTACAGTAAGAGTTGATATTTAGTCCTAGACACATAAGAATGAGTTTGATACAAACAATAGTCCTATTGAGTGAATACCATTATTGCCATGTTGCAGATGGCAATACCAAGGCACAGGGAAGTTGAGCATTTTTCCAAGGGCACACAACAGGTAAGAGGCATCACTAAGAACCAAAGCCCAGATTGCAGATAGTCAGGCACACCTGACTCCAGGCTAGACGAGGGGGCTTGGATGATCCTTTGGTAACATCACTGTCTGGTTCTCATGGTCTTGATTTTCCATAGGTTCTTGTGACTTCAGAGTTAGTTATAGACCATGAGAAGGTAAGTGGAGGATGTCTCAGGCCCTCACCCTCCTCAACTCCTACCTACATGGTCTTCAGAATTATGGTGTCTTGGGACTCCTTGCTGGCTATTCTCCCTCCCCTTCCATTTGAGTTCCCTGCAAAATGGTCATACAGTCAGGGTCCTGAGTCCAGACTACATATTATTATTTATTTATTTATTTTTGAGACGGAATTTAGCTCTTGTTGCCCAGGCTGGAGTGCAATGGTACAATCTCGGCTCACCGCAACCTCCACCTCCCAGGTTCAAGCGATTCTCCTGTCTGAGCTTCCCAAGTAGCTGGGATTACAGGCACGTGCCGTCACGCCCGGCTAATTTTGTATCTTTAGTAGAGACGGGGTTTCTCCATGTTGGTCAAGCAGGTCTCAAACTCCCAATCTCAGGTGATCCGCCCACCTCTGCCTCCCAAAGTGCTGGGATTATAGACATGAGCCATCACGCCTGGCCCAGATTATATGTTATATGGAGAGGTTCTCATTTCTGGCAACCAATGACAGGAGATTTAGAAGGCATAGTGATCAACATTAGAAAATACGTGGAGGTAAGGTTGAGCTGGGAATGCTTAGGCAACCTTAGATCTCCATTATGACTGGGGGAAGCATCAGCAGGTATAAGGCAGACCTGAAGTGGTTGGCTGAGGAGCTGGGCCTCTATTGTTTGTATTTTTGTTTGTTTGTTTTTTCCTGGATATCAGGAAGGATGGAAATGGGGAAGGCTACACAGGGATTACGGCCCAATCTTAACAAGCTTTTTCTGCTTTGAGAACACCTGTAGGGTTAAAGGTGGAGGCTGGGAGTCCAGCAAAGAGGCTACTACAGTAGTCTGTGTGAGTGCTGGACCAGAGTGGTGGCTGTGGACGTAGGAGATGTGGTTGAAGTCTGCGTTTTTTTTGTTTTGTTTTGTTTTTGTTTTTTTGAGATGGAGTCTCGCTCTGTCGCCCAGGCTGGAGTGCAGTGGCATGATCTCGGCTCACTGCAAGCTCCGCCTCCTGGTTCAAGCCATTCTCCTGCCTTAGCCTCCCGAGTAGCTGGGACTACAGGCACCTGCCACCACGCCCAGATAATTTTTTTGTATTTTTAGTAGAGATGGGGTTTCACCGTGTTAGCCAGGATGATCTCGATCTCCTAACCTCATGATCCGCCCGCTTTGGCCTCCCAAAGTGCTGGGATTACAGACATGAGCCACAGCGCCTAGCCAGAGTCTGTGTTTTTTAAGTAGATATGGGCAGATTTTCTAAAGTGTAGGGTGGGAGAAAGAGGTTAATGGTAAGAGTAATTTTCAGTGGGAATAATTAAGTTAGGTTTTGGCCATGTTGATATGAGATGTTCCAGAGACCCTTGAGTGGATTCATTGAGTGGGCACCTGGACAGAGAAGTCTGGAGTTCAGGTGAAGGGTTCAGATTGGAAACCCACATGATACAGTTGGTGTATGGACCAAATGGAGCAGTGGAGCAGATTTAGGAGGGAGCATCTTGAGGTCCTATTGGTAATGCCATTAGGTAATAAGGGAGAATGTATAGGGGCCAAGAACTGGGTCTCTTGCTTGGATACCTGGATGGGAGTGGTGGGTTTCACAAGGACATGAGGGAGAATGGTGGCCATGGGGAAAGGGATGTAGGGGTAAGGAGGGTCTGACTAGTGGCCAAAGTTCCTGTGGGGATAGACATGAGATGGACATGAAGATGAAGCTATAATGAGGTAAGATGACAGGAAGGCAGGCACTGCTGCTTATTCATCCAACTGTGGGATCACAAGGCTTTTGTTTTTACCTGGACCTGGGGAGTTTCTCAGGCTGCTGGATTAGCTCAAGATCAAATGAGGTCATCTGAGAGAATTGCTGGGCCTGGTTTGGGAGACGTGGGCTTTTTTTTTTTTTTTTTAAGATGGAATTTTGCTCTTGTTGCCTAGACTAGAGCGCAATGGCAAGATCTTGGCTCACGGCAACCTCCACCTCCCGGGTTCAAGCTGTTCTCCTGCCTCAGCCTCCCGAGTAGCTGGGATTACAGGCATGCGCCACCACCCCCAGGTTAATTTTGTATTTCGGGTAGAGACAGGGTTTCTCCATGTTGTTCAGGCTGGTCTCGAACTCCTGATCTCAGGTGATCCACCTGCCTCCGCCTCCAAAAGTGGCAGGATTACAGGCATGAGCCACCATGCCTGTCCTGGCCTTCGATTCTAATGAGAGTCAGAGGAACGCTGACATTGGGCAGGAACAGCTTTTCAACACAGAAATGGAAGAGTGCCACAGGTGTCCAGATATGCGTGCAGTTCCAAGTAGCTGAAGGTGAAGCAACAAAAAGAGCCCAGTAGAGAGGCCTTCAAAGTGGGGCTGAGGGTTGCCCCTGGTAGTCAGTGCCATTGGAGGTCTAGGAAGGGATGGAGTTCTGATTGCATTTGGTGAGTGCCCTCTGGATGCCATGTGTAGACTAGAATGTGGTGACGCTAGGGGAGGCACATAAGGTGGTGCAGGGGGCAGTGGTTGTGGTACAGAGTATGTGCACATTCTAATGAGTGTAAACAGATGTCCCCAGGGACCTTGTATTGGGTGCTTCAGGGAGAACACTGACACAAATTTGATTGTATTTGGGAAACACAATCTGGGGGATCCAAGGTGAGTTGTCTGGCAAGAGAAGAGTAGGACTCTGCATACCATGCCCAGAGCTGAGATGGACTTTATCTGCCTACCTGCCTCTGCTTGCTCAGTGGGAACATGAGGAGAGAGTGGGCATCAGTGGTTCTGGGGCAGGGTCTCTCTTCTGAGATGGGGATTAAGGAAGAGGGTGAGCAGGGGTGGATGTTTAGGGGGATGCCTAAATTCCCCAGTAAGGAGACCGCAGATAAACTCAACTCTGTCCATCTTAGCAGGGCTATGTGACCTTTGAGGACGTGGCTGTCTACTTCTCCCAGGAGGAATGGAGATTGCTTGATGACGCTCAGAGGCTCCTCTACCGCAATGTGATGCTGGAGAACTTTACACTTCTGGCCTCTCTGGGTAAGGTTCTCACACCCCACCCCAGCATCCTGAGCTGGACTTGGCTTTTCCTCCTTTTCCTAGGGAGAGGTCTGTTCTTCCCAAAGCTGAACTGTGGGCACTCATTCCTTCTCCAGTATCCTGAAGTAGCTATTGTAATAGGCCTGGGCTGTGTATACTACCACCTTCTCTCCCTGAGCTGCCCCACAGCTGTGCAGGAAAGGGTTTGGGGGTCAGGAGTCTTGCAGTCAGCTTGATGGATCTTATCCCTGGTGGCCTCTCTGTGGCCTGGTGACACTGTGCAGATCTGTGGTAGTTCTATTCCCCTACATTCTGCCTGTCTCCTCTAGCCAACATACCTGGGTGTCGGTCTGTGCCAGCAATTGAGTCACCAATGTGATTGCTGTTTGACTGGGTTGTTCCTGCAAGACCCTCCTCCAAGGTTCTTTCTGTACTATTTTGTTTTCTTTCCTGTGGTCCATGATGAGATAAGTCATTCTGGCTCAGTGCTGCCACTCACCTGTCGTTTTCCTTAGGACTTGCATCTTCCAAGACCCATGAAATAACCCAGCTGGAGTCATGGGAGGAGCCCTTCATGCCTGCTTGGGAAGTTGTGACTTCAGCCATACTGAGAGGTACTTGGTGGGTGGAGCTCAGGGAGGTATGAACTCGGGTATGGGTTTGTATCATACCAGGAGTCTTTCCAGTGGGCCCAGATATTTTGATACCAAGGCAAGGTGTCGTCGCTGATTTCTATCTTTTCTTCCTCAGTCACCCATTTATATCTATTCTGATAGTTGACCCAGGGCCATTCCCCACCTCTCTGTACTCCATGTTTCACCCCATCCTCAGCAGCACCTTTCAGCAGTGGCTTTCACTGAATGTGTGGTGAGGTGGGGCGCTTATTCTTGCATAGTCCTTGGACACCAACTATTTCATTCCAGTTGTTTTTTTTTTTTTTTTTTGACAGAGTCTTGCTCTGTCGCCTAGGCTGGAGGGCAGTGGCGTGATCTCGGCTCACTGCAAGCTCCGCCTATCAGGTTGATGCCATTCTCCTGCCTCAGCCTCCTAGTAGCCAGGACTACAGGCGCCCGCCACCATGCCTGGCTAATTTTTTGTATTTTTAGTAGAGACTGGGTTTCACCATGTTAGCCTGAATGGTCTCGATCTCCTGACCTCGTGATCTGCCCGCCTTGGCCTCCGAAAGTGCTGGGATTACAGGCATGAGGCACCGCGCCCATCCTGCAGTTG
Source organism: Homo sapiens (assembly GCF_000001405.40). Lineage (NCBI taxonomy): Eukaryota > Metazoa > Chordata > Mammalia > Primates > Hominidae > Homo > Homo sapiens. The sequence goes on from NC_000019.10 coordinate 57,506,017, forward strand.
TTTTTTTCTGGACCTGGATATAACCTTCTGTGCCGTGTTCCTGTGTCTCCAGCAGCCAAAACCCTGTGGAAAGCCATTTGCAGAGGATTGTGTTGGGGACTCTGCCTCTCCTCCTTGTGCTACACCACATCCTTGCATCCTTGGTGCTCATGAGGCCTCCCCAAATCTGTGAGCTAGCCAGGTTCAGCACTGCACAGCAGGCCCTTCCCCACCAAGCGCTAGCCCCCTCATTCTGCAAGCAGTCCCACACGCTAATTACCAGGTGTGTCAGACACGTGTGAGAGTGCTGCCTTCTCACACCAAAGACTACATTTACTTCATCAACATTTCTCTTCTTTCAGGTAGTTGGCAAGGAGCCAAGGCTGAGGCAGCTGCTGAGCAGAGTGCTTCTGTAGAAGTGCCCAGTTCAAACGTTCAGCAACACCAGAAGCAGCACTGTGGAGAGAAACCCTTAAAAAGACAAGAGGGCAGGGTCCCAGTTTTGAGGAGTTGCAGAGTCCACCTATCAGAGAAGTCCTTGCAAAGCAGGGAAGTTGGGAAGGATCTTCTGACCAGCTCAGGTGTTCTCAAGCACCAGGTGACTCACACGGGAGAGAAGTCACATAGGAGCTCCAAAAGTAGGGAGGCCTTTCATGCTGGAAAAAGGCATTACAAATGCAGTGAATGTGGGAAAGCCTTTGGTCAGAAATATTTACTTGTTCAGCACCAGAGACTGCACACTGGGGAAAAGCCTTATGAATGCAGTGAATGTGGGAAGTTATTTAGCCATAAGTCCAACCTTTTTATACACCAAATAGTTCACACTGGAGAAAGGCCTTATGGGTGTAGTGACTGTGGAAAATCCTTTAGCCGTAATGCTGACCTCATTCAACACCAGAGAGTTCACACTGGAGAAAAGCCTTTTACATGCAGTGAATGTGGAAAAGCTTTCAGGCATAATTCCACACTTGTTCAGCATCACAGAATCCACACTGGAGTAAGGCCTTATGAGTGCAGTGAATGTGGAAAATTGTTTAGTTTCAACTCCAGCCTCATGAAACATCAGAGAGTTCACACTGGAGAAAGACCTTATAAGTGCAGTGAATGTGGAAAATTCTATAGCCACAAGTCCAGCCTTATCAATCATTGGCGTGTTCACACTGGAGAAAGGCCTTATGAGTGCAGTGAATGTGGGAAATTTTTTAGCCAAAGCTCAAGCCTCATGCAACATCGAAAAGTTCACACTGGAGAAAAACCTTTTAAGTGCAATGAATGTGGGAGATTCTTTAGTGAGAATTCCAGCCTTGTTAAACATCAGAGGGTTCACACTGGAGCAAAGCCTTATGAGTGCAGGGAATGTGGGAAATTTTTTCGCCACAGCTCCAGTCTTGTTAAACATCGAAGGATTCACACTGGAGAAATACAATGATTGTGAGAAATCCTTTAGCTGGTGTTTCAACCTCATTCAACACCAGAAAGTTCACAGTGTAAAAAAGTCTTGAAGGTTACTAATGGAAATCCATTAGCTATACCTCCAAACTCATTCAACACTGGACAGTTCACAGAGTGGACAATGTAGTGAATATGGTAAAAGGCCTCAGCCAAAGGCCTAACCGTATTCAACACCAGAAAGTTTAGACTGGAGAAAGGCCTTAGACTGTCGCTGAATCAATATGACCTGACTTAAAGCAGAAACAGCCAGGCGTGGTGGCTGACACCTGTTATTCTCACCACTTTGGGAGGCTGAAGCGGGCGGATCACAAGGTCAGGACATCGAAACCATCCTGGTTAACACAATGAAACCACATCTCTACTAAAAATACAAAAATTTACTGGGCATGGTGGTGGGCGCCTGTAGTCCCAGCTACTCAGGAGGCTGAGGCAGAAGAATGGCATGAACCTAGGAGGCAGAGTTTGCGGTGAGCTGAGATCACGCCACTGCACTCCAGACTGGGTGACAGAGTGAGACTCTGTCTAAAAAAAAAAAAAAAAAAAATTAGCCCGGCGTGGTGGCAGGCAACTGTAGTCCCAGCTACTTGGGGGGCTGAGGCAGGAGATTTGCTTGAACCCGGGAGGCGGAGGTTGCATTGAGCCGAGATCACGCCACTGCACTCCAGCTTGGGTGACAGAGTGAGACTTCGTCTCAAAAAAAAAAAAAAAAAACAAAAAAAACCCAGAAACTCTGAGGGTGATCTTTATGAGGGAGCTGGCAATTGAACATCATTCATCCAAATATGCACACTGGAGGCAGGATGAGAATTCCTGATAGATTGTTCCTCCTGAGAAAATAGCCCTCTGTCTTGGAGCTCCAGAGAGAGGGAGCCCTGTATTGGCTGCACCAGTCGAATGGAGTTTTAATCTCACTGAGTTTGGAGTTGGGGGAGGAAAGGAGTGGTCTCGATTCAGATGTTACTCACTTTTGCTGTTCTTATGAATGTTAGATCTTCTTTAATAAATATTTACTTGCCATAAACCCTTATGTCCGCTTCCAGAGACTGAATTGTGTTTTTATAATTTTCACCAGTTTGGCTGCGTAACAGGTCGGCAAATCTCCTCACTCAGATATTCTGTAAGTTGATCCAAATGTTTCAAATTTTAAGAACTTGCCAAATTGTGTTCTAAATGGTTAGCATTTCATATTTCCTCCTGGAATATATTAGATTTTCCATTTCTTCATATTACTGACAGTTTACATGTATGGAAGTCATAGGCCATTCATTTTAACCATTTTACTAAGTGTGCAGTAGTATTTCATTGTAGTTCTTAATTTGTATTTTTCGAATGACTCAGTTTTGAGCATTTTTAAATGTGCTTATTCGTCACACGTATATCTTCGTTAGTCAAATGTCAGTTGGTATTTTTTGCCTGTTTTTTTAAAATATTTGGTTGCAAGTTGTTAACATTTCTGAAGACAAATTCCTTATTTGATATAAGCGTTGGCAGTATTTTTTCATGGTCTGTGGCTTTTGTTTTCTTTCTAAAAAATTAGAGTTGAGGTCTTGGTATGTTACATAGACTAGTCTCTAACCCCTGGCCTCAAGTGATCATCCTGCCTCAGCCTCCCAAAATGCTGGGATTACAGGCATGAGCCACCATGCTTGGCCTTGTTTTCAGTTCTTAACAGTATCTTTCCTAGAGGAGATTGTCCTAATTTTTATGAAGCCCAGTTTATCCATTTGTTATCTTATTCCTTGTGCATTTGGTGTTCTATTCTCTTACTATACCATATCTTTGCCTATAAATAAAAGCCTTATGTGAGTATGCTACTGTAGTCTTAGGAATCTTTTTAAATATCCAACTTCTGAAATATTTGTAGGTTTAACTACAGATAAAGAATTTGATGTATATAGATAATGTGTACATATTCCCTATCTTTTGTGAGATATCCTAGCAAGCAGTGGCATTCCAGTAGCTTTGAGCATATTTAATGCCCAGTTATTGGCTTATATAATTTTTTAATAAAAGGAAGCAGAACTCCTTAGAGAAGAGGCTGTTTTCTGGTTGTGGCAGAAAAGGTACAACATGAGTCTAGGAAATATTGCATTGGAAAGTAAAGAGATGCTCACAGAATAATGTTGATGTATTAGCTTTCTATTGCTATCCTGACAAATCACCACAAACTTACGGTTTAAACAACACAAATATATTATCTTACAGTTCTTTAGGTCATAAGTATAACACAGGTATCACTGGGTGAAAATCAAAGTGTTGGCATGATTGTGTTCCTTTCTAGAGTCTCATGGAGAATCTGTTTCTTGCTTATTTTGAGTTGTTAGCATATTTAAGTTCTTTGTGGTTGTAGGACTGAGATTCCTTTTTCTTGATGGCATCAGCTGAGGGTCATTCCTAAAACATGTAAGAACTTTTATGAAATATTAAAGGAAGAAGTAATACCAATTATATACAAACTCTTCCAAAAAGAGAAAAGTTCAAACACTTCTGAACTATATGAAAGTTATCATTAACAGGACAGCAAAGAGGCAATGACATAAAACTATAGACCAATAACCACATGAATATAGACAGAGCCTTAACAAAATTTTAGCAAATTGAGGCACTTGTCCTTCAAATCACCCCGCTGGGTCTCTTCCAAGTATACTTCCCTTTCTTTCTTGTTGTAAAGCCTTTTTAAATAAACTTGCACTCATGCTAAAACAAAACAAAAAGACATTTAGCAAATTGAATCCAGCCATATACAAACAATAATAAATCATAACCTAGTGAGGTTTATCAAGAATAGAAGTTAGATTCAACAATTCAAACTCTTTGTTAATCTGTATTAGCAGACTAAAATGAAAATCTCAAAATGTAATAAAAGCATTTTACAAAATTCAAAACTCGGTTATGATACACACAGCAAACTAGAACAAGATGGTGATTTCTTCCACCTGATACAGCACATCTATGAAAAACAAACAGCTAACAGCACATTTGATATATATGTGATCAAATATTTGATAAGTTGATTTTCCCCAACATTAGGAATAACATAAATATGTCAACATTTATCACTTCTCATTAAAAACAAAAAGTCTTAAGATTGTAAAGGCAGAACCCAAACTCTTTATTTACATATAACATGATAATATTGAAAATTCTAAATTGTCTACTAAAAAGCTACTAGATCTAATAATTGAGTTTAGCAAGGTCCTAAGATAAAAAGGCCAGTGTATACAAAGTATATATCACTATTCTAAGTTGGTATATAGCTGGCAAATACATGCTTGGCAACTGAAAAAATGTACTTCACAATAGCATAAAAATATGAAATATTTAGAAATAAATTTAACAAAATATGTTCAAGAACTATAAAAATAAAACATTCCTGAGAGACATTAAGGAAGGCATAAATAAATGACACAAGAAGTTCCTGAATCTGAGATTTAATATTTTTAAGTTGTCAGTTTTCCTTTAACTGTTCTATAGGTTGAGACGATCCCAATAAAAACCTAATCTTTTAAATAAAAATTTACAAATGTATTCTAAAAAGTTACATGGAAATGCAAAGGGCCTGGACTAATTGCCAAAACAATTTTATTTATTTTATTTTATTTTATTTATTTTTTTTTTTTTTGAGACGGAGTTTCGCTGTCACCCAGGCTAGCGTGCAGTGGCATGATCTCAGCTCACTGCTGTGTCTGCCCCCTGGGATTCATGCCATTCTCCTGCCTCAGCCTCCTGCGTAGCTGGGACTACAGGTACCCGCCACCTCTCCCGGATACTTTTTTGTATTTTTTAGTAGAGACGGGGTTTCACCATGTTAGCCAAGATGGTCTCGATCTCCTGACCTCGTGATCTGCCCGCCTCAGCCTCCCAAAGTGCTGGGATTACAGGCGTGAGCCACCATGCCCGGCCAACAATTTTATAAATAAGAATAAATTTGAAAACCTTTATGACTTCAAGACTTATGAATGTACGGTAATTGAGAGAGTAAAGTATTAGCTAAAGGACAGACATAGAGATGAACAGAAGAGAATAGAGAACCCGGAAATACACTCACACAACACTCTATTGTCAATCTCTTTTCAACAAAGTTGCAAAAGTAGTAAAACAACTTCAGAAAACAGTGTAGCAGCTTTAAAGGTAGCATAAACTTACCATATAGCTTAGGAATCTTACCTATAGGGATATCCCCAAGAGAACAAAAACATGTGTCCTAGAAATACTTACACTTGCATGCTCAGCAGTTTTATTTATAAAAGCCAAACACTAGAAGCTGTTTTTCACACACACACACACACATACACACATACACACACTCAAAACTAAAATGTCCATGAACAGAAGAAGGAATAATCAATTATGGTATATCCTTAAAATACCATTCAACAACATAAAAAATAAACTATGAATACAAGCAAAAACAGCATAGATAAAAAAAAGCCCTGAGCTGAGTGGAAGAAGCCAGACACAAAAGTTGACATACAGTATGATTCCATTTATATGAAATGAAGAAGCTGCAAAACTAGAGTAAAAGAATGCAGATCACTGGTTATTGGGCCTGTGGTCTGAGGGTGAAGGTTCTGACTGAAAGAGTACAGGAAAATGTTATCAGGCAATGGTAATTTTCTCTATCATGACTGTGTTGGTGGTTTCATGACAGTACAGCTGACCCTTAAATAACACAGGTTTGAAATGTACAGGTCCAATTATATGTGAATTTTATTTCAATAAATATATTGGAAAGTTTTTTGAATATTTGAGACAATTTCCAAAAACCAGAATTCATTGAAATAAGTATGTCAAGAATGCATAATACAAAATATATGTAGGTACTATTTTATCATTTACTACCATAAAATATACATAAATCTATTATACAAGGTTAAAATTAGTCAAGAGTCACATAAACACAGACTGTACTTGGTGCTTCCAGAGAAATGTAAACAAACACAAGATGCAGTATTTTTTTTTTTTTTTTTTTTTTGAGATGGAGTCTCTCTCTGTCACCAGGCTGGAGTGCAGTGGCATGATCTTGGCTCACCGCAACCTCTGCCTCCCAAGTTCAAGTGATTCTCCTGTCTCAGTCTCCTGAGTAGCTGGAACTACAGGTGTGCACCACCACGCTGAGCTAATTTTTGTATTTTTTAGTAGAGACAGGGTTTCACCACGTTGGTCTGTGTTGGAGGTCAAAAGAATTAGGGTCATGACCAACTCAGTATGCCACTGGAGACTATATGAGCAAACAACAAACTAGTCTCATGAATGCAGTATGTTGGCAAGCCTACAACTGTGTCTGCAGCCAGATGGAATGCTAAGGGCAGTCACACCCCAGGTGCAGTGTTCCTTGTGGTTATCTACAGGAACATCTGGAGTCTGTTGTATAAAGAAAGCAATTATGTGAGCCTGTGATAAATCAAGCAGCTGACCAACTGTTACGTCTTCCTCTCTGTGGATTCTACCTAATAAATACAAAGGGCTGTAGAAGCTCAGGGCCCTTGTTCCCTAGAAGCAAGGAGCCCTCTGACCCCTTCTTTAAAACAGATCTTTTTGTCTTCATTTCTGCATTTGTCCTTCTTCATTCAGTCCCGAACCGACAGCCACAAGTGGCGCCCGAACAGGGACGTGAGTGAAGAAGGTCTGCTGGAGCAGAGAAAGTGAAACTGACCAGAAGAATGAGAAACCCCAGGACAAGTCTGCTGGCAGTGGATATAAGGTCAGTGCCCTAAAGAGGTACTGGGAGTGGGAAGTTTCTGAATCAGGGTAACATAGGGCAGAATTTGTCTGCTGAAGAGCAACATTATATGCAGTCACTTAAAGGTTTACTTAAACAATCTGGTGCTCAGGTTAGTTCTCAAACACTAGCTAAGCTGCTGCAGGAGGTTATCACGCATAACCCATGGTTTCCACAGACAGACACTCTTGATGTGGAAAACTGGGGTGAAGATTTGCTTACGGCATAGGATATGAGACTTACAAATTAAACTATTGGCAATCCAGGATTTAAAATGTTAAAGAAAATGAGATATCAGAGCAGACAAGGCTTAGGAAAGTCCCTACAGGAAAACCCTGATCCTATATCAATAACTGGGCAAACAGATAGAAAAGGGCTAGGTCGTCAGATTTCTGATGTGGGTCATTGATATTTCTCCTCCACCCACTGCTTTGCCACTAGAGTGGCTAACAAACCTGTATGGGTGGATCAATGGCCCCTTTCACAGGAGAAACTAACTCAACTCCATCAGCTAGTAAAAGAGCGATTGGATGCAGGACATATTGAAGAGTCAGCCCCTGGAATTCACCAGTATTTGTAATACCAAAAAAGTCAGGAAAATGGGGACTGCTACATGATTTGAGAGCTATTAATGCACAGATTAAACCAATGGGTGCATTACAGCAAGGTCTGCCATCCCTGGCAGGCATTTCCAAGAGACTGGCCTCTTGTAGTAATAGATCTTATTGTTTTTTTTACTATACTATTACATCAGCAGGATAGGCCTGGATATGCCTTCTCTGTGCCTTCTGTTAATCAAAGGGAGCCTGTCTCTTGTTATCAATGGAAAGTTTTGCCCCAAGGCGTGCTTAACAGTCCTACATTATATCAGAATTTTGTAGGACAGGCATTAAAGGAGCCTTGTAATGTGTTTCCCACTGGCTATGTCATTCATTATATGGATGATATTCTTTTGGCCGCTCCTACAGATCAAATCTTACATCAGTTATTCAGAGAAACAAAACAGGCTTTGACTAAATGGAATCTCAAAATAGCTCCTGAAAAGGTGCAAACCACCTCCCCATACCAGTACTTAGGCACTATTATTACTGAAAGAAGTGTTCAGCCTCAGAAAGTAGTCATCTGTAGGGACAGATTACAAACTTTGAATGATTTCCAACAATTATCAGGGGACATTAATTGGCTGCACCCAATGCTAGGTATTGCTACTTATTAACTCAAACACCTTTATCAGACCCTCCAAGGAGATTCTTCATTAGACTCTCCTCGGCAACTTACTAAGGAGGCAGAAGCTGAATTATAGCTTGTAGAACAGATGCTTCAGCAACAACATGCCACCTGGTTACAGCCACAAAAGCCTTTGCTTCTGTTTATTCTTCCTACCTCCCATTCTCCAACAGGACTTTTAGGCCAATTCATACACAAATCTGTAATAGTATTAGAATGGCTTTTTTATCCAATCAGACAGTGAAATCTTTGCAAATTTATCTTTCTTTAATTACTCAACTTATAACAATAGGTAGGCATAGATCAAAAATGTTTATGGGATGTGATCCAGACAAAATTATTGTTCCCTTGGATTCCCAACAACAGGCCACAGCATGGGAAATGTCGACTGCATGGCAAATCACTCTCACAGATTTTGTAGGAATAATAGATAACCATTATCCATCAGACAAAATTTTGCAATTTTATGAAGTTCACCCTTTTACCCTTCCTGTAATCACTCATCACAAGCCTATTCCAGGCAGACAGACCTATTTTACTGATGACTCTTCTAAAGGCTGTGCAGCTATTTATGGACCTAAGCATACTGAAACAATAAAGACCTCTGGAGTTTCAGCTCAATGCTCAGAATTAGTGGCAGTTATTCAAGTTTTACAGCTCACCGCTTTATCTCCTATTAACATTGTCTGTGATTCAGCCTATATTGTAAATGTAGCCAGTCACATTGAGACTGCCACTATTAAAAGCACCCTAGAACCAGAGCTGTATAATTTGTTTCTAAGACTTCAACAAGCTGTTCACTCTCATGCTGCTCCTTTTCATATTTCTCATATTTGCTATCACACACAACTTCCTGGACCACTATCTCTAGGTAACAATAAAGCAGATAAACTAATCGGTTCTGTATTTCAACAAGCCCAATCTTCTCATGCATTCCTGCATCAAAACACCTCTGCCCTTACTCGTATGTTTCATCTGCCTTGCAGCCAGGCTTGAGCTATTGCGCAAGCCTACCCCACTTGCCAGCCTGTCCCTGGCGTTGCACCCATGGAAGGATGTAACCCACTAGGCTTGGCTCCATATGAAATCTGGCAGATGGATGTTACACATATAGCAGCCTTTGGCAAACTCAGCTATGTTCATGTGACTACAGACACTTACTCCCATATGCTACATGTCACGTGCCAAACTGGGGAAACAGCTGGTCATGTCTGATGACATTGTCTGTCACCTTTTGCCCATATGGGGGTCCCTACACAATGAAAAACTGACAATGGACCTGCTTATGTTAGTCATGCTTTTCAAAATTTTTTACAGTTATGGGCAATCACTCATAAAACAGAAATTCCTTACAATCCTCAAGGACAAGGAATCATAGAGTGGGCACATCAAACATTACAATGCATGTTGAAAAAACAAAAATGGGGACTAGGAGACCAGCTACCACCTCAAACAAAATTACATTTAGCCTTATTTACTTTAAATTTTTTGACTCCTGGTATGGATATTAAGACTCTGGCAGAATGACATTGGCAAATGTTAGAGGGAAAAAGGAAAGTTTACCCAAAGGTATTACAGAAATCCCCGGAAGAAGGACAATGGAAAGGCCCGGTAGACTTACTGATATGGGGACGAGGGTTTGCTTGTGTTTTTACAGGAGATGGACAATCCGTGTGGGTGCCCTCAAGGTGTGTGTGACCATGGAACGGGAGACTGGAGAAATCCATGGATCTCAACTGTGGGCCCAGCTCCTCCAGTACGAGCCATGAGCTAGTTGAATCTGAATGCAAAGACAGAACAAGGACCGACTGGAGTCACACTGACATCAACCCCCATAAAATGGGGACAGCTCAAGAAAACCACACAGGAAGCTGAGAAACTGCTGGAGCAAAACCCCTGACTCCATGTTTATGGCCATGCTAGCTGTAATATCCTGTGCGGTATGTTTTCCCTGTGCAGAGGCAAAAACTTATTGGGCATATATTCCTAACCCACCAGTAGTACGACCGGTACTCGGGAGCAACACTCCTCCTGAGATATATCATGATCAGGGAGCATGGACACCAGGACCCCTAACTCCCCCTGACAGAGAGTGATTAGATTCTCAGAACAATGGTATCAATTATACTGCACCATTGGAGGGACTTCTTTATGTGTCACCCAGGATGCATCACTCAACCGCAGTTGCCTTGCAATTCAGTCCCAAGCATGCTTGAGTTACCATGGAAAAATTATGTACCTATTAGGCCTTAGCTCTATTAATATTACTGGTGTAGTTACTAATCACTCCTGGCCCCATCACCCAAATTGTATTGATTGTACAGAATGGGCTCCCTTTGATAATTCTCACCCCTGTCCTTGGACTCAGTGTCTTGGCCCCTTAGCTAAACAACAGTCCATGTTAATGGGAGACATTATCGACTGGGGTCCCCATGGTCATTTAGATGGGAGAAGTGAGAATCAGACCTCATGGCATAAATTTTGCTGGCACTGGTGGCGAAACTTGAACATCTCTTCGCTACATCCCAATCTGCTACACAACTTGCTTGGCACAGAATGGGCTTTAGCCCACCTTTGCCTCAATGGCATTATCAAGGAAAGAGAGGTCCAATTCAGGAGTCAATATGGAAGACAGCACTCCCATTTATGAATGGCAGCATTTGGGTTGGGACACTATCCAATAATAGTAATAATGCTCAATGCAGTTTTAATGTTACCTTTGTAGAAAATACTACCACACAGTTTACAATTTGTATTTTTAATCCGTATGTTTTTCTAGCAGCAAAAAAGGACCAACTCCGGGTAAACAATGCCCAATCGATTTGTGATGCCTGTCAACTGTATCATTGCCTTAATCATAGCACAATACAAACACACAGCATATCCACCCTAATAATTCTAGGTCACATTCCTGGATTATAGATTCCTGTAAATCTGTCCGAGCCTTGGGAGGCCACCCCCGCTTTACATTTTGTAAAACTCCTTCTTATTCAGCTTACTCATCGTGCTCGTAGAGCTTTAGGCATGATAATTTTTGCTATAATTTCCCTAGTCACACTAATAACCTCTGCTGTGTTGTCCTCAGTAGCACTGCACAGCTCCATTCAAACAGCTCAATGTGTGAAAAATTGGATGTGCACAGCCGACCAGGAATGGATGCTTCAAAATAAAATTAACACCAAGATACAAACAGAAGTGGCAATGTTAAAGACTACTGTTCTGTGGCTAGGATAACAAATACAAAGCCTGAAGTTGCAGCAGCAATTGCATTGTCATTTTAACCCTATTCATATTTGTGTAACTAATTTGGAATATAATCAAAGTGAATATCCAAGGAACTTTGTAAAGGCCCATTTACAGGGAGTTTTACATTCAATGTTACTTTTGATATTAATGATTCACAAAGTAAAATCCTTAACTTGAATAAGCAGACTCAAGTGCTTCAGCCCTCTTTAAAAGCTTGGGCAGAATTCCAGCAAGGTTTAGGGAGCCTTAACCCTTGGACCTACTTCAAACAGCACCTCAATGTCTTTTTTGTGATTATCGGAATAATGTTATTATGTTTCTGTTTTTTGTTCATAGTCTGTAAAATCAGCTGGACCACCAACCGGCAATTGAGAGCTGCACAGCCTGCAATTACCTTTATTCAATTAATACAAAAACAGAAAAGGGGGGAGGTTGGAGGCCGAAAGAATGAGGGTCGTGACCAACTCAGTATACCACTGGAGGCTATATGAGCAAACAGCAAACTGTTCTCATGAATGCAGGATGCTGGCAAGCTGACAACTGCATCTGCCACCAGAAGGAATGCTGAGGGCAGTCATACCCCACGTGCAGTGTTCCTTGTGGTTATCTATAGGAACATCTGGAGGCTGTTGTATAAAGAAAGCAATTATGTGAGCCTGTGATAAATCAAGCAGCTGACCAACCATTACCTCTTCCTCCCTGTTGATTCTACCTAATAAATACAAAGGGCTGTAGAAGCTCAGGGCCCTTGTTCCCTAGAAGAAAGGAGCCGCCTGTCTCCTTCTTTAAAACAGATCTTTTTGTCTTTGTCTTCATTTCTGCATTTGTTCTCTTTTGTTCAGTCCCAAACCGACAGCCATAGGCCAGGATGGTCTTGATCTTTTGACCTCATGATCTGCCCACCTCGGCCTCCCAAAGTGCTGGGAGCCACCACACCCAGCCAAAGATGCAGTATTAAGTCATAATCGTGCATGTGTGTATGTGTGTGTTTGAATAGACAGAGTCTCCCTCTGTCGCCCAGGCTGGAGGGCAGTGACATGATCATAGATTGCTGCATACTCAAACTCCTGGGCTCAAGTGATCCTTCTGCGTCGGCCTCCCCAGCAGCTGAGACCACAAGCACATGCCACCACACTGGCTAATTTTAAAATGTTTTCTGTACAGGCTGGGCATGGTGGCTCACACCTGTAATCCCAGCATTTTGGGATGGTTGGCAGGTCCCAGAAGTTTGAGACCAGCCTGGGAAATATAGTAAGACCCCATCTCTACAAAAAAACAAAGACAAATTAGCTGGGTATGGTGCCACGCACTTGTGGTTCCAGCTACTCGGGGAGCTGAAGTAGGAGTATCACCTGAGCCCAGGAGGTTGAGGCTGCAGTGAGCTGTGATTGTGCCACTGCACTCCAGCCTGGGTAACAGAGTAAGACCCTGTCTCAACAATTTTCTGTAGAGGCAGGGGTCTCGCTATGTTGCCCAGGCTACTCTCCAACTCCTGGCCTCAAGCAATCTTCCCACCTTGAGCTCCCAAAGTGCTGGGATTACAGGCATAAGCCATCATGCTGGGCTGATAAAATTAACTACAGGACATACTACAGTACCATAATAATTTTGTAGACATCTCCTGTTGTTCACAGTGTTGTGAGTATTCACTTAAAGAACCCCATGATGTTAATCATCTCCACATGAGCAGTTCATCTCTCCAGTAAATCACATATTGCAGTAAAAAGTGATCTCTCAAGGTTCTAATATATTATTCATAGTGTTTAGTGCGATATTGTAAACTTTAAGTAACGCTATATGGCCTATATGAAGTGCCAGTAGTGATGCTGGAAGTGCTCCCAAGAAGCAGGGAAAAGTCATGACATTATAAGAAGCAGCTGAACTGCTTGATATGTACTATAGATTGAGGTTTGCAGCTGTAGTTGCCCACCATTTCAAGATAAATTAATCCAGTATGAGGATCATTGTTAAAAACAAACAAAAAAGGAAATAAAGACATTGCTGCAGCTATGCCAGCAGGCACAAAAATCTTGCATTTTCTGCAAAATATATCTTTTATCTCATTTAAAAATGCAGCTTTCATGTGGGTGCAGAATTGCCATGGGTAAGGCATACAGAGAGACTCAAATACGATTTGAGAAACAGTCATTATATGACAACTCAAAGCATTAGGAAGGTGAAGGATCTAAAGCTGGAGAATTTAATGGCAGCAAGGGAAAGTTTGATAATTTTAGAAAGATGTTTGGCTTTGAAAATGTCAAGATAATAGGAGAAGCAACTTCTGCTGACTACAAGGCAGCCAACAATGTCCCAGGTGCCATTAAGAGAACCACTGACAAGAAATTATATCAACCTGAACAGATTTGTTTTTTGTTTTGTTTTGTTTTTGAGACAGAGTTTTGCTCTTGTTGCCCAGGCTGGAGTGCAATGGCACGATCTCAGCTCACTGCAATCTCCACCTCCCAGGTTCAAGCGATTCTCCTGCCTCAGCCTCCCAAAGTAGCTGGGATTACAGGCACCCGCCACCATGCCCAGCTAATTTTTTTGTTTTTTTTTAGTAGAGATGGCCATCTTGGCCAGGGTGGTCTTGAACTCCTGACCTCAGGTGATCCACCCGCCTCAGCCTCTCAAAGTGCTGGGATTACAGGCATGAGCCACTGCACCCGGCCTGAACAGGCTTTTAATGCAAATAAAGTGCCCTGTTTTGGGAAAAACTGCCACAAAGGACATTTATTAGTAAGTAAGAGAAGAACATACCAAGATTTAAAACAGAAAGGGATAGGCTAACTCCAGTGTTTTGTTCAAATGTAGTTGGTTTTATGATAAGGACTGCCCTTATCTATAAAACTGCTAACCCCAAACCCTTGCACAAGCTGTCAGTCTTTTGGTTGTACAACAAGAAGGCCTGGACAATGAGAACCATTTTTTCTGGGTTGTTCCCATTAATGCTTTGTTCCTGAAGTCAGGAAGTGCCTTGACAGAAAGTAATTGCCTTTAAAGTTCTTTTGACATTGTACAATGCCCCTGGCCAGCCAGAACCCCATGAGATCAACACCAAAGTTGTGGAAGTGGTCTACTTGATCCTAAACACCCTCTAATTTGGCATAAAGATGATGGAGTCATAAGAATCTTTAAATTAGGATCCCTAATCCCCACATTGTTCAAGGGTCAACTGTATATATTGACCAGTATTCATTGAACTGTACATTTTAAACTGGCAAATTTTATTGTGTGTAAATTACACTTCATTAAATCTGCTTAAAGAGAAAAAAATAATCCATGAGTCCACAGACATAAATGAATGAATGAATGAAGTAGGAAAGAAAAAGTTATACTTTATAGTAAAATGTCAGTTAAAATAGATGGAGATAGAAAATCATCAATGAGAGCTAAACTGGTGAAGTAAAAGATTAATGAGGAAAAGGAGTTTTATATATTTCTAAAGAATCTTTCTTCTGGCCGGGTGCGGTGGCTCACGCCTGTAATCCCAGCACTTTGGGAGGCCGAGGTGAGCGGATCACGAGGTCAGGAGATGGAGACCATCCTGGCTAACACGGTGAAACCCCGTCTCTACTAAAAATACAAAAAATTATCTGGGCGTGGTGATGGGCGCCTGTAGTCCCAGCTACTCGGGAGGCTGAGGCAGGAGAATGGCGTGAACCCGGGAGGCGGAACTTGCAGTGAGCCGAGATCGTGCCACTGCACTCCAGCCAGCCTGGGCGAGAGAGAGAGACTCCGTCTCAAAAAAAAAAAAATTTTCTTCTATTTATTTGCATTTATATAGAAAAAACAGTAGAGAGAATGTAAACAACCCAGTCAGGAGGAGACTCCAACACTGAAAAAAATTCATGAGTACCATATTTACATGTTTTAAAATCATATTTCGTCAGAATTATATTTTCACAACGATAGATATGGTAAAAATGATTTTGCACTTTCTTACAGTACCACAAAACATTTTAATGGAGCAAGAGATTTCTTTTTTTTTTTTTTTTTTTTTGAGAAGGAGTTTTGCTCTTGTTGCCCAGGTTGGAGCGCAATGGCCCTATCTCGGCTCACTGCAACCTCCACCTCACCGGTTCAGGCAATTCTCCTGTCTCAGCCTCCCAAGTAGCCGGGATTATAGGCTCCTGCCACCATGACAGGCTAATTTTTTGTATTTTCAGTAGAGACAGGCTTTCACTATGTTGGCCAGGCTGGTCTTGAACTCCTGACCTCAGGTGATCCACCCACCTCGGCCCCCCAAAGTGTTGGGATTACAGACATGAGCCACCGCACCTGGCGGAGTGAGAGATTTCTAACCATAACTGAGATTTTGCTTATTCATATAACTTAATGGTTTATGTTACAAGATAAATAAAAATGATTAGTATTTGGTTAAAAAATTTTAGGCTGGACACGGCCTATTATCTAAGAAATTAGATATATATCTTGCATACAAATTCATTACTAGCTGTGTTATTTGTAGATATTTTATGCTAATCATTTGTAGCTCCTCTTTTTAATGTTAACAAGATATTTTGAAGAGCATTGCATTTAATTATGAGAAAATCTAATTTCTTAATTTTCCTGTTACAGTCTTGTTTGGTGTTTTTATGTAAGAAATATTTGCTTCACTATGATCACAAAGATTTTCCTCCATTATCTCCTAGAAGTTGTATGGTTTGGCCGGGCGCAGTGGCTCACGCCTATAATCCCAGCACTTTGGGAGGCCGAGGCGGGCGGATCACGAGGTTAGGAGATCAAGACCATCCTGACTAACATGGTGAAACCCCGTCTCTACTAAAAATACAAAAAATTTAGCCGGGGGTGGTGGCGGGCGCCTGCAGTCCCAGCTACTCAGGAGGCTGAGGCAGGAGAATGGTGTGAACCCAGGAGGCGGAGCCTGCAGTGAGCCGAGATCGCGCCACTGCACTCCAGCCTGGGCGACAGAGCAAGACTCAGTCTCAAAAAAAAAAAAAAGAAGTTGTATGGTTTTTGGTTTTACATTTATGTCTATGAATTATTTCAAGTTAATTTTTAGCATAGAACTTGCTGGAACATGGGTTAAATGGTCAGGAAAAGTGGTAAATTAAGGATAAAAATTGCTACATTCTTTGGAAAATGAAAGCAAATAGCAAGATGATAGTGTTATTCATAGAGATGAAAGTGACTGTTAGACTTGGTGATAAAAGCTGAGAAAACTGCTCATTTTGGAGCACATTTAAATATCTATCACAGAGGCAAATTGGAAGGTCAGGGAAAAAAATTGGAAAAATGAATCTAGAACTCAGGTAACAGTAAGGATGGTTGGGAAGGTTTAAATTAGTAAATTGGAAGATTTCATAGAAAACTCATGAAGGTTAAGTGACCTGAGGATGCAGAAGTGACCACTGGGCTAAAGTGAAGAACAAATATGGAGAGAAGTGGCAGGCTTGCATGATACACATGCGTTCAGTAAAGCAAACACATCACAACCCAGTGAGTATTCTCAATATCAGCACATCTCTTAAACTAGCACCACAATCAATAATGAAAATCCCCTTCATTCACCAATGGGTTCTAACTCCTAGAATTTATGATTTCTAGTGCTCTGTATTCTAACATATATTTTGCTCATCTTTGCATTTTGTACTCTTTTGCTTAATTCTCAGTGGCATATCTTCATTTGGAGAGATGTCTTTTAAGTCTAGTGGTGGCTTCTTGTCATCCTGGTCCTACTCCTCCTCTTCCTCGTGTTCCTCTTCCTCCTTCTGTTCTTTCTCTTCCTGCTCCTTGTCCCTTTACATCTTTATCTTTATTTTTACCTTCATCTTCATATTCTTTTTCACCAGAAATCCCTCAGGTTGACCAAGATGGTGGTATGTAGCTATATGTGCCACATGTGGCCTGGAGTGTAGGACTGGTAAGATGTGACTCATAACAATATGGATAGACGATGTAATTCTGGGTTTAAAAAAAAAAACCTCTGCATGACCTACACTTCAGAGGCCCTTAGAGCTTCCTCAGTAAATTTCTGTTCATTTGTGTCTCTTTGGGTTGGTTTCCTACCTGGGGATGTGACAACATGGATCACAGGCGTTACAGTTTCAAGGTACATTTCCATAGAAGAGGATGACAAAATAATTGCCTTTACATAGAAAATGAGTCATAGGAGGTTTCTCTTTGGAATTCTTAATTGTTTACCAACAGTTTCCCTAAATGCACCAAGATTCCACCCTCACATATGTGGCACTAGGCTACACGAACTTCCAGCTATGACAGGAAGCATTTAAGTTTCTGCTGTAAAGGAAAGAAGAGATTCGGGGCAGAAAGCGTCCTGACTCTGGGGCATTACTGAACTCCCCTGCTGAGGAAGGAATTTTGGGGCCAAACAGCAACAATAAGTCTATCAAGCGTATAGCAAAAATATTCCTGATAGTGTCACATGCCCCACAATATAGAGATATCTAAGGATAATTAATATCAAGGTCTGAAGTGAGATAATTATGGTGGGCCTAGAATATGTGAAAACAATGTCACAGGAATGGCAAGAACCAAATGAACAGAAATAATAGAGACTGATAAATTATTTCAAGTCCTACTCTGAGTAATTACTCATGCATCACAACAAGAATGATTACTTCAAACTTTCTGATAACTATATAAACACATGTAAAGAAGGAAGCAATATTTTCCGTATTATGGATTCTTTGCGTAGCTTTCTGAAATTCAAAACTAAATATTGCAAGCTAACTAAAAGAGATGGAATTTCTTCTAGAATATCAACCAATACTTCAAGAAAGTTGTTTAAAAATAGCAGAAAGGTCAATATAATAAAATAAGTCAATATCAATATTCCACTAAATCATATTTAATGCAGATATTCATTTATATTTTAAACAGTCAATACGTAAAGTACCTACCTGATTGTTCACTTTAAAGCTGGTGCAAATTAAAGTAATATGAAGGATAATAATGCTTTGCAGATTACTCTTTAAAAATAAATGAAAGAGATATTTAGAGAATATGTGAACTTTTAGAAAAACACAAATAAGAAAAAATGTGACAAAGTTTGAATGAAGTAAGATTTATTCATTCGTTTATGTATATATTTACTTCTGAGGCGGAGTCTCGCTCTGTCGCCCAGGCTGGAATGCAGTGGCACGGTCTCGGCTCACTGCAAGCTCCGCCTCCTGGGTTCACACCATTCTCCTGCCTCAGCCTCCTGAGTAGCTGGGACTACAGGAGCCCGCGACCACGCCCGGCTAAATTTTTTTGCGTTTGTTTTGTTTTGTTTTTGTTTTTGTTTTTTTTTTGAGACGGCGTCTTGCTCTGTCGCCCAGGCTGGAGTGCAGTGGCACGATTTCTGCTCACTGCAAGCTCTGCCTCCTGGGTTCATGCCATTCTCCTGCCTCAGCCTCCCGAGTAGCTGGGACTACAGGCGCCACCACCACGCCCGGCTAATTTTTTGTATTTTTAGTAGAGACGGGGTTTCACCATTTTGGTCAGGCTGTCTCGAACTCCTGACCTCAGGTGATCCGCCTGCCTCGGCCTCCCAAAGTGCTGGGATTACAGGCGTGAGCCACCACGCCCGACCCGTAAAACTCTTAAAATAAGAGGATCATGGCCGGGTGCAGCGGCTCTTGCCTGTAATCCCAGCATTTTGGGAGGCTGAGGTGGGCCGATCACCTGAGGTCGGGAGTTCGAGACCAGCCTGACCAGCATGGAGAAATCCCGTCTCTACTAAAAATACAAAATTAGCTGGGCGTGGT
This sequence comes from Homo sapiens, assembly GCF_000001405.40. Taxonomy (NCBI): domain Eukaryota; kingdom Metazoa; phylum Chordata; class Mammalia; order Primates; family Hominidae; genus Homo; species Homo sapiens. The sequence continues at coordinate 57,525,376 of NC_000019.10, forward strand.
GGCACATGCCTGTAATCCCAGCTACTAGGGAGGCTGAGGCAGGAGAATCGCTTGAACCTGGGAGGTGGAGGTTGCAGTGAGCCGAGATCGTGCCATTGCACTCCAGCCTGGGCAACAAGGGCGAAACTCCATCTCAAAAAAAAAAAATAATAAAAAAATAAAAGGATCAGAAATAAATAATAGTGGAGACAAACGATTGTGATGCCCTACCTTGTTTTAACCTGATTGTCTCTCTCAGCTGAGAGAGCCAAACAGACTCCATTTTTGTTTCTTCACTTGCAGCCCCCTTATCCCCCTCCCTTAAGGACATAACTAGTGCAAGCTGACTCCAAGCACATCCAGGAATGCACTTACTGATAGACACTGAGGCACGCTGTACCAGCAGCTCCTAGGAACGCACTCAGTTAATGGTACCCAAAGCCCCTGCGTTTATCACTTTGTGATAATTAAGCCCCTGCACCTGGAACTGTTTATTTTCCTGTAAATGTTTGTGTAACCATTTATCTTTTAACTTTTTGCCTGTTCTGCTTCTGTAAAAATTGCTTCAGCTAAACTCCCCCTCCCCTATTTAGATCAAGGTATAAAAAGAAATCTAGCCCCTTCTTCGGGGCCAAGAATTTTGAGCTCTAGCTGTCTCTCGGTCGCTGGCAATAAAAGGACTCCAGAATTAGTCTCAGAGTGTGGCATTTCTCTATAACTCGCTCGGTTACAACACTATAGCCAAAGATTACATTCATAAAGATATTTTTACAATATAGGTGTCTTATTTAATATGACTCCAATCTAAATGGTAATTTTTCTAACCTTTCTTAAGTAATTATAAAATGTCAAAATTATAAACAATTAAAAACTAAAGAGAAATGAAGACAATGGATAGCAACAAAAGCTAATTGCTAAATATGGGGGAAAAAAGCCAGGCATGGTGGCTCATGCTTGTAATCCCAGCACTTTAAGGCAGGCGAATCACTTGAGGCCGGTTCTAGACCAGCCTGGCCAACATGGTGAAACCCTGTCTCTACTAAAAATACAAAAATTATCCGGGGGTGGTGGCGCATGCCTGTAGTCCCGGCTACTCGGGAGGCTGAGGCAGGAGAATCGCTTGAACCTGGGAGGTGGAGGTTACAGTGAGCAGAGATTGCACCACTGTACTCCAGTCTGGGCGACAGAGTGAGACTCTGTCAAAAAAAAAAAAGGAAAAAAAGAAAAGAAAAAGAAGATATAATGTTTCTGCAATCTCATTTCAGTTCCACTTATGATAATAGATACATTATGTAATTTAAGTCACTAACACTTGAGGGCAAAAAAACAGAATAAACACAAACGTGTGGGATAAGGGGATGCTGACCCCACTGTTAGTGATCACCTTGGTTGGAGACCCAGGTTTTATCATACAGATGAAGCCTGCAGGTAGCAAGTTTCAGAGAAATAGATTGTAAATGTTTCTTATCAGACTTAAGGTCTATGCTGATGTTATTGCTGTAGGGGTAGAATGAGGCATGTCCAACCCCTTCTTCCATAATGGCCTGAACTAGATTTTCAGGTTAACTCTATAATGCTGAGAGGAGGGGGTCCATTCAGATAGTTGGGAGGCCTTTGAATTTTATTTTTGGTTATAGTTTCTACATTAAAAAAAAGAAAAAAATTAAGGGTCGCGTCAATTCTCAATTGTCAACATTTTTAATGTATTGTATGCAATATATGTCAACTTTTGTGTTGAGAAATGAAGATCAAATCGTATTCTTTTATCCTGTGTATGTAATAGGCTTTGCTGACCCTAGTTTGATGGGTTTTTTCCTTTGTCCTCTCTTTCTTGGATTGAGTCCTCACAGCGCGGCGGACTGCGGCGTGGTAGGAACTACACCACCCAGAATACTGTGCGCCGAGCGTGCCGGGGCCTTAGACCAATCATTGCCCAGGAAAGGGGCACCTCCGTAAGTGCGCAATACGCCAGAATCTTCCGGCGTCTTTCCGGTGGTGGTCGTTTTTGCTGCCTGCGAGCGCGTCCGCGGGCTGGGCGTTTCCGGCTCGCTGGGTCCGGGCCAGGTAACTGGAGCCGGAAACCGGTGGAGGTGGTGTCCGCCCGCAGAGGAGCTTGCCTGGTCTCGGTCTGAGCGTCGCCCAGCGATTTGCCACCGCACGCACGCCGGATCCCGGGCTTTACCGCCCGCCTTTCCAGGCCCCGCCCCGCCTAAAGTCCCATGGCCGAGGCAGCGCTAGTGATTACGCCGCAGGTGAGAGCGGAGTCCTCGGATCCTCACCTGGGTCCTGAGGCCCCGGACTGGGGTCACCTGCGTGGGTCTCTGCAGTTCAGGCCTCTTCTCCAGGACAGCGAGGAGTTCTGGGTGGGGTCCTCAGAGCTGACGGGCGGTGAGGTGAAGAAGGGAGAGCGTTGCGTACCGTGGGGGCTGCACGCGCAGAGCCTGGGAGGTGCGCCGGGGTCGCGAGCATTCGGAAACTTGGGGGCGGACCTGTGTCTGCAGGGAGCAGAGAGAATGAGGAGAAGAAGGCACGGCTGCCATGGCAGCCTGAGCAACCGGGGTTTTTAATTCTGAGTCTTTGGGAGCCATGGAGGGTTGTGAACTAAAGGAGAACACGATCTGAGTGAGGGTCTGAAAAAATATTTCAAAGGCAATGAGTGGAGAAAACAGACTGTTACGGAGTGATGGGGGTGGACGCAGGGATACTGGTGAGGAGACTGCTGTAGTAGGCTCCAGGAGGATTATGGTGGATTCTGGACCAGACGGGTTGCTGAAGGGACCTAAGTAATAAGAATCTTGGTAGATCTTAAAGGTAAAGCCAGCAGGATTTTCTGCTCCATCATTTGTGCCTATGAGCAAAAGTGGGAGTGAAGTATGATCCCAAGTTTTTCTTTTACCTGAACATCTGGAAGAGTTGACAAAGAAATCTGGTGAGGGAGCAGGTTTCAGGGAAATAGTAGGAGTTGAATTTTGGACGTGGTGTTTCTAAATTGCCACAGAGTGAAGTTGTTACATGGGCAGTTGGAATCATAAGTAGAAAATTCATGGGAGGGGACTGACTCAGTGATGTGTAAATGGAGACAGGCTGGGGCGTAGACTCAAGCCAAGCCTTAAATTTAGACGGGAAATCTTAAGGTTTTACTTTGAGATGAAGAGAGGGAGGGCTGAGGCTGGAGGCTGGGAAAGTGTGGGTCGGCCTTGGCGAAGCTGCCTGCAGATAGGAGGGCCATGGGGTTCCGGGGGTACTTCCAAAGGGAATGTGTAAGGAATACACACTGCATAGGATGGATTTGAGGGTGGGACACTGTGTAGAGTCACCATTCAGAAGACTTGGCGAACTGTTCACTCTATGTGGAGCCAGAGAAAGGTCAGCCAGACTAGCAGAGAAGCCCAAGCCCAGCAAGAGCAGCTCTCCCAGGAAAATACAAGTTTAGACTGTATAGATTTAACAAATTAAATTTATGCAAGCAATTAGTTAACCGAATAAAATGTCACTATAACTCTGTGCTCTAATAAAAAATAAATGTTTGTTTTTTGTCATGCTTTCCTGGCACAGAATTCCTAAAATCGTTGTAATTTCCTCAGTGAAAAGTGTCTTGTGATAAGTCATGGACCGCATAACAACAGTGTTGACCACATCAGTGACGGTGGTCCCATAAGATTATGATACCATATTTTTACTGTACCTTTTCATTTTCTTTCTTTCTGATCAGGAGGCAAACTGCATTTTCTAAGTTTATAAATGTTTAAATGCACAAATAATTATCACTGTGTTACAGTTGCTGACAGTATTTAGTATAGTAACTTGCTGTACAGGTTTGTAGCCTAGGAGCAATAGGCTATACCATTTAGTAGTTGAACAATGAATGTCTGAACAGTAGTTCCCCCTTATCCTCAGAGGATACCTTTCAAGAACCCCAGCGGAGGCTTGAAACTGCAGATAGTACCCAACCTATATATACTATGTTTCTTCCTAGACTACATACCTGTAATAAAATCCAGTTTATAAATGAGGCAGTATAGGAGATGAACAATAATAACTGGAAATAATATAGAACAGTTATACTTTATAAGTTAATAAAAGTTAAGTAACTGCAGTTGAGACAATAAAAAAGCAAAAGTTAAATTATAAAAAACATGTGAATGTGGTATCTCTCTAAATATCTTACTGTACTATTCACCCTTGTGATGAAGAAGGGACTAAACTCGATAGAGTGAGATTTCCTCACACTACTTACAATGGTGCACTGTTGGCCAGCGCAGTGGCTCACACCTGTAATCCCAGCACTTTGGGAGGCTGAGGCAGGCAGATCACAAGGTCAGGAGATCGAGACCATCCTGGCTAACATGGTGAAACCCCGTCTCTACTAAAAATACAAAAAATTAGCCAGGTGTGGTAGTGGGCGCCCGTAGTCCCAGCTACTCCGGAGGCTGAGGCAGGAGAATGGTGTGAAGCTGGGAGGCAGAGCTTGCAGTGAGCCGAGATTGCACCACTACACTCCAGCCTGGGCGACAGAGCGAGGCTCCGTCTCCAAAAATAAATAAATAAAATAAATAAATAAATAAATAAATAAAGGATGGTGCACTATTTAAAACATGAATTGTTTATTTCTGGAATTTTAATATTACTATTTTCAGACTGAAGTTGAAATTTAATACTTATAATTTTCACACTGAAGTTGAGTGTGGGTAACTGAAACTGCAAATAGCAAAACAGCTGATAAGGGAAGACTTCTATACTTGAGTTTTATGAGATGGCTTAGGGTGAGCAGACAAGGTGGAGTCTCTAGATAGCCTCAGAGTGGAGTCAGTCACCAGAAAAATCAAGTGATTATAGAATTTGAACTTTGAGCCCCACCTCTGGCATCCAGGGAGGGGAGCAGAGATCTGGAGATTAGGTTATATAAAATCTTGAACAATGAGTTCTAGAAGCTTCAAGGTTGTGAACACTTGGAAGTGCTGGGAGAGTGACGTAAGAGAGCGTGGAAGTACTCTGCCTTACCCCCTCTCCCAGTACCTTGCCATATGCATCGCTTCCATTTGGCTGTTCCTGAGTTACATCCATTATCATAAACTGGTAAACATAAGTAAAATATTTTCCTGAGTTCTGTAAGTGGTTCTAGCAAATTATTGAACGTAAGGAGAGAGGTCATGGCAGCCCCCAAATGTGTAGCCAAGTGGAGAAAATTACAGTGGTCTGGACATTGGCTTGCAATTGCCATATGAAGTGAGGGCAGTTTTGTACGACTGAGCCCTTAAACCTGTTGGTTTAGCTGCAACTCCAGGTAGTTAGTGTTAGAATAGGATTGAATTGTAGGACACCTAGTTGGTATCAGAATCAGAGAATGGTGTGGGAAAAGACACTACATATTTATTATCAAAGAAGCACAGAAGCCTCTCATAATTTGAAAAGATACCACATTCACATAAAGACTTAAATGGCAAGTAAGAAACACCAGAGTTTTAAAAAATGTTTACAGAAATCTTAATGCAATAGTCAGTACTAGCTAAATCTTAGCATTGGACACGTATGAATGAGTTTGATGCCTACGATGGCACTACGAGATAGCCACCATTAAGTGTTTCCATTTTACAGATGAAGGCAACCTCAGAGAGGTTAGGTCTTTGTCTAGTGTCACACAGTTGGCAAGAGCAACTTACCCTTTGTAAATGCCACCTTGAACACCTGTATTTCATAGCCTCCCTCTTCCTACAGATTCCCATGGTAACAGAAGAGTTTGTGAAACCATCACAGGTAAGTGGAAGAAGTCCCAGGTCTTCACTGGCCCTGTTCCCTAAAGCCATGGGTCTGGCCCACAGATGCAGGTAACAATAATGTCCTGGGACTCTTTTTCCTTCATCTTGGGTCCCTGGGGCCACCTCAGGCCCAGGATGATTAATCAGGGTCAGGAGTTATACAGAGATGTTCCCATTTCTGCATCCAATAGGATGAAGTGATGAAAGGTTTCCTGGGCATAGGCGCCAGCATGTCCAAATGCTTAGAGATGAGAATGATATGGGCATATATAGGGAACTGCAAGTCTGTGCACTGTGGCCAAAACTTTTGCAGTTTGAGCTGTGACAGAACTAACATGAGTTTCTTTTTCCTTCTTTACAATCTCACAGATACATGATTTGTCCTTTTCGTAGATCTTAGCAAACTCAGAGTACAATATTTTTTTTCTTGTTAAGAACTCTCACCTTTTCACTTAAAGGAAGTACTTCACAGGTTGTCTTTTACATATCTGAATGGCTGGTATTATCGCTCTTGTGCTTTGGGGGTATTAAGTAAAATAAGCGTTACTTGAACACAAGCACTGTGATAATGAGACAGTTGATATGATAACCAAGATGGCCACATAGTGATTAACAGGCAGGTAGTGTATTCATCATGGATCTATTGGACAAACGGATGATTCACGTCTTGGGCAGAACAGCGTGGGACAGTGTAAGATTTTATCACACTACTCAGAGAAGCACGTCATTTATAATTTTTGGGTTGTTTATTTCTGGAATTATCCATGTAATATTTTCAGACCACAGTTAACCAGTAGTAAGTGAAACCATGGAAAACAAAATTGTGGCTAAGATCGGGGACGACTGTATATGTATTCAGTGCTATACATTTTATTCTAAGCACCGCTTCGACTGCATCTCACAAATTCTAAGTTGTGTTTTCATTTCATTTAGTTCAAAATATTTTTAAATTTATCTTGAGTATTTCTTCTTTGTTCCATGCGTTGTCTTGTTTACATCTCCCAGGTATTTTGGGATTTGCCAGCTCTCTTTCCATTACTGCTTTCTAGTTGAATTCCATTGTGATTGCAGAGCAGACCTTGTATTATTTCTAGTAAATTTATTAAGATGTGTTTTATAACTGTGTATTGTAAACTGGGGAGTAAATGCCCTTCGTGGGGTCTCTAGGATCATTCCAACACTGCCGTGGAAATGAAACTCTGAGAAGCATAAAGGATTTATTATATTCATAGGTCCTCATAGAGGGTGGCACAGCAAACCATGCATGGAGCCATATGGAAATAGCTCTCAGGGAGTGGACTCAACCAAGCAGGCAGGGAGCCAAGAGGGAGAGCAAGGACCTGTGGGCAGGTGCCTTTCCTACTGTGTTTGAATGTCATTCAGTCACAGTCAAAGGATGAAAAGAAGGGGAGGTTGTGACAGGGACCAGTCTTAGCATGCTGGGGACCTGGTCACCGGGGTGGGTTGCTCATAATGTATTGGGGATGTTGAAGCATCAGGAAAATAGGAAGTTTTAAAGATATATAAAACAGGCCCAGAATGTGGTCTGTCTTGTTGAATATTCCGTGTGAGCTTGAGAACAGCATGTATTCTGTTCTTGTTGGACAAAGTAATCTAAAGATGGTGATTATGTCCAGTTGATTGATGGTGTTGTTGAATTCAGTTAAGTTTAGTGGTTTTCTGCCTACTGTATCTGTCAGTAACAGAAAAGAGTGTGGAAGACTTCAATTATGATGGTGGATTGATCTGTTTCTCCTTGAAGATCTGTCAGTTTTTGCCTCATATAGTTTGATGCTCTGTGGTCAGGCATGTATGTGCTAAGGATTCTTGTATCTTTTTGGAAACTGCCTCAACCTCCCGAGTGGCTGGGATTACAGGCGCCCGCCACCACGCCCAACTAATTTTTGTATTTTTAGTAGAGACAGGGTTTCTGCACATTGGCCAGGCTGATCTCGAACTCCTGACCTCAGGTGATCCACCCGCCTTGGCCTCCCAAAGTGCCTGTGATGTTTTCTTGATAGCTACACATGATGAGCTCAGTAAAAGGAATTGCTGTAAATAGGCCTTTAATAATGTGGTGGTGAGGTGTGTCAGCGGGCAGGGGAAGCATTTTAAGTCCCACAGTTAGGTCTCAGTGTTTTAGTGAGCCTGTTCCTCTTGACTGAAATTCACATGTGTTTCTAAATTGTGTTTATTATGCTTTTTCTCTCCCATTATGTGGAAGAGGAATACTAGAGTGGGTTGTAGTTGGTTATTTCCCTTCCCCCAGATAGATTAGGCTCTGATAATACCTCTGCAGGTTAGGCTCTGATTAACTGTTGTCTCCCAAGGGCAGGCTTTGTTTAGAGGAACACATTGCTATGGCATATTTTAAAATGATTCATTTTCCCCTCTCTGCTGGAAGCACAAGGGGATTTTTTTTTTTCCAGTATTCACCATGAGAACTTGGTTAAGTTTCTGGAGGTAAATATTGCAAGATTGTGGGGGCCCCCTATCAGAGTGCCTCCTGAATTTTCAGCTCACAGAATTGTCCACACAGACCTTCCAGCAATTTATGCATTATAGATTGGGTTTTCCTAACCTAGCACTGGTTTGCATGATGGTTTCCTTTCATGAGTTTCTGCTCCTGTGAGCCTTGATTCTCCTGTATGCCCTCGTTTGTCTCTCCAATCTTGTGGGCAGCAGTGTGTGCTGTGCCCTTATCTTTCCTGTGTGGATCCTAGAATTGTCCATTTTTCAGTCTGTTTAACTCTTTACTTGCTATTGTGATAGAGTGGCCACTTCCAAGCTCCTTACATGCAGAATAGAAACCAAAGTCCAGGAGTTAGGCCTTCACAATGTGGAGTCTCATGTTGGGACTTCTTGGTGGTGGTGTTAGGTGCACAGCAAGAGACAGACACGTGGAGTTCAGGGAAGGGATCCAAGTGAAAGCTATCCGTCAGCCAGTGGCTGGCCTGTGGACCATGGCAGATTTAAGAGGAACACTCTTCAGGTCATAGTGGCAGTCCCATCAGTGAGGAAGGATGTAGAGAGTATTCTCTAATGACTGGGTCTCTTGCATGGTCACCTAGATAGAAGTGGGAACCATCACTAAGACAGATAAAGAAGAGTAGTAACCATGGGTGTGTGGGGGTAGGATGAAACGGGTGTCCAGCTGTTGGCACAGTCTTTAAATGGGGAATGTTAAGAGATTCATTCAGAGGCAAAGCAGTAATGGAGGTCAAATAACACCAAGGTCAGGGCTGGTGCTTTTCCTCCCTTTTGCTGGCTCAGACTTTTGTTGGTAACTCTTGGTAGGGCCTAAGTAGTTTCAGACGGTGTGACAGATTAGGTTAAAAGCAAATGAGATTGACTGGGAGAGTCATTCAGCCTGTGGTGGGAGCAGCTGGGGGCCAAGCTTTGACTGAGTATAGGTGGAGAGAGGAAAGATATGACTGGTGTGGGGACAGCACAGGCAACACTAAGGAGGAAGTGGACTTTGGCAGCCTGAGCTCACACAAGGTCTGAGTGGCTGAAATTGGAACAAAGAGCCAGGCCACATGGGGACGTCTTCATAACAGTCCTGAGACTGCCTCTGACTTGGGTCTAACAAAGATGTGAGGTGGTGCTGGATCCTTGTTGCATTTAGCAAGCGCTGCCTGGATCCCTTGAGCAGAGTGGCATGTGGAGAAGCCAGGTGAAGTACCTGTGTCATGGATGCTGAGGGCAGTGGAGTTCAAGGTGTAGCAGTCACGATCTGGAGATGTGTTCCCATGAATGGTGTGCAACCGGGGAGGGAGTATGGCTGTACTCAGGATCCTCGTACTGGCACTTTAAACCAAGATGGTAAGCACAGGTTTCAGTATCTGGGTCTCCAGGGAGGTGAACTAGCAGGAGCATGGATGAGATTCCATGATGTAAGGCCCAGAGCCCAGTGGGAGACACCATAAGGACCTGGTATCTCCTCTGAGTTGGAGAACTAGGGAGGAGCGAGATTTACTGGGGTTCCTGGGGATTGAGTCTGCTCATGATTTCATCTGCCCCCATCATGCAGGGCCATGTGACCTTTGAGGATATTGCTGTGTACTTCTCCCAGGAGGAGTGGGGCCTCCTTGATGAAGCTCAAAGGTGCCTGTATCATGATGTGATGCTGGAGAACTTTTCGCTTATGGCCTCAGTAGGTAAGATCTCTTAAAACCACACCATCAACCTCTGCTGGACTCTGCTCTTCCCCTTTTTCCAGGAGTTTCCTGTCTTTCCCAGAGTTGGACATGGGCCCTTCTTCTTTCCTTGGTTCTTGACCTGTGGAAGACATAGGCGTTGTGGTTGCCAGGCCTGGGTTTTTTCTGCCCCAACATCTACTGTCCTGAAGCCTTTTAGTTAAGAGTTTGGGTTCAGACTCTTGTAACTTGCCCAACCGACACCACTTGGTTTTGCCACTCCTTGCTAAGGTGACTGTTCAGTTCTGTGGTGGACCTGTGTTACAGGTTCTCCCCCTGCCTTTAGTAGACGTGTCTTTGGACCTGCCTTTCTCAGGAATTACAGGTACTTACATGGTTGCTATTTGTAGGGAACCCTAGACTATGACAGCAAGACCCCCTCCCAAGGGTTTTTTTGTAATAAATTTCCCTCCTGTAGTCTGTCATGGGTTGGCGCACCCTGGGCCAGTGTTGTTGACCCACCTCCCTGTTTTTCCCTTAGGATTTCTTCTACCTTCCAGGACCCAGATAGTCTCCTGACTTAAGCTGGGGACAGGGGAGAGGCCTGTGTTCCTGAAAGCGTAGTGAAGTCTTCAGCCACAGCAAGGGGGGTTAACAGGGTTTGGGACCTGTGAGTAGGAGCAGTGGGAGGGCATGATTTGAGGGCTGAACTCAAATCATACCAGGCAAATGTCCTATGTTCCCCACTATTTTGGTGCCAGGGCTCATGGCCATACCTCATTTTTCTCTTTTCTCTGCCTGCTTGACAATTTGCCTACTTGTCGTTTCTACTGTGATTGTCCCCTACCTCTGTTCTCCACATCTCTCCTGTTCCTGTTCTGCAGTGTTCTCCAACATTAGCCTATACCTAATGTATTTAATATTATGAGCTGTGCAGATACAGATGTTCCTCAGCTCGTGATGGGGTTATATCCTGATAAACCCATTGTAAGTTGAGAATATCGTAAGTCAGAAATGCATTTAATACACCCAACTTATTAGACATCCTAGCTTAGCAACACAGTAGAGTGTCAGTTGTTTAGCCTGGTGATTGCATGGCTTACTGAGAGCTGCAGCTTGCTACCACTGCATCACAAGAGTATACACACTGCGTATCACTAGCCTGGGAAAAGTTCAAAATTCAAAGTATGGTTTCTACTGAATGTGTCACTTTCGTATCATCATAAAGTGGAAAAATCATAAGTTCAACCATTATAAATCAAAGACTGTCTACTTAAGCTCTCAAACATCAGCTATCCAGTTGTAATTGCATTTTCCTGGGGTGACACACATTCTATGCAGGTCTCCCCTGTCTCCATCAGATGACGTCCTATTGAAAACCATTGACAGAGAAGGGAGTTGTATGCCCCCTGCCTCTCTTCCCACCATAGTACCCCATTCCTTGTTCTCTTGCTGGTTATGGGTCTTCCCCTACATGGTAACCTTAAGAGGCCTAATACTGCAAGTATTATCTTCCTTGACCTGACTCCAGCTCCCTTGTCCTGAAAACAAACCCATGGCCTGGGTGCAATGGCTCGTGCCTATAATCCTAGCACTTGGGGAAGCTGAGGTGGGAGGATCACTTGAGCTAAGGAATTTGAGACCAGCCTCGACAACATAATGAGACCTGTATCTCCACAAGAAATTCTAAAAAAAAATTAGCCAGGTATGGTGGTATATGCCTGTAGTCCTAGCTACTTGGGAGGCTGAGATGGGAGTGTCACTGGAGCTTGGAAGGTCAAGGCTGCAGTGAGATATGACTGCAACTGCACTCCCATCTGGGTGACAGAGCAAGACCCTATCTCAAAGAAAAACCATGGACTCGTCCCTCCCTGTGTTCCACAGGTATTTGTAATGGAGCTGTTCCCTTCTACCAAAGTCTGCATATACTTCACTTGCATTTTTATGCTTTTAGGTTGTTTGCATGGAATAGAGGCTGAGGAGGCCCCTTCTGAGCAGACTCTTTCTGCGCAAGGAGTGTCACAGGCCAGGACTCCAAAGCTAGGTCCTTCCATCCCAAATGCTCATTCTTGTGAGATGTGTATCCTGGTCATGAAAGACATTTTGTACCTCAGTGAGCATCAGGGGACACTTCCCTGGCAGAAACCTTATACGTCTGTGGCCAGTGGGAAATGGTTTTCATTTGGTTCTAACCTGCAACAGCACCAGAACCAGGACAGTGGAGAGAAACACATCAGAAAGGAGGAGAGCAGTGCCTTGCTTCTGAATAGCTGCAAAATTCCTCTGTCAGACAATCTTTTCCCATGCAAAGATGTTGAGAAGGATTTTCCAACCATCCTGGGCCTTCTCCAACACCAGACCACCCACAGCAGACAAGAGTATGCACATAGAAGCAGGGAGACCTTTCAACAAAGACGTTACAAATGTGAGCAAGTTTTCAATGAGAAAGTTCATGTTACTGAGCATCAGAGAGTCCACACTGGAGAAAAAGCTTATAAGCGTAGGGAATATGGGAAATCCTTGAACTCTAAATACTTATTTGTTGAACACCAGAGAACCCATAATGCAGAAAAGCCTTATGTGTGCAATATATGTGGGAAATCATTCCTCCATAAACAAACACTCGTTGGGCACCAGCAGAGAATTCACACTAGAGAAAGGTCTTATGTGTGCATCGAATGTGGGAAATCCTTGAGCTCCAAATACTCACTTGTGGAACACCAGAGAACCCATAATGGAGAAAAGCCTTATGTGTGCAATGTATGTGGGAAATCATTCCGCCACAAACAAACATTTGTTGGCCATCAGCAGAGAATCCACACTGGAGAGAGGCCTTATGTGTGTATGGAATGTGGGAAATCTTTTATTCATTCCTATGACCGCATTCGACACCAGAGAGTTCACACTGGAGAAGGGGCTTATCAGTGCAGTGAATGTGGGAAATCCTTCATATACAAACAGTCACTTCTTGATCACCATAGAATCCACACGGGAGAAAGGCCTTATGAGTGCAAAGAATGTGGGAAGGCCTTCATTCACAAAAAAAGACTTCTTGAGCACCAGAGAATTCATACTGGAGAAAAGCCTTATGTGTGCATCATATGTGGGAAATCATTTATCCGCTCGTCTGACTACATGCGACACCAGAGAATTCACACTGGAGAAAGGGCTTATGAATGCAGTGACTGTGGGAAAGCCTTCATCTCCAAACAAACACTTCTTAAGCATCACAAAATCCACACTAGAGAAAGGCCTTATGAATGCAGTGAATGTGGAAAAGGCTTCTACCTTGAGGTTAAACTTCTTCAGCACCAAAGAATCCATACTAGAGAACAACTTTGTGAGTGCAATGAATGTGGAAAAGTCTTCAGCCACCAAAAAAGACTTCTTGAGCACCAGAAAGTTCACACTGGCGAAAAGCCCTGTGAGTGCAGTGAATGTGGGAAATGCTTTAGACACCGCACCAGCCTCATTCAACACCAGAAAGTTCACAGTGGAGAGAGGCCTTATAACTGCACTGCATGTGAGAAGGCCTTTATCTATAAAAACAAACTTGTTGAGCATCAGCGAATCCACACCGGAGAAAAGCCGTATGAATGTGGTAAATGTGGGAAAGCCTTCAACAAAAGATATTCCCTTGTCAGGCACCAGAAGGTACATATAACAGAAGAGCCCTAGCAATTGTTGGGATGTGTAATTGTCTTATTCACTGTAGGACACCAGAGAGCTGATTTTTCAAGGGATCCAACAGACAGAAATTCACCCTCATACATCTGCATATCACTAGTTGAAAGATTCACTACAAGGTCCAAGTACTTGGGAAGCTTTCTAGAGATTACTTGTACTTTCTAATCTGCCCAGTGTTACAACAGACACTACCATGTGGCATATCCTCACCGTTTTCATCAGTCACTCACATGTGCTCAAGGAATGCAGACCACTGTGCTTACCAAATTCTGAAGGGAATAATATAATAAAAGCCTGTTGAGGGTCCTCTTCCATCTTGCTGAACTGTTCGAGGCAAAGACAAAACCCAACTTTGACCAAGAAGAGCAATCTGGATTCTTGTAGCCCATGGAGGTTTACCTTCTTCATAGGTTTTTTTTTTTTTTATGTGATTGCCATAGTGGGATATTCCCTCTCCCACATTACCCAAGAGGGAAATGGGCTGTCTTACCATGTGCTGATGTATGTGCTCTGCCAGTGTGAAGGGTGAACAGCTCCAACTTTATGTCCCCCCAGGGACATAGTATGAGATCGGAAAATAGTTCTTAGTCCTGTTTGTCTTAATTTTTATTGGTTTCCAAGGTCTCCTAGGAAGGAGAGCAGAGCTGTGTGGTCCTAATCATGGTGTCGATGCCAGATTTATTTGTAGGTCCAGAGGTCTCCCTGAGAAGAGGCATTTGTGACAAACTCAAGTGCTGGGACCTGCATGAATTGTTTATTTGCAGTGATGCTTCATATTTCCCAGCACTGTTCATGGTATCTTATTTCCCAGGTCCTTCATTGTAGCCATGGGCACTGAAGGACTGAATTGGTAGGTAGGTCACTGGTTGTAAGACCTACTGGGGCCAGGTAAGAACAGTAATTGGCCCAGACAGGTAGGTGTGATAAACAGAGTAGAAAAGATTGTGGCCAAGAAGAGTGAATGTGTCCCATCCAAAGGTGCATCCAGATATGTCTGTGTTACTATGGCTTCATGGTTTGGGGGTATATAGAAATTCTCAGGACCTCAGACCTTTGATTCTCCTTTAGCAACACACATCGTCAGCATAAGGCATCTAAAGATTTTGTGGACTCATAACTTATGTACTGTTTTTGAGATGATTGCTGCACGGGCAGGAAAGCAGGATTTGAGAGAACATACACCTTGCCTTCCAGATATGTGGTTTTTGTGATTCACCCAGATCTGTTGTGCCAGTTAGGAATTATCTTTATTACTTCCCGTTTATTGCCACTGCTGAGAAGGCTGTCCTTCCTAACTTGTGAGGAGATGAATCCTTAATAATAAGTAAATCTTGTGTTATCCTATAGTCTGGTTTTCCAAAAGGAGAGGTAGATGCATATTTTTGTGTGGAACCATTTATCTTAAAACATTGAGGTGCAGTTTTCATACACAAAACCTTCTATCTTTTTAAGAACTGTCTGTATGGTTTATTGCCCAGTTAATGGGTTTTGATAGTCATGTTATCTCAGTAAGTGTCTTGTCTTAGAAATATGTGTGTATAGGCTGGGTGCGGTGGCTCATGCCTGTAATCCCAGCACTTTGGGAGGCCAAGGCAGGTGGATCACCTGAGGTCAGGAGTTTGAGACCAGCCTGACCAACATGGTGAAATCCAGTCTCTACTTAAAATACAAAAATTAGCCAGGCGTGGTGGCGTGCATTTGTAATCCCAGCTACACAGGAGGCTGAGGCAGGAGAATTGCTTGAACCTGGGGGGCGGAGGTTGCAATGAGCCAAGGTCGCGCCATTGCACTCCAGCCTGGGCGACAGAGTGACACTTCTCAAAAAACAAAAACAAAAACAAAAAGAACAGATAAGAAATACGTGTGTATATATTCTATTTTGTGTGTTTTCATTCACCTTATTTCATTCAGTCTTCCAAATGAAATGTTCTTAATTTTGATGAAGTCTAATTTGTCTGTTTGTTCATTTACTGTTATTTTGGTGCTATTAAAAAAATTTTATTCCTTGGCTGGGCACGGTGGCTCACGCCCATAATCCCAGCACTTTGGGAAGCCAAGGTGGGCCGGATCACCTGAGGTCAGGAGTTTGAGACCAGCCTGGCCAACATGGCAAAACCCCATTCTACTAAAAATACAAAAATTAGCTGGGCATGGTGGTGGGCGCCTGTAGTCCTAGCTAGCTACTTGGGAGGCCTAGGTGGGAGGACTGCTTGAACCCAGGAGGCGGAGGCTGCAGTGAGCCAAGATTGCGCCACTACACTCCAGCCTGGGCGACAGAGCAGGACTCCCATCTCGAAAAAAAAAAATTGTGTAATTATAGGAACTTTGGAAAGATTGTTATTCAACTGATATTACATAAGGTATTTATTTTGTAAATTATTTGCAATATTAGAATTTCTGTCAGCCTACAGTATTTCTCTGCTGTTATTCTGACCTTAACACATTGAAAGAGTTCTTAATTTTGCTTCGCCATCCCTTACGCATACTTAATTTTTGTTATTTTGCCAAATTCCAATTATCTTTACAAGATCATTTTATTTTTTAAAAGAGCTAACCAGACAAGAAAATTTGCCCTTGTTATTCCCACTTCCTATATAGCTTGTCTGCCAAAACCTTTATGCCATTATTCTCATCAGTCTCATTCTCAGGGGTTTCTCTGAGCAAATCCATATAAAAGTGGAACTATATGACATTTCCTGCCCCGTTCTCATGCTTCATCTTTAATAGGTAAATTTACCATTTTAAATAGTTTTAAAATTATCTTCACTGTGTGTACTTTGGATTTAATCCTTACTAATGATTAAGATGCTCTAAGAATCAATGTAAAACTAATTTTAAAGCCAGCAGCATAATTTTGTGAGTTATGCCTGAGTATTCAAAAATCCTAACAAGTCAAAAATATTAATTAAAATCAATATGTTTAATCTTTCCAATTAAATACTTCCATTCCATAAACTTCAGAACCAAAGTTAGATACCAACAAGAGACTGAAGATAAATACAGTGTCAATAGTATCAAGGGACTAGCCCATATAATATACTTGAAAATCGTATTAATCACCAATAAAGTACCCCACCATAAACAAAATACACAATAAAAAGTCAAGATACAAATAAAGACAGGCCAACATATGAGTAGACCATTGACAGAAGAGGAAAAACAAAAGGCAATGAAAGGATATGAACTAATGTTCAAATGTATTTCAATATGAGAAATACCAGATATATTCTATATCACTTTAAACTTCTAAAGTAAAAACTGGAAAGCTGGGTAATTCTAAATATTGTCTGGGACACAGTGATACAGAAACACTTTTGTCCATCTTATGGGAGAGGAAGGGCAATGTATAACATAATTCCAGTTACATACTAGATCACCATATGACCTAGCCATTCAGCTGCAAGGTACATTTCTCATGTATGGCCATAAGTTTATTTAGAACATAATACTGATGACCTTATTTTTAAGGTTGAATCAAGCTGGTGGTGATATATTTCATAGCAGGAAAATGGAGGAAATACATGTCCATAATCAGAGGATTTGAATCAAGGATGAAAGCTTCATGATGTAAAATATTACATGGCAGTTAAAAACAATTGGCTAGAGGTAAGCCCATGAAATATAGGATAGAAATATAATATTTTGCTGTAGTTTGAGTGAAAAAGAAAAAAAAAGAATTGTGAGGTCTACAATAAAACATAATTTAAAAATAATTTAATACCACAAAAACTCCAAAGAAAAAAAACCAAAACAACCCAGACACTTCTTACTAGAACATATGTTCCATGCTTCTATCTCGGCTTCTGGTAGCCCCGTGTGTTCCTTGGCTTGAAGATGTTCTTCCTGTGTCTTCACATCGTCTTCCCTCTGTACATCTGCCTCTGTGACCAAATTTCCCATTTTTCTAAGGACACAGTCATAGTCAATTAGGAACTAACCTAATGGATTAACTAACATGATTACCTGAGGTTCTGAGGGTAACGACTCCAACATCTTTTTTGGAGACACAAACACTTAACATTGCCCTATGAATTTCTGCAGTTCTTCAAAGGGCAGAGTGAATAATAACCACAGCAATTTCAAGACACACAGGCTTCCATTGTGAGATGGCTTGTTTAAAGAAACTATTAATTCCCTACACTCTTCTGATCACTCTGTTGTTCACATTCATTTTAGGATTTCTCTTCCAAATCACTTCTGGTGCTTTCCTTCTTGCTTCTTTCATTTCCTTCGGTGTTGTAGTTCTATTATGTTTTTATTCCGTCAGCAATTTCTTAAATTTCTCTTTTCAACCTTAAGCAGTTTTTCTGAAATTATAAAATTTACTGTGAACATTTCAAACATTTCCACATGTGCATGAAGTTAAAGTGAACTCTGACATTCCCCTCTACCCCATCCCTTCCCTCCCTCTACACCCAAGGAGCAAATACCATTTAACTGGGTGAGGATCCTTCCAGACACATTTTTTGTCTGCTTACAAATATTAAGATTTCTAATTCGTCTTTGCATGACCGACTTGCCGAGTTAATTTACCGTCCACATTTCCTCTGTGACATTTACTGATTGAAGTGCACCAACTGTGAATGGTCATAACTAGTCCCACCCCCACAATCATTTCTCACAGATTAAGCAGCATAAGAGCATAGTGCTTTTTATCTAATTTGTTCATTAAATGTAACAAAGTTACAAAAACATGAACATGAAAACGTTTTACCTCTGCCGGGCACGGTGGCTCACGCCTGTAATCGCAGCACTTTGGGAGGCAGAGGCGGGTGGACTACATGAGGTCAAGAGTTCAAGACCAGCCTGGCCAACATGGTGAAACCCCGTCTCTACTAAAAATACAAAAAAACTAGCCGGGCATGGTGGTGGGCGCCTGTAATCCCAGCTACTCGGGAGGCTGAGGCAGGAGAATCCCTTGAACTCGGGAGGCAGAAGTTGCAGTGAGCTGAGATGGCGCCACTGCACTCCAGCCTGGGCAACAAGAGTGAAACTCTGTCTCAAAAACAAAACAAAAAACATGTTTTACCTCAATCATAAACTGTGGAAAACATACAGAAGTTCACAACTTTTACTGTAAGTTCAAAACTTCTACTGACTTAAAAACGGGTGCTAAACAAGTTTAAGTCAATATATTGCACCTGTTCTCATGTGTTTTTCCTATATTAGACAGTAAGTTCCTTCCCTGCTCAAGGGCAGGACCCATAGCCCAGCCATCCACTGCATCCCACTCTTCTAAGTATGACCACAACAGTGAGTGGCCATGGAGCTAAATGACAGGTGTCTCATGAGATTCTTGCCTATCACAGCAGCAAGTTCATAGTAGATCCTTGTACCAAACACTTCAGTGAAGACTGTATGGAAAGAGCTGGAAGCTAAGAAAAACCTAGGGTGTCCTTTATCCCATGGAAAACACTCCTGCTTTGGGACAAACTGGGGCCTAGGTCCTCAGGCCTGGAAAGAACCCTTTGATGACAGCCAATATGTTTCTAGAGGGGTTTCTCCAACTCTCTTGAACCCAGGGCCTTAGGTACAAGTACAGCCACAGCTACAATACATGCAGCCTTCCAGAGAGAGGATGCAGGAGGGTGGGGGTCCTCAAGAGTCAACTCTCCTTCCCACAGGAGAGGAAACTGTGCACTCTGTCCTGAAAAAACAAAAACAGAGAACTCTTAACTCACCAAGAATTCTATTTATAATATGTGCAAAAGGACCACAGTAAAAGGTACATGCCCACTATGAAAACATGAATATATATGCAGTGCTTTAAAAGGTTGTGAGGAAAGCTCAAAGTGAGAAAATGATAATTTTCTATTTTTCACACGTTTTAACCTAACATTATCTCATGTAGCTTGAAAACTAAAAGAAAATCTCACAAAAGGAATTTCAAATTACCAGATTCAGGCTAAGTACAGTGGCTCACACCTGTAATCCCAGCTTTTTGGCAGGCTGAGGTGGGTGGATCACCTGAGGTCAGGAGTTCGAGACCAGCCTGGGCAACATGGCAAAACCCTGTCTCTACTAAAAATACAAAAATTAGCTGGGCATGGTAGTACATGCCTGTAATCCCAGCTTCTTGGGAGGCTGAGGCAGGAGAATCGCTTGAACCCGGGAGGCAGAGGTTGCAATGAGCCAAGATCGCACTCCTGCACTCCAGCCTAGGCAGCGGAGTGAGACTCCATCTCAAAACACAACAAAACTAATTACCATATTCAGTGCTAGCACCAAGGGACTAAGGTCATGGTGGTTAACTATGAAACTCACGTAAACCTGCCCACGTATATCCTGATTCACCTGTTAAAATGCTAGGCACTTTATTTTGTAGCAAAACTTCACGCAAATGTTTATAAGATCAGACAATGAGATTCCTCTCCATGTTGTTTTCTTGGGTTTACTGGGTTTACCATGGATTCATCTTAGTTGTGTGTTTTATTTTGCCTGTTTTAGCTATAATTCAATCCCTAGAAAAATGCTGAGGGGGACCTAAAAATACCCCTCTACACAGGATTAAAGAATCTGATAAACACCAGAAAGAATTAGGACTCATCTGAGAAGGCCAAGCAAGTACAAAGTGATCACTATGTTGCCAGAGAAAATAAAGACAACAAACAGACAGAATGGAATCAGGAAAATGTGAGAGTGCTGAGCATTTGAAACCATATTAGGCTAGGTGTGGTGGCTCACACCTGTAATCCCAACACTTTAGGAGGCTAAGCAGGATGATGACTTGAGTCTAGCAGTTTGAGACAAATCTGGGGAACACAGCAAGACCTCATCTATACAAAAAAATTTAAGGCTGGGTGCAGTGACTCACACCTGTAATCCCAGAACTTTGGGAGGCCAAGGCAGGTGGACCACTTGAAGCCAGGAGTTCCAGACCAGCCCAGCCAACATGGTAAAACCTTGTCTCTACTAAAATTACAAACATTAGCCAGGCGTAGTGGTGTATGCCTGTATCCCAAGCTACTCAGAAACTTGAGGCAAGAGGACC
Organism: Homo sapiens; assembly: GCF_000001405.40. Lineage (NCBI taxonomy): Eukaryota > Metazoa > Chordata > Mammalia > Primates > Hominidae > Homo > Homo sapiens. The sequence continues at coordinate 57,545,928 of NC_000019.10, forward strand.
ATTTGAGCCCAGGAGTTCGAGGTTACAGGGAACTATGATCATGCCACTGCACTCTAGCCTGGGTGACAGAGCAAGTCCCTGTCTCTTAAAAAATAATGAGTTTATTAATAAAAATCAAAGCCTTAAACAGTCTTAGGTATTGCACATTTTAATGTGGTGCACATTTTAATGTGGCCATCTGTACATGGGTTCTTCTCACCCTAGATATAAAAAAGAAGTGTCACATGAAGATGTTCTCAGTATTCTAATTTCTACTAAATTCAAGAATCTCATGACACAAGCCTTCATATTTCTCACAAAGAATTACTCTCCTCATGGATATCCTCCCAGAGATGTCTGGATCAAAGGCAACTTCCAAGAAATGCCTGAAGAGCTGCCCTCACTGTCTAACTCTGACAAAGGATGGCAGTGAATGTATGTTAAAAAAAAAAAAAAGGAATAAAACCCCTTTACCTCTCAAACATTCCCCTACCAAAAAATAAAACTGATCTTACAGGGAAGTCTGTAAGGACATAAAGCAAGAAGATACCTGTAACTGAAGGTTTTCATAAGTTCATAGAGAAAATCCCAAGGTGGGTCAAATTCCAGCATGGCTCTTTATAGGACAAGCAAGTGACAACCTGGTCACAAAGTTTTCTCACATCAATAACAATTATGTAGTAACTTTTCATTATGATTCTCAGATAGTAAGATTTCTGCTCTGGCCAAAGACTGTCCTTAATAGTTATATTTGGAATGTCTTTCTCCAGCATGAGTTCTCTGATGTTGATGGAATGCCTTCCACATTTCCCCCTGGTATGAATCCTTCTGCAATGAGTGAGAACTGAGTGGTGACTGAAGGGATCCTTACATTCACTGTATTCACAGGGCTTCTCTCCAAAGTGACTGCTCATGTGTTAGTTAAGAAAGAGCTGACAAAAAAAATGAAAAGTTTCCTGACATTCTTTGCATTCGAAGGACTTCTTCCTACAGTGTGGGTCCCATTATGAATGATAAAATAACAGTGGGTAAAGGCCTTGCTGTATTCATTGCAGCAATAGGGTTCTCTCATGTATGGACCCTTTGGTGCTGCAGAAGGTGTGACCTGCGTTTGAAGGCCTTCCCACACTCGATACACTTGTAGGGCATCTCCCCAGTGTGGATGACAGAGTGCTGAATGAGGTACGTGCTCCGGTGAAAGGCTTTCCCACACTGGGTGCATTCATAGGGCTTCTCCCCAGTGTGAATCCGCTGGTGCTGTATGAGTTCTGAGCTGCATCTGAAGGCCTTTCCACATGCCATGCAATCATAGGGCTTCTCTCCAGTGTGGATGATGTAATGTTGAATTAGGTGGGCTCTATTGCTAAAGGCTTTCTCACATTCTTTGCACTCAAAGGGCTTTTCTCCAGTGTGGGTCCTATTATGGCGAATAAAAGTAGACCGGTGGGTGAAGGCCTTTCGACATTGACTACACTCATAGGGTTTCTCTCCAGTGTGGATTGGATGGTGCTGCATGAGGTACGACCTGCGTTTGAAGGCCTTCCCACACTCAAGGCACTTGTATGGTTTCTCCCCGGTGTGGATGAGGTAGTGCCGAATGAGAGTTGAGCTCTGGCTAAAGGCTTTCCCACATGCATTGCATTCATAGGGTTTCATTCCAGTGTGAACCCTCTGATGTCGAACGAGATACCACTTCCTGTTAAAACCTTTCCCACACTGCTTGCATTTGTAGGGGTTTGTCCCTGCATGAATCAAGGCGTCTTTCCCTGGTTGCTGTGAGTCACATTCATGGAGAACATCTGCTGATAACCACTCTTGTAATGCCCTGGAGTGCAGACCATCATCTGTCCCCAAACCTTCACCTTCAAGGCTCACTTTCCCAAGATGGGTCTCCTTGTGGAGGTCTGTCTCCGGTGTCACTTTACCTTTCTGCATTTCCAAAAGCCCTTCCTCATCCCTAGCTCTCCCCAACCTCGAATCACTTGAGGTTGAAGATTCCAGAGTCAGGCTTCCCCGGAGAAAGGCCCGCTCAGATAAGACTGGCGGGTAAGTGGTTGGCTCTCTGGTATGAACTTGTGCTCTGTCACCTGAAGGGCATCAACAAACAAAGGAGGGGTCTTTTAGTGATAAAATATAGAAAAACACAAAATAACCACTTCAGTAGGAAAATGAAGATGAAAATAGTGCCTATGATACTTGCTGCATTTTTACATCTCTAACCCAGGTTACCAAATACTGCTTACGGTCCTTGTATCCTTGACACCATTAAAGGGAAAATCTGGAGGGCAGGCTGGACCGGGGGACAGAGGATCCGGAGTAAAGACATTTCTCTTTACAGTTCAGAGTAAGGAAGAGATAATAGAGTTTTGATGACATTGTCTGAAGGGCATTTGCTTTAAGAATTGAACGCTTACATCCATCTGACAAGGGATTAATAACCAGAATATATAAGGAGCTTAAACCACTCTATAGGAAAAAATCTAAGAATCTGATTTAAAAATGGGCAAAAGATCTGAATAGACACTTCTCAAAAGAATACATACAAATGGCCAACAGGTATATGAAAAACTGCTCAATATAATTGACCATCAAAGAAATGCAAATCAAAACTACAATAAGGTATCATCTCATCCTAGTCAAAATGGCTTTTGTCCAAAAGACAGGCAATAACAAATGGTGGCAAGGATGTGGAAAAAAGGGAACCCTCATACACTGTTGGTGGGAATTTCAATTAGTACAACTGCCATGGAGAACAATCTGGAGGTTCCTCAAAAAACTAAAAATAGAGCCACCATATGATCCAGCAATCCCAGTGGAGGTATATACCCAAAAGAAAAAAAACATCAGTACATCAAAGAGATATCTGCACTACCATGTTTACTGCAGTACTAGGCACAATAGCCAAGATTTGGAAACAATTTAAGGGTCCATCAACAATGAATGGACAAAGAAAATGTGGTGTGTATACACAATGGGGTACTATTTGGCCATAAAAAAGGAGATCCTATCATTTGCAACAACAGGGATGGAACTAAAAATCAAAACAACTGAACTCATGGAGAGAGAGTAGTAAGATGGTTACTGGAAACTGGGAACGGCAGTAGGATGGAGTAGGATCCTACTCCATGGAGTAGTGAGGATGGTTAATGGGTACCAAAATGAAGTTAGAAAAGAATGAATAAGACCTAGTATTTGATAGCACAACCGGGTGGCTATAGTCAAAAATAATTTATTCTATACTTTGAAATAACTAAGGGTATAACGGGATTGTTTGTAACACAAAGAAAGGATAAATGCTTGAGGTGACAGATACTTCCTTTACCTTGATGTGATTATTATGCATTGTATGCCTATATTAAAATATCTTATGTACCCACATAAATTAAAAATTAGCCAGGCGTGGTGGTGCATGCCTGTAATCCCAGCTACTCGGGAGGCTGAGGCAGGAGAATCGCTTGAACCCGGGAGGCAGAGGTTGCAGTGAGCCGAGATTGCACCATTGCACTCTAGCCTGGGCAACAAGAGCAAAACTCTGTCTCAAAGAAGAAAAAGAAAAATAAAAATAAATGAAGCCTTTTGGTGCTATAAGAGTTTAGGGAAGTTGCACCTAATGAGACTGGAAAGAAAAAGAGATCATGGAAGGCTTTCTAGAGGAGGTGTCCCATAAGCTGAGTCCTAAAAGAGAAGCCAGAGTCATTGCCAGAGAGAGGAAGTGGGCAATGGGTTGAAGGTGAGGAAGTAAAAATGGGTAGATTCACCCTTTGGGCACCAGATGCCTGGTGAAACCAATATAAAAGGGTGATTAGAGTTGGAGCAAGAAAATGAAGATTCCAGCACAAAAGGGATGGAAGTACACACAGGAACAAATGGTACAAAAGGCCTAGTGTAGTAAGATCTGACAAGTTTCTGCTGTGTCAGGAGGCACAATGCATGGCAGACAAGAGGGTACTGGAGACAGAATGACTCAGTTCAAATCCTGCCTGTGTCAAGTGGGTTGATACTGGAGGATGACTTTCTCCACCAGGTCTCCAATTCCTCAACTAAGAGACTAGGAGACTCAATTTCTCAGGCTGTCATGAGGTTAAATGAGAAAATGCACAGTTCTTGATGCAGCGCAAGTGTTCATTAAATTGTGGGACATTACCCTTATTATTTTCATTGCTGCGCTGGGCAATTTGGGTAATGCCAGTGACACTAGCAAGAACAACTTCAGTGCTGTGATCTGAGGAAGCTAGCAGCTGTGCTTCATGAAGTGGCCAGCATCGCATGCTTAGAAGACCCGAGTGCAGCAGCAGTCTCATACCTGGAATGGTGGGGATGGGAAATGGTGCGGCTACTCTGGAAAAATATTTGGGGGTTTGACTTAAAACTGAGCACAGATCTGTCTCTTGACTCCACCAGTCATCTCCTGGGTGTATATGCAACAGAAATGAGTGTTTATATCCACTAAATATTATGGAAAATAGTATTCATAGCAGCATTCTTCATAATCTCCAAACAAGGTAAACAATACAAATGTCAACCAATAGGAGAGTGAAGAAACAGATCCTGATGTTTTCACATAATTTTATGGTACACAGCATATAGGATAAACCCAGCTCATGGACACAATGATGGTGAAAAGAAGAAATACACAAAAGAGAAACTGCTTTGGGGCTCCAATTATGCCCATTCACAACCAATTAAAAACTAGTCCCTAGGGAGAGAGTCTAAACAGTGGCTCCCACTGCAGGAGGAGCTATTGACAAAGACAGGGTAACAGAAACTGCCGAGGTGCTGGAAATATTGTAAATCTTGACCTAGATGAAGAATTCAATTTGCAGAAATGCAAAAATTTAAGCTGAGCCCTTCAAATTTGTACTTATTATTGTATACATAAGATTTTTTTTAGTTTGAGAAATTTTAAACAAAAAAATATTAAAGTCAAGTGTAAACATCTCTTCCAAACATGAGACAACTCCAAGAAGCTTGGCTTTACAAGTGGGGTCAACACAAGTTACAGGGTATTGTAGGTGAAAAAGCATTTTGTCTGTTTTCGCCAAGTGTAAGCAATTTGAGTACACTTTTTTTTGTTTGTTTAAACTTATATTCACTTTCTGGTTTTGTATTGTGCACACTTTTTATTTGAATATAGATAAGTTGAAGGTACAGACAAAGCAGAGATTTTTTTTAAAAAAAGCAAGTTCCCTGAGAACACAGCAGGTATGATGCAGGCACTGGCAAAGACACTGACCATGACTAGAGGTAAGATCTCCTCCATAGAGGACAAGAGAAGCCAAGTATGAGACCGTGCAGATGAATCTTTAAGAACATTAAATACACATCCTATTTTTAACATGAAATTAATTATATACTGAAACATCAGCTGCTGGGGAAGTGGTGAAAATCTGAAACACATCTGAGTGGCTGCAGGAGCCGGTGCAGGGACAAGAGCTGCCCAGAGGAATGGGGCAGATGTGGGGAGACCTGTCAGGAGCCTCTGGTATGGCCCAGGCAGAAGATTATGAGAGCCCGGACTAGGGTGTTGGTGAAGGAGCCAAGGGAAGCAGTGGAAGTGATGGACTTAGGAGATATGGATCATTTAAAATGAGCAGGACTAGGGATGAATGGATGCTGGGTTTGATGAAGGTAGGTGGAGTCCAGGAGCTATGTGGTGTGTTTCCAGCCTTCTAACCTGCTTGGATGGTAAGACATTCTCTGAACTGAGTGTCTTTTTAGGCATCAGGAGCTAAAGGTGCCTCTGAGACACTTAAGTGGAGATGTGGGATTGAGGGAATGGGAAGGGAGGTATTTGGAACACAGGGTTGCAGATGGGGCTGGCCAAGAAGCCCAAGGGGAGAGCCCATGACTCAGTGGTGATACAAATCCACAAGGCAAATGGCTCCAGCTACACTCATCAGCACAGATGTAGGGCAGAGAAGGCCAAATGTCACCTTGGTGTTTCTCAGGGCAAGAGGGGCAGGAAGATATGGAGCAAAGGGCTGCTTCCGAGTCTCTGATGGTCTAACTGGAGGATGGATGAGTGGACGGAGAGGGTGGAAAAGAGTGGGATTCACAGCATAATGCAGACAGTAATATCAAGGGGAGGAAAGTCCCCTTTCTCTTGAGTCCAGAAAGAAATGTATGACATTACATTTATGATGATTAAAACTGTTCATGCATAATACTAACTAGCTGACATTTGTTGATCCTATGGACCAGGAACTGAACTAAGCAGTGTCATGTGTTATCTCTACATCCTCTAACAACTCAATGACACAGAAATTATATCACTCTGATTTTGTTGAGTAGAGGAGTCTGAGGTGATGTAAACCAAACCCATTAATTCTTTTCCATGGGCACATAGCCAAATCACATTTGTCAGTCCTGAGCATCTAGGTGTGGCCAAATGCCTAGTTCTTGTCAAGACTATGTGGTTGTCAAGTATGTGTACAACTGGGTATGACTTCTCCCCTTCTTCTTGTTCCCCTTCTACCAGCTGGATTGAGCCAGAGCAACCATAAAGATTCCTGTTCACAGCAAAAGGTACCTGTGTCTCTGAATAATTGTGTGGCTCAGTGCTCACCTGATGATGGACACTATGACCCAAAGTGAGTCAGAAACAACCAGGCCCCCGGAAAGCCACAATGAGCAGTTTCACACAGAAATTCAGAGGCAGTGGTGCCCTCACATTATCTGAAGACTGCCATGACTCCACATGACCAGCTGGTGGCTGCTTACCTGCACAGGTAGCATGTGAGAGGCCTCTCTTCACTATCCACAGCTCCTGCCCATGCTCTAGCAGGTGGACCAACTCTGGTTTGGGAACCCGATGCCCTGTTGATAGCAAAAGAAATAGAATAGGGGTAATTTAATGAGAAAATGAAAGTCTCTCCATCTTGCCTAGGACTTCATGACAGGGTCCAGACATGAATGCAGCTGCTCCCAAAGTAAGCAAAATGCTGATGTGAGCCCTGAAAATCAAGGGCATTGCTCTGAGTGAGCTGTGTTCCCCATAAAAATCATATGTTGATGCCCTAACACCCAACGTGACTGTATATGGAGACAGGATCTTTAGAAGGTAATTAAAATTAAATGAGGCCACAAGGGTGGAGCCTTAATCTGATAAAATTATGGCCTCATAAAAACAGAGAGAGATCTCTCCTCTGTCCCTCCACCTTGTAAGAACACAGCAAGTCAGCCATCTGCAAGCCAGGAAGAGAGGTCTCAATAGGAATCAAATTTGCCGACACCTTGATCTTGGACTTCTCAGCCTCCAGAAGCATAAGAAAATAAACTCTCGTTGTTTAAACCACCCAATCCATGACATTTTATTATGGCAGCCAAGGAGATAAAAGACAGGCACAAATCCCACTGTTGGGCTACAACTGCCATGGAGGGTAGTGCTATCTGTCTACACAACACCCACTGCCCATGACCTCCGTCTATGGAAGCCAACGTTGTTCAGGCACACAACACTTTGACAGCCATGGGACACGGCAAAGGTGTGCTGCTTCCTCCAGAAGGCATTTTCTTTCTTTCTTTCTTTCTTTTTTTGAAACAGAGTCTCACTCTGTTGCCCAGGCTGGAGTGCAGTGCTCGGCTCACTGCAACCTCTGCCTCCCAGGTTCAAGGGATTCTCGTGCCTCAGCCACCCGAGTAGCAGGGATTACAGGCATGCAAAACCATGCCTGGCTAGTTTTTGTATTTTTAATAGAGACTGGGATTCACAATATTGGTCAGGCTGGTCTCGAGTGCCTGGCCTCAAGTGATCCTCCTGCCTCAGTCTCCCAAGGTGCTACTGCACCCGGCCCCAGGAGGCATTTTCTAACAAATCTAAATCATTGCTTCTCAAACACCTCGTGCTTTCAGAACCACTTGGGGATGCGTGATTCCAACCTCAAACCAAATGAAACAAAATTTCTTCGTGTGAGACCTGGGCATCAGTACTTCCAAAATGTGCCCCCCAAAATTCTGGTGCCCAGATGGGGCTGCAAACCACTGGCTGAGGCTGGACATGGTGGCTCATGCTGTAATCCCAGCACTATAGGAGGCCGAGGCAGGAGGATCACTTGAGGCCAGGAGTTCTAAACCAGCCTGGCCAACATGGTGAAACCCCGTCTCTACCAAAAATATAAAAAATTAGCCAGGTATGGTGGTGTGCACCTATGGTCCTAGCTACTCAAGGGGATGAGGTTGGGAGGATTGCTTGAGCCTAGGAAGCAGAGGCTGCAGTGAGCTGAGATCATGGCACTGCACTTCAGCCTGAATGACAGAGCAAGACTCCATCTCAAAAAAAAAGGAAAAGAAAAACCAGTGGTTGAAATAAATTGGTAATGCAAGAGTCTTCATTAGGCAGGTGACCAAAGCTGGATTCTCATTGTGAAAAGAAAGCATTTATTCCAAGGTGGGAGGATGGATTGAACATGGGGGCCTGCTGCCCCAGTCAAGGCTGCAGCACCCAGCATCCCTATGAGGAGCCAGCCTGAGGACAATCAGAAGCCTGAACCAAGAAGAAGGAACAGAGAACCAAGACATCCTTGATGGCGTCACTGGGCTGCGGCACCGAACAAGCCTGGAGCCAACCACACCTCAGGCTTCTCATCAGGCGAGTTAGTGAATTTCCTTCCAGGTGAAGCCAGTTTGATCTGGTTTTCTGTTATATGCAGCCAAATGCTTTCCACTAGATGTGGTGAGTAAAAGACAGGAGGATTCTGTATAGAAGACCAATGACTGAGGTACAAGGATCCACAGAAACATCGACTGGCAGATTCTGAACCATAGCCCAGGATTCCTTCAGACATGTCACAGTAAGGTCCACCAATGTGTGCTACATGCCTGGCTTTGAGTTCTGGGACAGGGCTGTGGGAAAGGTGAATCAGATGATCCTTTGGCTCTCCCAAGAGCTGAGCTCCCTGTCACTTTTCACACGCTGGTTCCTCCACCTGGAACACTGTTACCCTCTTCCACCTCCTTCTATCCAGCTAACTCCTACTCAGCTTTCAGGTCTCAGCTCCACTGTCACTTCCTGAGATGCCCTCTTTGGAACTCCCACAATAGGTTATGACATCCTGCTTATTTATTCCTAAATTCCCCTCATTTTTCTTTCTAGAACTTATTTCAGTTGTCATCTATGGATTGATGTCCACCTTCCCAACTGAACTCAGAGTGTGCCATCAATTCTAATAACTTCTTTATCCTGACCCACTTTTGTTAAATATTGTATTCTAAAAGGGAACCTTGTTTTGCTCTGGTAAGTGAGAAAGTCAATTTCCCTTCCTACAAATAGAAGTCTGCAATCACAACACAACAAAATCAAAACAATGCCACTAAGTCCCAGGAAACCCTTGTATGTTTCTTAGGGCTAAGTTGGAGGTTGTCCCCTCTGTTAAAAAAAAGAAATGAACTGCACTGGGGGAGTGAAAGGAAAATGAAAGACTCAGCGCTGATCTGAGACTTTTCTTTTTTTTTGAGCCGGAGTCTTGCTCAGTCACCCAGGCTAGAATGCACTGGCGCAATGTTGGCTCACTGCAACCTCCGCCTCCCAGGTTCAAGCGATTCTCCTGCTTCAAACTCCTGAGTAGCTGGGATTACAGGCGCGCACCACTGCGCCCAGCTAATTTTTGTATTTTTAGTACAGACGGGGTTTCACCATCTTGGCCAGGTTGGTATTGAACTCCTGACCTCGTGATCCACCCGCCTCGGCCTCCCAAAGTGCTGGGATTACAGGCGTGAGCCACCACACCCAGCTGATGAGACTTTTATGACAAGAATTAGCGTGCTGGACAGAGAAAGTAAAAGGAATGGCTTTATCAGGGTATCAAACCATGCCATTTGAGGACATTCCTGTGTACCCTCTAAAAACACCTCCTGGATCAACAGAGCATGGATATCAAGCATCAGAAAACAACTAATGACCATGCAGGCACCCAGATGCCTTTTTACAGAGATTGTATTGCTTAGGAAGATATCCGAGGGGCACTGAGGACAAATGTCTTCTGGGGGGCTGCCTGACTCACCCCTTTCTCTAAGAACAGCCCATCACCCATGGCCCCTGCTTAATAGGGCTGTGGCCACAGCTGACCCCACCAGGATGGCCAATCAGCTTCCTTCTTATGCAATCTTGATTAAGGACCTCAGAATGGGCTGAGCACTGGAGTGAGGGTTTGTGTTAAAAGGACATTTTCTACCCCGACAATCTCTGATGCAGACAAAGGGAGACCAGTCAGGAAGAGGTGGGAACAGAAAGGTCTGTCAAGAGAAAGGTGGGCAGTTCCAGTGACCTTTTTGCCTGGCCAAGAATCAGGGTTAGGGTCCTCCTCAGGGATGAGAGGTGAGTCATTACCTAGTGAAACCAGAAGCCCACAGGTCTCCAGCATCACCTCTCGGTACAGGGTCCTCTGGGCCAGGTCCAGCTGTCTCCACTCCTCCCGGGTAAAGGTCACAGCCACATCCTTGAAGGTCACCAACATCTGGAAAGTCAAACAGAAGTAATGCTATTGGCCTTGTGTTGTCGCATAGGATCAGAACCTGTCACTCAGTCTCTAGTCAATGTGCAGAGAGATCCAGGTCTGAATCAACTAGGTCTCCTTTGGGCTGACTTCCGTGCAGGGCTCAAAGGGGAGGCAGATACTGCCTTTTGACAATGCAATTGTGCCTGAGAGAAAAGCCTTCTATGGGGAAGCTGTTGAAGATGACACAAACAATGGCAATCCCACGAGGACTATGGGAAGCAGAGAGTAAGTACTCTGGCATATTAAAAGAATGGAGGAAAATGACTGATACTAATCCAACCACAATAACAGCAACAGCAGCAGCTAAGTGTGGGGGAAAGAAAAATAGATCAGACCGTTACTGTGTCTATGTAGAAAAAGGAAGACATAAGAAACTCCATTTTGATCTGTACTAAGAAAAATTCTTCTGCCTTGAGATGCTGTTAATCTGTAACCCTAGCCCCAACCCTGTGCTCACAGAAACATGTGCTGTATTGACTCAAGGTTTAATGGAGTTAGGGCTGTGCAGGATGTGCCTTGGTAAACATGTGTTTGCAGGCAGTATGCTTGGTAAAAGTCATCGCCATTCTCCCGTCTCGGGTACCCAGGGACACAATGCACTGCGGAAGGCCACAGGGACCTCTGCCCGAGAAAGCCTGGGTATTGTCCAAGGTTTCCCCCCACTGAGACAGCCTGAGATGTGGCCTCGTGGGAAGGGAAAGACCTTACCTTCCCTCAGCCCGACACCCATAAAGGGTCTGTGCTGACGAGGATTCATGAAAGAGGAAGGCCTCTTTGCAGTTGAGATAAGAGGAAGGCATCTGTCTCCTGCTTGTCCCTGGGAATGGAATGTCTTGGTGTAAAACCCGAGCGTACATTCTATTTACTGAGATAGGAGAAAGCCGCCTTATGGCTGGAGGTAAGACATGCTGGCGGCAATACTGCTCTTTACTGCACTGAGATGTTTGGGTAAAGTCAAACATAAATCTGGCCTACGTGCACATCGAGGCACAGCACCTTTCCTTAAACTTATTTATGACACAGAGTCCTTTGCTCACATGTTTTCCTGCTGACCCTCTCCCCACTCATTACCCTATAGTCCTGCCACATCCCCCTCATGGAGATGGTAGAGATAGTGATCAATAAATACTGAGAGAACTCAGAGACTGGTGCTGGTGTGGGTCCTCCATATGCTGAGTGCCAGTCCCCTGGGCCCACTTTTCTTCCTCTATACTTTGTCTCTGTGTCTTATTTCTTTTCTCAGTCTCTCATCTCCACCTTGCAAGAAATACCCACAGGTGTAGAGGGGCAGGCACCCTTCACTAAGTCCTCTGGTCCTCACTGTGTCCCTGCCAGGCTAAGGCTTCCTTAGCCGTGGTAAAGCAAATAAAGGCCTGACTTAAATCAGGCCTCCTGAATCTGACACTTGCCAGCTATGTGACTATGACGATGTCACATGATCTCTCTAAGGCTCGATTTCCGAATCAACACAATAACTATTCCCATCTCAGCAGGCAGCTCTAAGAACTAAACAGAAAATGTTCACTTAGGCAATCAGTGGAGTGCCTAGCACATGTAAGTGCCTGATGTGTTTGGGAACTTTATTAATCCCCTGACAGGCCCAGAGGTAAATGTCGTTATCACTTCCATTTCACAGTCAGCAAAGGCTCAGGGAGCTTTAGAAATCAGGCACAGCCTCACATTTAAAAAGCAAAAGCAGCATTTGAGCACCGCTAAAACACCTCACCAAGCTGCCAGAGAGCAGGCAGGTGGGAGTGAGGGGTGCTTTTAGCTACAGCCAGCACTGCCAGGATGGGTGTGGAACTGCAGCCCCGCAGAGACCTGAGAACAATGTCTCAGACAAAGGGAAGTGCAAGGGCAAAGGCTGAAAATGGGAAAGAGCTTGGCAAGCTCAGGATTCCCTGGATGAATGCAGTGAGAAAGGGGACAATGGAAGAGGAGAAAGAAGATGCGGTCAAAAGGGCAAACCAAGTACAGCCTTGCAGACCATGCTGGTAGGAGGGGGTGGATTTATTGGAAATGTGATGAGAGTCCCTATAAGAGAGGCCTATTCAATCATCAACCATTTATTAAGTACAATAAATGTACTTAAGCCTGGCTGTTCTGGGTCTTGGGAGAGGGAAGCAACAGGCACTCACATTCCAGGGTTGGAAAAAGATCCTAAACAGGCAACTAAATAAATGAGTAAGGCAATGTCAGATGGCCTTAAAGATTCAGATGACAAGAAAACAGAGCAAGGAGACCAAAGAGACTCTGGTCAGCTTTAAACGGTGCAACAGACGAGACCTCTTTAAGCAGCGGACACCAGAGGGAGTCAGAAATAAAGCAAAGGAGGGAGAGGTGGATGAGAAATTAACAACTACGACAGGAGCTGACAGTAATCTGGGCTATCATGAAAGTAATCAGAGTGACTGCTAGAGAGTAACCCTGGGCCTCATGTGTTATCTCCAAAGGGACACTACATCCTGCATACCATCGCCACTGAACATTTTAATGGACTCGTTTTTCACCTGTAACTAAATGTCTTAAACAGGAAAATATACTGTTAGTTGCAACCCAGCGTCCCTTGCCCTAAACTGAAAGACAAATTCCTCAGCCTGCCCTACCACCTTTTCTGCCCTGGCATAGCAGCAACCGCAGAAACGCTCCTCCCACCTCTTTCAGCCGCTGCCCTTCGTGTTGTAGAGACAGGAGGCCAAGGAGGCCAGAGGGTCAGACTCCTGCTGGGGTTGAGTCTCCAAACCTAGCACAGGCCCAGGGAGCAGCTCCGGAAACAACATCCTGAGCGACGTCCCCGGACCGTGCTGTGCACTGAGACGGACACACACACATCACCCAGGGAGCCGTTCAAGCTTCCTCAACCCCGGGGGGGGGAAGAGTAAATATTTCTACTTTGCGCGCGCAAAAATGAAGGACGAGGACAGTAACGGGACTTGTTCAAGGTCGCAGGCCCGAGAAAGGACATGGTTGGAAGAGCCACGAGGAGGACTGCGGTCGCTCCTCTCACCTGTGAGGGGTTCCGGGACCCTAAAAGCCCTATTTCATACCACAACGCCGCGCACCCCAGAAACGGGGACGCTCCCCACGCCACCGCGGGCCTGCATTCCGGACCCGGGACCGCGCGACCCCCTTCTAGGCCTCTAAGAAGCAACGGCAGGGACTGCACTGAGGACGACCCTGAAACGCCGTCCTTCCGCTCGTCGGGCCCGGGACACTGAGGCCGGGTGGCCGCGGGGAGCCGAGCCAGTCTGCTCACCTGCGCTGCGTCCTTCGTCTCCGCCATCCGACCGTTGGCAGGACGAGGCCGCGTGGGGCAGCTCCCACGGGCTCAAAACCCTACCCCGGGTCCTACAACGGTGCGGAGGTGAGCCCCAGTCGCCCTACCATCCTTCCCAGCACAGTTCTGAGAGCGCGGACCAACACGCCCCACCACAAACGTCCACGCCAGCGAGGCCGGAAGTCCCGCCCCTGTGTCGCGGTCGCCTGCCACGCCTTTTCCTGCGCCGGCCCACTGCCTTCTAGGTAATGTAGTCTTGTCCCGTAAGAGGCCAGGCTTGGCTCTTTTTCCTTTTTTATTATGCACACCATGTTTCTGTATATCTCAGATGATCTTAGCGGAGCAAGTGTACACACTGGATTGTAAATTTTTAAAACTTCCTATTATTCGGATGCCTCAACGTCCCTACAAGCAGGCTGTGAGCACTCGCCCAGGCACCCAGGTAAACGAGTTTGATAAAGGGGGCCCTGCCACGAGGTTCCCCGCTTGCCTCCTCTGAGTGACCCAGTGACATTCCCATGTACCAGTAAAATCTTACGCCTGGTTACTGCGTCCTCCTCCACCCTGACGCCAGGCACTGTCCCTGGGACTGGCGTGGATCTGGACCCCCGCTTCCCGCGTGGAGCCATTCCCGGGACATGCTCGTGGGGTTCCGTCTGTGGGACGTCTGCCTCCTCTGTGTGGACTGGTGTTGCCCAGGGCTCAGGAAGGTCTCCAGGGGCCGTGAGTCCCCGCCCGCTTCCGGAGTCCAGCTTCGTGACACCATCGTGAGAAAGAATGCAGGGATGAGTCAAAATGAAGCCAAAGGCAAGAAGCTTTTATTGGGAAGAAAAAGTACACATTTTTGAGAAGAGTGTACTTTTCCCAAGAGAAGAGGGAAATGCGGACGTACGAGGGAGAGCGGGTCATGCACAATGGAGTTTGGGTTTCTAATTTTATGGGCTCTTCTAATTAGGGGGTGGGATAATCATGAGGTTTTTCTAGGAAAAGGTGGGAATTTCTTAGAATTGGGGTGCCAACCATTTTTATACTAAATGTGGGCGTGCTTGGATTGGCCTGGCACTGGTGGGTGTGTGATTTAATGTGGCAATGAGTGTATAATTAGGTCTGGGGTAGGAAATGGGTCAAATCTAGCGTCATGGGACAGCCTAGCCCCAATCCTGTTTGTTAAGGTCTCATCAGCCCAGTCTTCTTGTTGGAGTAGCTAATTTTAACAGCTTGATGTTTTCCCCCTTCTCCTGTGACCACACAGCATTCCTATTTTGTGGGTGTTTCTTTAATTAGAGAGTGGAATAATTATTAGGTATTCTGGAAAAGGAGGGAAATTCAGGGACCCACCTGGTTACTGCCCCCTTTCTCTCTTATTTGGCTTTGCCCAGAAGAGTCATGGACATGTCATCCTGACTGGGATTTTGGCCATTCTTTCTCTTATTTTGGGTTTTCTGTTATCCTATGGTTTCTTTGCCTAGTTCTTGTTTTTATTTGTTGTTCGAATTTTTCCATCCTCCTGCAACCACCCAGTGCTATTCCTATATCACTGTGAGTATAAACACCCTTTAACCTTATAGGCTTCTTGAAGTATAATTCCCAAGACCATGTTGCAGTGGTCCTTAAAGAACCAATAAGGCAGAGAGAAACAAACATGTTCCAAATTTTGTTCTCAGGAGTAAACCTTACTCAATTGTTAAAGGCTGTAGCTAGCTCAAAAGAAGTTTCCTTGACTCTGAAAAACAAAACAAGGATCAGCAATGTTCCAAGCAAAAGTCAAAAAGATTATTTCAGTTTTTCTATTAGTTCAGCCTATTCTGTTAACTCTTGTTCTGCTTGATATTTATAAACATTTTAGCTTTTCATGAGTCCTGTATGTTTTTCAGTTATCAGAAACCTGCATTTAGGAATACCTGTTAAAGTATTCCTACATCTGATTATGAACCATATTTTGAAGAGGATTAAAACAAGACAACAATTGTCTGTAAATGACAAAATGTCCAGGGTGGTTAGTCAAAAACATGATTGACAAAAAAAATTTGGTTATCTCCGTGGTTTACAATAACAACATAACAACCTTAATTGTGGTTGATAGTGTATACTTTCACATTAGAGTTTTCTAAATCCCATGCAGTTTTGGAACACATATTAATAGTATTTGCTGAAATATAACCTGAAGAAGATTAGACATCATTTTGGCAATCCCATGTAACAAAACATGTCAAATAATCCTGCTTGCCTCTTTTCTGGATGCCCCAGGGACCCTCTGTAGCATCCAAAACGTAGGTGTCAAGAAAGACAATTGATTTGTGGAAGCCTGTTAAATATGTTAACAGGCTTAAAATATTTGATGTTATGTACTAGAATTCCAGATTACTATAAGTTATTTATTTTGCCAAAATGATGACTCAAAAATTTGAAAAAGCAAAAACCTTTCATTAGCCTTTACTATTACATGAAAATTGTGTTCAAGAGAGAGAAAGCCAAATTTCACCCTTACATTAGTGTACTATTAATGTCAACCACAATTTTTAATGAAACAATTATAGGCAATTCTATCCAATCTTAACCAGTTTGACAATGAGGTGAGATTTTCACAAACCTTTTATAACCCTTTACAAATTTTGCTAAAGAGTAGATTCATGCATTAAGAGTTCTTTGTTGTGCTTTTATTTCAATGCTCAATTTACAGAAAACCACATAATACCCTTTTGAATGTAGTCAATATATTCACACAGAGTTTCCTTTGCAAGATTAATTCTTACAATTTTTTCCCCAGTTTGCTTAAACCTTCAGTTGTATTTTATCTACTTTAAGACAATTCTTTATCCCTAGGCAAAACGTACATTGCCATGCCTTCTTATAATTTTTTACAAAAAACACATTTTACTGTTTTTACACACATTGCATGTAAATCTATTCAGTAGTCTCAATTACATGTCATAATGGTAACTCTTAGCAATTTTTTTTTTAAGATGGAATCTTGCTCTGTCACCCAAGCTGGAGTGCAGTAGCACAGTCTTGGTTCACCGCAACCACCACCTCCCAGGTTCAAGCGATTCTCCTGCCTCAGCCTCCCAAGTAGCTGGGACTACAGGCACATGCCACCATGCCAGGCTGATTTTTTGTATTTTTAGTAGAGATGGGGTTTCACCGCATTAGCCAGGATGGTCTCAATCTCCTGACCTCGTGATCTGTCCGCCTCAGCTTCCCAAAGTGCTAGGATTACATGTGTGAGCTACCACGCCTGGCCCTACCTCTTAGCAATTTTTAACTTTAGTGTAAAACCTGGTAAGTTGTTTTAATTATTTGCTGGGTGCAGATAAAGTTTAACTCCTTCCAGAATAAGTTAGGGGCTTGGTTACTTCCATATGTTCCCAGACTTTACCCATTGTGAAGCAGGCAAGTTGAACAGTTCTTAAAGGCCAAAGGAGCAGTACAACCTTAAAACATTTAGCAAACCTACCATCTGACCTGCATAATTTAGACCACATATTTACATCTTGAGTACATTTGTATTTTACCAATAATCCCTAAGACTGTTTTATTTTTAAAGATTAAAGTCACATGAACTAAGAGAAATTACAGTTTTTACTATTCTTTCAAAAAAGATTTGATCGGCCAGGCGCAGTGGCTCACACCTGTAATCCCAACACTTTGGGAGGCTGAGGTGGGTGGATCATAAGGTCAGGATATTGAGACCATCTTGGCCAACATGGTGAAACCCCATCTCTACTAAAATACAAAAAATTAGCCAGGCATGGTGGCACGTGCCTGTAATCCCAGCTACTTGGGAGGCTGAGGCAGAGCAATTGCTTAAACCTGGGAGGCGGAGGTTGCAGTGAGCCAAGATCGCACTACTGCACTCCAGCCTGGTGACAGAGCAAGACTCAGTCTGGGAAAAAAAGAATTTTATTTGATCTAAGTGCTTATAGGCCAATCAATTACAGCTCTTTTTTATAGACATCACACAACACATATATGACTACACAGACAGAAGAAGATCCAGCAGCTCAGGGTGGAGCCCTTTAAGAATAAGGCTACAAAAGCATGCAGTTTCTGGGGCCTAATAAACAGGCATAGCTCGAAGGCCAAAACAGATTTTGAGAGGGATTTATCCATCTCTAATTCTTGGGGTTCCATGAGGAAAACAGATTTCCCCCAAATTGAATCTGTGGCACCTTGTCTGTTTTCTCAAGGAGTCCAAGGCCACCAGAAGTCATCCTTGAGCCTTTCATGCATGCACCAAGATTGGCAAGACAGAGTGGAGAAAAGTAATTCAGTTGACTGAGATACAAACCTTTTCCAGAAAAACAAGATCTAAGAAGAGAAAAACATAAAGGCGTTTCAAGGACACCTATAACTTGGGTATCCACTTTTAATTAAGCTGAGTGCTCTTTCATAAAATTCTTCTTTACTAATTAAAACTTTACAGATAATATAAACAATGATCCTTATCTTTTTTTTTTTTTTACTGGTTTGCATCACTCTTTGTTCACAATCATGTTCAGGTTCTCCAGTTTACTTTTGGGGAAAGTGGCTGGATTCAGGCAAGGACAGGTTTTTAACTGGACTGTAGAT
Organism: Homo sapiens; assembly: GCF_000001405.40. Lineage (NCBI taxonomy): Eukaryota > Metazoa > Chordata > Mammalia > Primates > Hominidae > Homo > Homo sapiens. Next base: position 57,564,246 of record NC_000019.10, read on the forward strand.
CCCTCTAACAGCAAGCCCTGATATTTGAAGAGGCAATTGTCTGTTAGCCAGAGACTTCCCTTAGAGGATAGCAGTCCTGCTATATTATGTGGGGTCTAAACAGTTATTTTCCGGCTGGGTGCGGTGGCTCATGCCTGTAATCCCAGCACTTTGGGAGGCTGAGGTGGGTGGATCAAAAGGTCAAGAGATCAAGACTATCCTGGTCAACATAGTGAAACCCCATCTCTACTAAAAATACAAAAGTTAGCAGGGCATGGTGGTGCACACCTGTAGTGCCGGCTACTCAGGAGGCTGAGGCAGAAGAATTGCTTGAACCCAGGAGGCAGAGGTTGCAATGAGCCGAGATCACGCCATTGCACTCCAGCCTGGTGACAGAACGAGACTCTGTCTCAAACAAACAAAAAACAAACAAACAGTTATTTCCCATTATTAACTTGGTGGCCTCTGGCACGAGCAAAGCCACCAATGCAACTTCTTGGAGGAAGGCTGGCCATCCTTTAACCACCAAGTCAAGTTCCTTGCTTAGGTAACCCACTGGCTGTTGAGCTGGACCTCGAGCCTTTGTTAAAATTCCCTGGGCCGTTTCCTTTCTTTCTGATACATAGAGATTAAATGTGTTCCCTATGAGAAGACTGAGGGCTGGTGTTTTAAGTAATGCTTGTTTTAACTGGTTAAGGCTTTTGAGTTTTAAGATTCCAAGTATTAGTTGCTTGAGTTTCTTTTATGAGGTGGTATAAAGGGTGAGGTATTTCACCATATCCAGGTACCCACAGTCTGCAAAATTCAGTAATTCCTAAGAATCCCCTTAACTGTTAAAGGAAATGGGCTTAATCCTTTCCTTACCTGGTGCTCTTGTCCCTTCTGATAAGACTAGACCTAGGTACTTTACTGAAGTCTGACAGAGCTGAGCTTTAGATTTTGAAGTCGTATATCCCCTTTCTGCCAAGAAATTGAAGAGAGCCTCAGTGCTTTCCTGTTACTTCCTTGGTTGGAGCACAGAGGAGACTGTCATTTATATACTTCAAAGTTTAAACTTGAGGGTGAGAAAAATTAGAAAAACATTTGGACAGGGTCTGTTTCAGCAACTTCCTTCTGATATCGGGGGGTGCCTGAGTAATAAACCTGCTCTTTATTGAATTGGGAGACAGGGAGGTGTGTTTCACTAAGGCCTCTCTCAGCCTTTCCATAACGGCTGAGGGATTTTCATCTGATTTTTGATTTAACATGGATTGTTTAGAGTAATTAAGAGGTTTGGTTTTGTTTTTTGCTAGCCTTTTAATATGCACATCAGAAAGTGTATTCCACTCATCTATGCGATGACTAGTCTCCACTTAGGGTTTTCAAGGGGCACTGTTTATCTTCCTACTGGGAATGGGAATCCTGTCTCTTTTTTACCCTCTTTCCCCTTTTGACTGGGTTTCTTTTTTGACTGGCTATAGGATACATGCTGTTTGTCGGTGAATCTCTCTGCTGCCTTAGGGCTGCCTGTTTCTCAGCAGCAGTTAGAGTTTGGCTTAGGAGTAACATAACATCTCCCCATGCAAGATCAAACATTTGGGTTAGATTTTAGAAAGCTTTTATGTATCTATCAGGGTCATCCAAAAACTTGCCTAAGACCCCCTTTGTTTGTCTAAGGTACTGCAATGATATGGGAACTTGAACTCTAGTGGCACCATGTCCATTGGGCATTTCCTGCAGGGTCAACAGTGAAGTTGAGTTTTCTTGTGTGGCACAGCTGGAGGAGCTGATGCTTGGCTATTGGAGGCCCCAGATAAGGGATGGGGAGGTAGAGCATCCAGAAGTTGCATTTGAGGGGGTTTTCTGACTTTGCGGTGTTGTCCACTGTGGGCTTGTCTGATATGACTCTTAAGAGGGCAGAGTCAATTTTGCAGTGCTTACAAAGAGCTGGGCTGTTTCACAGGGCAAAGAAGGCTTGCACATAGGGGACCTCAGACCGTTTGCCCTCCCACGTGCAGAAAAGATCTAGTTATTGGATATTATTGAAATTAACACTTCCCTCAGCAGCCCAGGCCTATCCATCCTGGAGCTGGTAAGATGGCTATGTCCTCGTACAGAAGAATATAAGCCATTTTTCTTCAGTCTCAGGGTTAAAAGTCTCAGTGTCTCAGGATGCACTCAAGAGGAGTGCAGACTGAAGATGGTTTGTTACCTGTTTTAAAAAGAGTAGGAGAAAAGGCGTCCCTTGGTCTTTTTCCTTTTTTTGGTGTGACCCAGGGTGGAGGGAAAGATCGAAAGTGCATCCCACTTCTCTTTCTTCCCATACTCTGGGTCCTGGCCACCATCATAGGTGTCACCCATGGATGCAAGCATGACCTTCACCCGTGGATCTGGAAGAGCTAGTTGGGTGTAATAGTCATGCTTACCTGTATGAGGACCTGACTCTCCACGCTGCTGGTTTCCTAGTCCCAAGTGGCCCATAAGGCTCCCAGGGTACCCTAGTGGTCTGGGAGATATTGTATTTGGGTGAGACCCTTTAATGGAGGGAGTGTTTTAATACTATCTCTGGCTTCCCTTGCTATGGCCCTAGCAAAACATTGAAATCCCAGAGAATGGGACCGATTGACTTCCAAATATGAAATCTTCTTTTTATTTAAATGCCAGTGTAGTTCAATGCAGAACAGGTGACTCAAAAGAACATAAGGATTGAGTGGCTGTTCTCCCGACTGTTAAAGGTACAGCTTTGCTGTTAACAGATGGAGCATGGAGCTTAGTCCCTAACAGAGGCACACAGGAGGGAGAGGAATTGGGGAACTAATGGTTTTGCACAAAGGGCAGATAGGGCTCCTTATGGAGAAAAAATCCTATTTCACTTGGTGGCGCTGTAGGATCTGAAATGTTAAATAAGAACTCTGACTCCAAATTCTTTCCAGGAAGAAGTTAGAAAGAGAGGTTTGGGCTTAATAGGCTGTCCCCATTGTATGCCTTCCAGAAGAAGAAAATTAACTTGTCTCATAATGGAACTGTCTAGATTCATTGGGCAGTCCTGAGCTTTTACATGGAGGAAAAACACAACCCAAATGGAGAGGGAGAAGGGTATTCACTCAGCATGAAATATCCCCTCTATACAGTGCCATGAATGTCTGTCATTAGGGACAAAAAGCTCTCACTAGGTGAAAGTTTAGACAGAAATCCTCTAATTGTTCTAATTAGATCAAACCTCTATAGTAAACAGTTCAAAAATTATAGTGTCAGGGAATCATCTTCATGGTTGCTGGACTTGTCATCAACATCCCCAGGATCTAGAGTTCCATCTTCTGGCCTATCTGGAAAACCTCACAGACATCTACCCAGTACTTCTAACTAACCATAGCAATCCCAAAGTACCAAAACCCCTACTTATTCAGTGGAACTCTCCTTCACTTAATGGATTCCACCTGAATGTCCCCTTCCACACTTGCCATTATACCTGGACTTGAAAAGTTGAGTATATCTCCAGTGCATTAATGATTCTTTTGCACTCACTACTATGTTAATGACACAAAAGCAGACGTTTCCCTGTGATGCTCTGATCTAACTATAGTTACCAAGTTTCCAAGGCAACAGCAAGGTAAATGGTATTTCACTTGTAGGCAAGAAGACCATATATGATGTCTTCTCCCAGACCAGAACACACGGGAAAAAATGACTGCCTAATCTGGGAGGGTGGGAGTACTATTCGCTTCTGGAAAACAAGGTTTGTTTGACCACCCCCATTGGAACAGGGGAAGAATATCTCTATAGACCCAACTTGGCAGCAAAGGATAGACATTACACCCTGTAGGACCTCTATGCTCCAACTGGACTCATTTTTGTTTGTGGCCATGAATGAGAAGTCACATGCTGTAACTACTCCTGGCTCCCCAGGGAGCCATCTGTTCTTTTAGGAGTAGCTTTCCCTTATATATCAAAAACTTGGAACAAAGATAAATGTATGTTGACCACCCTTGCCCCTCCAAGGGTCACAGTCTATAACCCAATAAGGCCCAGGAACACCAGAAGTCAACAAGCAATAGGATTAATTCTGGTGGGAATCAGGGCAGCCATAGGACAAGCAGCACCCTAGGGTGGCTTTGCCTACCACAAGTCAACCCTAAAGAACTTGACTCAAACTCTAGAATCCTTAGCCACCAACACAGGTTAGGCACTACCAGCAATTCAAGAATCTCTAGACTCTTTGGCAAATGCAGTTCTCAATAACACACTGGCATTAGATTATCTACTAGCGGAACAAGGTAAAGTCTGTGCAGTTAATAAAACCTGCTGCACATATATTAGCAACTCTGGATAGGTTAACATTCAAAAGATCTATAAGCAAGTGACCCTGTTATGTATATTTTCTTTGGCTCTTGCTTGTTTAACCTCTTAGTAAAGTTTGTGTTTTCTAGATCAATAGTCCCCAACCTTTTTGGCATCAGGGACCAGTTTCATGGAAGACAATTTTTCTATGGATGGGGTATGTGGGGCTGGGGCTGGGGGCTGGTCTCAGGATGAAACTCTTCCACCTCAGATCATCAGGTACTAGATTTTCATAAGGAGTGTGCAACCCCAGTCCCTTGCATGCACAGTTTATGATAAGGTTAGCACCCCTATGAGAATCTAATGCTGCCACTGATCTGGCAGGAGGTGGAGCTCAGGCAGTAATGCTCACTCACCTGCCACTCACCTCCTACTGTGCAGCCCAGTTCCTAACAGGACATGGACCAGTATCCACAGGAGAGGGGTTGGGGTATCCTGTTCTAGTTCCAGGTAAAGACAATGCTGGCACAAGGCTTCCAACCCATCCTTGTCTACTATTCCAGAGAATGGAAGTGTCCTTCCTTTGGGGACCTTATATGTGGTATCCAGGGATGTTTACTCCTTTAGTGCTAGGCAGGGCCTAGGCCCACAAAATCAGCAGCAAGCAGTCACAGAGCCCCCTTAAGATTAAAGAGGAGTATCTAATCTCTGATGGGAGAGTGAGATAGGAGGCAGGACTCCATACCAGACTGAAGACTGGCTGAAACAGGGAACAGGCACCAAGAGCATATCTACATAATACACACCCACCAGTGCCATGGCAGTTTACCATCACCATGACAACACCCGGAAATTACCATCCCTTTTCTAGAAATTTCCAAATAACCCACCCTTTGCATGTAGTTAAAAGCGGGTATAAATATGATTGCAGAGCTGCCCCCTGAGCTGATACTCGACACACTGCCTATGGGGTTGCCCTGCTCTGTAGGAGCAGCCACAGAGTTGTAACCCTGCTGCCTCAACAAAGCTATTTTCCATCTACCACTAGCTTGCTCTTGAATTCTTTCCTGAGTGAAGCCAAGAACCTTCTTGGACTAAGCCCCAATTTTGGGGCTCACCTGCCCTACAACGCCACCTGATGTCCTACCTCTGTGCTTTCTAAAACCATCTCCCTTACCACTGGAAGAATATAACTTAGGCCTCAGGAAATGAGGATAATTCATGCTGACATAAGGAGCTCTTTAAAAAATAAAAAAGCAGCTGGGCGCAGTGGCTCATGCGTGTAATCCCAGCACTTTGGGAGGCCGAGGCAGCTGGATCACCTGAGGTCAGGAGTTTGAGACAAGCCTGGCCAACGTGGTGAAACCTCATCTCTACTAAAAATACAAAAATTAGCCGGGTGTGGTGGCACACGCCTATAATCCCAGCTACTCAGGAGACTGAGGCAGGAGAATCGTTTGAACCTGGGAGGTGGAGTTTGTAGTGAGCCAAGATCATGCCACTGCACTCCAGCCTGGGCGAGAGTGAGACTCCATCAAAAAAAAAAAGAGGCAGCATTATATAATAAGATACCTGGGGGATATTGATGGACATGCTACCTTGGAGTCCTGCCTAGCTCAGCCCCTTCTTCGAGAATAATCCACTACCCACAGTCCTGTTAACCAATCTCTGGGGATACCTGACCCAACCAGGCTAGATCAAGTTTTCTTGCCTGAATTCTGGAATAAGGACCTCAGACAGAGGGCAGAGTGTGCTGGGCACTAGGGTGAGGATTTGTGTTTAAAGGGCTGTTTCTACCCCAGTGATCCCCAGTGCAGACACAGGGAGACCAGGCAAAAGCATGTGAGACCAAAACAGAGAATACAACAGGACCTGTGGGTAGAGGGAGAAGGGCTTGAGATGCCTTTCTCACCAGGCAGTATGTGCAAGAGGATGGAATCAGAGGACTAGGGTCACCCACATGGGACAGAAATAAAGCTTTACCCAGCAAGACCAAGAGCCCACAGTTCTGCAGCCTCACATCTTGGTGCAGTGTCCTCTGGGCCAGGCCCAAATATCCACATTTCTACCAGATGAAGGTCAGGGCCATGACCTTGAAAGGCACCAATGCCTGGCAAGTCAAACAGAAAGTTGACCTCAGACTGTTAGATATTAGAACCTATTGCTTGGTCACTGGGAAAGGCACAGAGAACCAGGACATCTGAGGGTTGAGCTCCATGTAGGGCACAAGGGTGAGGGACACTGCCTCTGAAAATAGGGTAACTGTGGCAGAGGATAAAGCCTATGATGGGGGATGTCATTTCCAAGTTAAGGTTTCTGCTACCCAGGCTCCTTCTGATTCTCTACCTCCCACATGTCCTCCTGCACTCACATTAAATCATCCCAAGTAATCCTCCAGGTTGCTTGCCTGGCTCCATGCTCTGACAATCATGCTGCAGAATGGAGCTGTTCCCTCTAAGCCAGGCTATGCCTACACTGTCACACCTTGTACAAGGAGATTGTGTGTGTTGTAAAAATAGACACAGCCAGTTACTAGATGTGTAGATGCACTTTTACCACAGGCACATTTGTTTTGCTATTACCTCCTCCACTTTCTATTAATCATACCCAAAATTTCTGTACCAATTATGTCCCATGCTTAGCTCCCATCAGCTTGAGTACCACCATCTATGGAATCATGGGCATCAGGGCACATAGGTTCCTTTGCAGAAGCTGGGAAAAAGCTTCGTCTCAACAGTGCTGGGCATTACAGCCTGTAGAACAATGCAATAAATCCATCTTATTCCCTAAAGCACAGGAGCCTGTCATAACAGCCGACTTGTCCTCAGGATGACCTCTGGTCCAGAGAAAGTGTAGGGATCCAGGCCATAAATTAGGACAACAAAATTCTTGCATTGTTTCCTAGGAGGCCTTGAGCAGCAAGGCAAAGTGGACTAAAACCAGAACAAGAACTACTGTCATTTTACTTTTCCTGCACAGGCCAGCAACATTGGGGCCCCACAAAAGCTGTCCATGCCTTTATGTAGGAGCCCAAATGTGTTTTCCAGCCACCTCACACAGTAAACCAAACCCTAAGACCACACATAGATTTAAAAATAAGGCCTTTATTACCACACAAACCAGAGCAATGTGAGGCAGCCAGTTACTAGGTGGTGACTTGGAGGCTGGAAAAACTACCAAGTGTTGTGTGAAAACAAGAATTTCCATGAAGGGAAGCCTTCCACATCAGCTTCCAGCAGAACCCAGGCTGGGCCCTTCTGGCCAAAACTGGTCAGATGTATGCTGTAATCAGTCAGAAAAGGGAAGGAATTCCCCTTAAAGGCTCAGACTGCTCAAGGAATTTCCTCCAAGGGTTGGGAGAACACAGGTGTATCTGCCTCGCCTTAGTATGCAAGGGTGACTAATGATTTAACTCTGGCAAAGGCCTCCAGCAGTTTAGAACATGCAAAGGAGCTCCTGCAAGACACATATGCCTGGAACTAATGGGAGTCTGACCCATCGGGAGGTCTAGAAGTATGAGGTTTAACTTTAGGCAGACGGCTCCTTCACAAAGGCTCTCTATAGCCATAACACTGAAGAAAGACATGGCACATTCCCTGCAGGTCTAAGGCTTTTCTCAGGTTTGGAGTTTCAAGAGTTAAACAATGTTAGATCTTGGGCTGTAGGGTTTTCCACATTTGCTGCTGTCACGAGGCCTCTCCACAGTGTGAGATTTTCGGTGGAGAATGAGGCCAGAGTGTTGTGTAAAGGACTTCCCACATTTGCCACACTCATATGGCCTTTCTCCTGTGTGAACCACTTGGTGTTGAATGAGGCTAGACTTTTGGATAAAGGATTTCCCGCACTGTCCACAGTCGTAAGGCCTTAATCCAGTGTGAATTTTCTGGTGTTCAACGAGGGTATAGCTTTGTCTAAAAAATTTCCCACATTCACTGCACTCAAAAGGCCTTTCTCCAGTGTGAGTTCTCTGGTGCCTAACAAGTTTAGATTTGAACATAAAAGCTTTCCCACATTCCCCACATACATAAGGCCTTTCTGCAGTGTGAACTTTGTGGTGTTTATTGAGGGTGGTTCTTTGGCTAAAGGATTTTCCGCACTCATCACACTCAAAGGGCCTAGCTCCACTGTGAATTAACTGGTGCTGAATGAGGCCACACTTTAGGCTAAATGATTTCCCACACTGGCCACACTCATAAGGCCTTGCTGTAGTGTGAATTCTCTGGTGTACAACAAGGCTGAAGCTTTGTCTGAATAATTTCCCACATTCACCACACTCATATGGCTTTTCTCCTGTGTGAGTTCTCTGGTGTCGAACAAGAGTGGATTTGGACCCAAAGGCTTTTCCACATTCATCACACTCATAAGGCCTTTCTCCAGTGTGAATTCTGCAATGTTCAATAAGGTTGGAACTTTGGCTAAAAGATTTCCCACATTCACCACACTCGTAAGGCCTTTCTCCAGTGTGAACTCTGTGATGTTTAATGAGGGTGGCTCTTTGGCTAAATGATTTCCCACACTGACCACACACATAAGGCCTTTCTCCAGTGTGGATTCTCCGATGATCATTCAGATGAGAGGTTTGGCTAAAAGATTTCCCACATTCACTGCACTCATAAGGCCTTTCTCCAGGGTGGACTCTTTGCAGCTGAACAAGGGAGCACTCACAGCAGCAGGCTTTCCCACATTTGCTAGATTCATAAAGCCTTTTTCCAGTGCAGACTCTAGGGTGAAAAAAAGTGTGTTTGTGGCTGGACTCTCTCCTGCATTGACTCCACTTGTAATGACTTATTCCAACATGAAAGGCCTCCTCACATTTGCTGATTTTGTTTGGCTTCTCATAGTTAGCAATAGCTTGCGGCTGAAGAATGCCCAATGGGGCTAGGAAGTCCTTCCCAACCTCACTGCTGGTGAAAGGCATTCCTGACTCATGGAACAGGCAGCACTGCACAAATGAGGCCTTGTCCATGTCACTTTCCAAGGGTTTCTCTGCACTATGATGCTTCTGGTCCTGGTGAAAGACCGCACATGCCCCAGTCAAGTATAGTTCCTGCCCAGGCAAATCGGTCAGGTGCAAAATGTCGGTCAGGAATGGGACACACATGTCACAGGATTGAATCTTCTGGGTGGATGGACTGGCCTCTGGAGTCCTGACCTGAGGTACTCCTTCTACAGAAACACTTTGCTCAGGTGTCTCTTCATCCTCCATCCCATGCCAACAAACTGAAAGCAGAGAAACACTGATGAAATGCACGTTGACTATGATGGGAGTGTATTAGTCATTTAAAAAACTATTTTCTGAATAATTGGTGTTCTGACATCTTAAAAACTTTGCTGGCCTGAGCTCAGGAGTTTGAGACCAGTCTGGGCAATATGGTGAAACCCTGGCTCTACTAAAAATACAAAAAATTATCCAGGCGTGGTGGTGGGTGCTACTCAAGAGGCTGAGGCACAAGAATTGCTTGAATCCGGGAGGCAGAGGTTGCAGTGAGCCCAGATCGCACCACTGCACTCCAGCCTGGGAGACAAAGCGAAACTGTCTCAAAAACAAAACAAAACAAAACAAAATAAAAAACATTGCTGGCTGGGGAGAGAATGGTGCTTCCAGAGTGAGCCAACTCTTAAAGAGATAGCAAAGGGCTCAGCAAGGAGCATAACAAATACACCATCAATCCAGAGCCCATACTCCCAATCACATTTTCTATGTGACTTGGATGCTTCAGGAGCTAATATTCCTCTGCTCTAGTCATCCCAAGGTCAGGCAGGAGACAACTACGCCTAGTGAGCCCCTTTGCCCCAAAGCAAACTACTCAAATTACCCAATCCTAAACTGTTTATTATGTCTTGTGTTACCTGCAGAAACCCCAATAAAGGCTGTGGCTTAATATTTTCCCTCCTCTCTTGCTTCTACCTTCTGACCACTGAGCACTTCCTCATGTGGCCCTGCATGGCATGGTGTTCACATGCTCTTGCTACTGCAGGTGATAAATTCCTATGTCACTGACATTAACCTCTCTGTATTGGCACTCTACTACCTCCATTAATTAAAATCCTGTGGGTACATAACAGGAAATGGGAAGCACCTTCACATATACATCAAGGAATGAATTCACAGTATTGCTTTGAAGCAATATTGAGGAACTGAAAGCAGGATAAGAAAGAGGCTGCTTGGCAGTAGTGGGCCTCTAAAGATCACAAAATGGGGAGGCCTCACCAAACACAGGACGTAAGAATGGGGTACAGTACACAAGGAGAGGCAGGGTCTCCAATCTATTCTTTTGCCAAATCCTGTGGCAAGATCTTGTCAGCTGGTGGCACGTGTATGCTGTGCTGAAAGCTGGCATTATTCGGGCCCAAGATAATGCAATTGGAAGTGAGTGGGAGATTCCAATTGCGATCTTGTGTTCAAGAAATATTTAATTGGCATGTGCACAACTCACAACATATCGTGAGTGGGTCAGTGTTGGAAAACATGCTGGGGGGCAGTGCAGAGAAACTGGTGACACATGGAGGGCAGGAAGATGGGGGCAGCACGAGGCCGGATGTCCCAGATGAAGCAATAAGCCAGCAAAGTGTCAAGGAAGAGGAAGAAAACATAGAAATGAGATGTGTCCAGTGGCATTAGCACCAAACTCTGGATGACACAGGGCAAATTCCTGGTAAGATTAGAAAACAGGCTGGATGCCATGTCCTCACCCAGGTGCCACTGACTGAGGCCAGGCTTCCTCTGAAGCCATATTCCCATCTTCACCCTTTCCAACAACCAGGGCTTTCCCACCACCTCTAGATGTGCCACTACTTGGGACCTGAATGAAGCAAGTCCTAAGGGAAAGCTGGGACAGGTGAGTATCCTGCAGTGGCCCAGAGCAAGTCAGCAGCCTTGAGAACACAAGAAAGAAAATTAATATCACACAGATCCTTGAAGGAGGTTCTGGCAACCACAGCTCATGGTCCATGTAAATACTGATGAGGAAAATTCTGCAAATTCCTAACACAGGTAGTCAAAGGAAATGTCATCTAGGAGGCAGAATTTGAGACACAAAGTACCATGAATATGGACACAGCCACCCAAAGAGGAAGTGAAGAAGTAAACGGAGATGCATTAGGCTGACTCAAGACACCTAACAGCCAGACCCATCCCTGTGCATTTTGGGACAGCAAATGTCAGGGCTGATTAAGGAGTGCAATGATTTCATTCCTTACACCACAGCACATACGCCAAGACAGTGGGGAAGTCAGCAAAGCCCACGGTCCGGCAGAGCTGCCTCTGAGGAAAAAGAGGATAGACGAAGACCAGGACACGAGAGTGGGTGTGAGGGCCTTACCCAGCGCAGTTATAAGTGCAAAGTTCTCCAGCATCACATCGCGGTACAGGAGCCTCTGAGCCTCATCAAGGAGCCCCCATTCTTCCTGGGAGAAGTAAATGGCCACGTCCTCAAAGGTCACACAGCCCTGCCATGATGGGGATAGATCTTTCCATGATCAGATTCTCTCCTAGGACCCCAAGTTCATGCCCCCCACACATCCTTTCCCTGCTTATCCCCATACCTAAGCCCCACCTCAGAGGAGATACCAAGACCTGGTGGCACTGATTCCTGCCCTCTCCTCATGGTCCCATCATCACTGTGTCTTCCCACAGCACCAACAGGCAGGTGGGCCAGGAAATGCCATTTTAAACTCTGGGTCTAGCATATAGGGCTGGATTTTGTCTTGTCAGACAGTTCTCCTGGGGTTTCCAAAATTATGCCACTCACATACAAACAATGATGAGGTTTGCCATCATTCTTATATCCTCAATGCCATGGCCATGGGTTGTTCAGTTCACACTTCCTCTCCATATGCACATCACTCTTTGAAGCACACACTCTCTCAAACAATCTCACTCCCACGGCTATTTCCACCCTGTTGCCCCACACCATAGGCATCTCTCTGGCATCCCCACGATAGTTGGAATGCAACATTCAGAAAGTGCTTGGCAAACTGAAATGAGGTCCGGTGCCACTCAGGCTGAATGGTCCCCACTGCCAAAGGCAGCCCTTCAGAGACCCTGCTCTGAAGGCCTCCCTGCCTGACTCTGTCCCTTTCTACATCCTCAGTCACCCAGAAATACCTGGGGATCTGACACCGATGGCCCTCTTGCACTAGCGCTGCACTTGATGTCCTCTCTTAAGTCACAGCCTTCCTCTCCTGCTAACCCTCATTCAAAGTCTGCCCCAGGGGACCCCCACACCTCAGGCCCAATAACTCCCAGATGACCACCTGTGCCCCTCAACTTATCCACCTCCCTGAAATTCCTGACACCTCAAGGGTTGCCACAAAACCCTGGTAGATATATCCAGAGTGCTGAGTAAGCACTAGTTCTGGTCTCAGTGTCATCTTGTCTCAATTACTTCCAAGCATTGATCTCATGCCCACTCTTCTCCTAGATCCTTGGCCACTTGCCAGATCATCCTTGCTCTCACACCCTACCATAGCCACCTCTCTCCCATACCTGTCTTTGTGATTCCCACCATGACCAACCATGTCCCCAAGCAGGAGAGCCAGTAGTGACCCCCAACCTTCCTTCCCTGGGCTGGTAATAGCATTACCAAAGTGATCACGATTCCACCTCCTAATTGTGTCCCAAGCTATACCCCTAGGCAAGTAGTGGCCACCACCTTTTAAATGTCTCTATCCTGAATCCCTCAACACAGTTCTAGTCCTGTAGGATAAACTATCCACTTCATGTCTAAACTAACTGTTCTTTGAAACATCTCAGACTCTAAAAGATGTCCCATTGGGCCATGTTCAGATGATTTTTATTAAAAAATTTTAAAAATAAAGATGGTCCATATCAAAATTTCTGATTATCTCTAGAGATAACTGACTCTACTACCAACTTTACAATCCTCGCTAGTGGAGCTTCCATATTTCCAGCTGCTAAACCCAAACACCTTGCTTTTACCCCTAAATCCTACTTTTCTATCTCAAAATCCAGGCTTCCCTACTTAAAAAAACTGATCTAAAATCCAACTACCACCTCCACAGCCACCACACAAGTCCAGCCACCAGTAACACTCACCTGGACTACTGCAGCAGCCTTCTTCACTATCTTCCTATCTCATACCTCACACTCAGCCTGTTCTCTCAGCTTGGCCACACACAGGGAACCTGATGAGACCTGGATCAGATCACATACCTCCTCTGCCCCCAAACTGTCATTGCTCATCACACACTCCAGAAGAAACACCCGACAACTGACAGCCATTTTTTGTCTGATTCCTGCATCCCAGCTTTCAGTTCCCATGAGAAAGAAAACAGCTGTAGTTTCCTAAACCAGCTCAGCCTGACCTTCAAGCACTTGCTCATCTGGTATCTAAGCCTGAGACAACGTTCCACACCTTACTTTACTGGTTCCCAGCAATAGGAACCATTCTATACCAGCTTCCAGCCTGGATGTATGACCCTGGGACTGATGTTTGTTCAGGATTCCTAGAACCAAGGACCCAAAGAGTGCCAAGAGAAGAGTCCCAGAACACAATCTCAGAGACAAACACTGGGGTCAGCATCAGTGAGGGCCCGAAACACTCTCCACTCACCTGTGTAAAGCCCATAAGTTTAGCTTCTGCAGTCACGGGAACCTGCGGGAAGAGGAAGGCTATGAGAGGCAGGTAACTATGGTGGAAGCTCCATGGGCTGATGCCTCCTTGTTTCCCTGCGCAGCCCTGGAGCCAGGTGACTTGGTGATGACTAAATTATTATTGCTCCTCAGTTCCGTGTGACTCTTACCTGCTGTGGGACCTTGCACAAGGACTCAACTTCCCTGTGCCTCGGTGTTATCCCCCTTCCAGGCTGTTCCAACTCTGAGTAACTTTAGAAAAAATTTGAAAAGTCTAACTCAGACCATGTGCCTCGTCTGTTCACAACCACCCATGGCTCTCAGCGTCTTGAAAAGAAAGAGCCTCATTTTACCATTCGGGCGTGAACGTTACTGGCTCAATCGTCCCAGCAAGATTCACAGAAACCGGCCCCTCCGCCTGCCACACCCTCCACAGCCCACGACACCAGGCTTGTAAATGGGAGCCCCACCCGCGAGGGCCTCATAGTCCTGGACTCTAGGGTCGGGCTGCAGGGACGCAAGCAGGCGCCCCTCATGCAGGGTGTTGGATTTCCGGCGGAGAGGGCAGGTGAGGCCCGGGAGACGCAGCACTCACCGAAGTCGAATCCCTAAGCACGGCCGCCGCCATCGGATTGTGAGCGGAGCGGGGCCGGGAGCGGCGGGCGACCCGGGGCGGGAACCCAGGCACGGCTGCCACCAGCGCCAGCGACCCACCGGCTGATGCGCAGCGGGGCGACCCCCGCTCTGTGCCGGAGGCAGCGTTTCTAACTCAGGCGGCGTGGGCCGAGGTAGAGAACCACCAAAATTACCATCTCGGAGCGGTGCCGGAAGTCCCGCCTTACCGTATGCAACAAACGGAGACAGGTCCGTTCCTGAACGTTGATTGGCTCCGCGTCTTTGCAGCTTGGCGCTCGGCATTATGGGTAATGTAGTTCTCAGAAGCCCAGGGTTCCGGTGCCCTCCCTGAGATTCACCCGGAACAAGGGCTAAGCGGCCCGCGGAGGGCGCTAGGAAAAGGCGCGACACCAAGAGCGAGACAGGGACTTGCTGCTCCTTAAAGGGGCCGCTGGCCGATTTCCGCAGTCCCATACCCACTGAAGGGAGTGTCTGGGTTAAGATAAGAGGTTGTAGAGACCAAGGTTCTTATTAAGCAGATGAAGCTTTCACGCAGCAGGCTTCAGAGGGAATAGATTGTAAATGTTTCCTATCAGACTTTGAAAGGTGCCAGACTCTTAATTCTTTCCTGGACCATGAAAATAAAAAAACCCTGGAGAGGAAAGGGGATTCTCAGCAAAATGCAGATTCCACAAGACACACCTTTGCAGGGCCTCTTCAAAATATGTCAAATAAATAAAGTTTAGAGTAAAATACTTCAATTCCTTTCAGGGCCTGCTATCTGTCATGTAATGCTATACTACAATCAGGCTGGAATTCACTGTCTTATTGCTACAAGAAGTCTTAAAATCTCTGTTTTAATGTTAATGCTGGTCAGTTGTGCCTGAATTCCAAGGGGAGGAGGGCAAGTCTGACCCTCACTTCCCATCACGTCCTGAACTAGTTTTTCAGATTAACTTTGGAATGCCCTTGGCCAAGAGGAAGGATGCATTCAGATGGTTGGGGGGCTGGGAATTTTATTTTTGGTTTACACTTCTCATGCCTCTTGGAATCTCTGAACCACATACAACGGCCATTTGTTGAGTAAAAGCTTCCAATGCAGGAAACTGTCTCTTTCAGCCTCATGCTATACACCATTAAAACAGTAATTACTGGCAATAAGACTGGGCTTTCTTAAACATACAGGATCTCACAGACCATAAGCCTATGATCCTTCATACCAGCTGCCCATAATACTTTTGGTTTTGGAAGCAGCACCCCATAACCTCAGCATGGCTACCAAGGCCTCCTTAAGACAGGGTAGAATGAATAAGATCTAGTATTTGATAGCACAGTAGAGAGACTACAGTCAACAGTAATTTATTGTACATTAAAAACAACTAAAAGAGTATTATAACTAGAATGTTTGTAACACAAAGAAATGATAAATGCTTGTGTACCCTGATATGATTATTACACATTGTATGCCTGTATCACAATATCTCACGTATCCCATAAATATACATACATACTATGTACTCATAAAACTAAAAATTTTAAAAGACAGATAAATGGCAAGCAGGTAGATGAAAACATGCTTAACATCATTGATCACTATAAAAATGCAAATCAAAACTACAATGAGATATCATCTCACTCTAGTTAAAATGACTTTTATGCAAAAGACAGGGAATAATGAATGCTGGCCAGGACAGAGAGGAAAGGGAAACTTCATACGCTGTTGGTGGGAGTGTAAATTAGTAAAGCCACTATGGGGAACAGTTTGGAGGTTCCCCACAGAAGTAAAAATAGAATTACCATATGATACAGTTTACACCACCCAGAAAAGAAATCAGTATATCTAATAGAGATCTGCACTCCCATGTTTATTGCATCACTATTCACAACAGCCAAGATTTGGAAGCTACCTAACTGTCCATAGATAAATGGATAAAGAAAATGTGATGCATATACACAATGGAGTAGTATTTAGCCATAAAAAAAGAATGAGATCCCATCAATTGCAAGAAGACGGGTGAAATTGGAGGAAATTATGTTAAGTAAAATAAGCCAGGCACAGAAAGACAAACTTCACATGTTCTCACTTATTTGTGGGAGCTAAAAATTTAAACAATTGAACTCCCGGAGATTAAGCTTAGAAGGATGGCTACCAGAGGCTGAGAAGGATAGCAGAAATGGAAGGGAAAGTGGGGATAGTTAATGGGTGCAAAAATATAGTCAGATAGAAGGAATAAGACATAGTATTTGATAGCACAACAAGGTGACTACAGTCAACAACAATCTATTGTAGAATTAAACATAACTCACCGGGCATGGTGGCTCACGCCTGTAATCCCAGCACTTTGGGAGGCCGAGGCGGGCAGATCACAAGGTCAGGAGATCGAGACCATCCTGACTAACACGGTGAAACCCCATCTCTAAAATCAAATCTCTATAATAAATCTCTAAAAATACAAAAAATTAGCCGGGCGTGGTGGTGGT
Organism: Homo sapiens; assembly: GCF_000001405.40. Lineage (NCBI taxonomy): Eukaryota > Metazoa > Chordata > Mammalia > Primates > Hominidae > Homo > Homo sapiens. The sequence goes on from NC_000019.10 coordinate 57,581,173, forward strand.
CACCTGTAGTCCCAGCTACTAAGGAGGCTGAGGCAGGAGAATGGCGTTAACCCGGGAGGCGTTGCTTGCAGAGAGCTGAGATCGCGCCACTGCACTCCAGCCTGGGCAACAGAGCAAGACTTCGTCTCAAAAAAAAAAAAAAAAAAAAAGAATTAAACGTGACTAAGAGTATAACTGGAATGCTTATAACACAAAGAAATGATAAATGCTTGAGGTGATGAATACCATTTATCCCAATGTGATTATTACACACTGTGTGCCTGTATCAAACTACACCATATAACTCATAAATATATACACCTACTATGTACCCCTAAAGACTAAAGATAAGAAATCAAAAAAATAAAGACAGGATGGAGCTAAACCTGGGCCCTCTGGAATGTTCTACCTGCAGATGGAGCTGGCCTCCACTATCTTCAGTCCCTTGCTAGATGTCATGGTCCTTGAGGTCAACACTCCCCACACCTGCGGAATCCCTTGGGATTAACTGGGTGAACAGTAATCGAAGTTAGTGGACTATATGAATGACGCTGCCAAGCTATACTTGAATAGCTGTGCCAAATAGACAAACACAGAAAGAAAACACAAAACAACCCATCCACATCCTAAGGGCTTCACACTTTCTTGCACTCTATCTTCAATGTTTTTTCAGCTTTCTCTTTAGGTACTTATTGACTGTTGGTCTCACATAAGTTTAGCCATAGATGGAATTTATTACTGCTTTGTGACCACTGGCAGCCTCCCTCATCTCTGGCTGGGCTTCTCCCTGAAGGACTGGGCCTCAGGAGTAGGTGGGTCATTTGTCCCCTGGGCATGCCACACAGAGCAGGTTTTCCGAACTAGGCTATCCCTCCTCCCCAAGTTATCCAGGCAATTCCGCTAGTTCTATGCCTAGATGGACACACATGCTTGAAGTTTGGGGAGCCATGTTTGATGTGATGTGGCAACTCTGAAAGGACAGTGAGGGTGAGGGCAGGTGTTAGGTGGCCATTGTGGGGGCTGCTGGCCTCTGGGACCAGAGGGTAATGAGGTGCACAACCGTGTCACCTAGAGGGTGCCAGTGTTAATAAGGAAAAGGGTTGCTGTCCGACGCACACAGAAGCCAATGCCATGGCACCAGGTTTTTGAGAAAAGCAAACCTTTATTGCAAGTCGACAAACAAGAAGACAGGAGTCCAGCTCAAATCTGTCTCCCCAATATGGGGTTTGGGGCAGCTTTTAAGGATTAGGAAGGACAGGTTGGTAAGCACTGGAAGGGTGGATTTTGATTGGAAGGACTTCAAACAAATCTATTGATGGCAAGGCGGGGATGGGGTTGTTATCACCCAACATTCAGAGACAACAGACCCCTTGCTTTCGGAAGTGTTTCAGCACTTGGGTTCCAGCCA